>NC_000003.12:113402543-113705574 GCF_000001405.40 Homo sapiens | reverse complement strand
GGAGATGTGCAGGAGGTTAATGTTTCATGCCTGCTAACACAGTATCCATTCTGCAGCCCATGGATCAAGGAGTAATTTCAACTCTTAAGTCTCATTATTCAGGAAATACATTTTATAAGGCTGTAGCCAACAAAAACAGGGGTCTCCAAAAAGTTCATGGAAAATTCATATTATGAAAAGCTATGCACATGGATTTCAAAAATTTTTCACACCAAAATAAACCAGCCTGGGCAACATGATGAAACCCTACCTCTTACAAAAACTACAAAACTTAGCCAAGTATGGTTGCATGTACCTGTAGTCCCAGCTACTTGGGAGGTTGAGGTGTGAGGATCCCTTAAGCTGGGAAGGTCAAGGCTGCAGTGAGCCGTGTTTATACCACTGTACTACAGCCTGGGTAACAGAGTGAGATCCTGTTTCAAAAAACAAACAAAAACACGATTTTTGGTGACATTTGGGTGGAAGAATGGTAAAATCATTGTCATTGGTGCTTTACAAGATGTTTATGGGGGCAATGCCCCAAATAAATCAACAGTTTACAAATCTATAATTTTAGGAAGGGATGATGTGATGTTGAAGATGAAGCCCATAGCTGCAGACCATCCACATCAATTTGTGAAGAAAAAATTTTGTTCATGCCCTAATTGAAGAGGACCAATGATTTAACAACAGAAACAATAGCCAACACTATAGACATCTCAATGGATTCTACTTATATAATTTTGACTGAAAATTAAAGTTGAGGCAACTTTCCCTTTCATGATGGGTACCAAAACTGTTGTGCCCAGATCAGTTGCAGACAAGAGCAAAGTTTTCAATGGAAATTTTAAACAAGTGAGGCAAAGATCCTGAAGCATTTCTTCAAAGTATTGTTAACAGGACATGAAACATGGCTTTACCAGTGTGGTCCTGAAGACAAAACACAATCCAAGCAGTGGCTACCAGGACGTGGAAGTGGTCCAGTCAAAGCACAAGTGAACTGGTCAAGAGATGCTTAAGGCACTTTGCTTGTTGACTATCTGGAGGGCCAAAAAAATAGTAACATCTGCTAATTATGAGAATGTTTTGAGAAAGTTAACCAAAGCTTGAGCAGAAAAATCCCCCAGGTGAGCTTTCACTGGAGAGTCCTTCTTCAACACAACAATGCTCTTGCTCATTCCTCTAATCAAATAAGGGCAATTTTGCATGAGTTTTGATGGGAAATCACTAGGCATCCACCTTACAGTCCTGGTTTGGCTCCTTATCACTTCTTTTTGTTTCCTAACTCACATTTCTTCAGTTAATAATTAGTTAAAAATACTGAATTGTCATGGTTAAATTCCCAGGACTCTCAGTTCTTTAGGGATGGGCTAAATTGCTGGTATTGTTGCTTACAAAAGTATCTTGAAGTTGATGGAGATTTTATGTTAAGAAATCATGTCTATGGTTGGGTGTGGTGGCTCACGCCTGTAACCCCAACACTCTGGGCGGCTGAGGTGGGTGGATCACGAGGTCAGGAGATCTAGCCCACCTTGGCTAACACGGTGAAACCCCATCTCTACTAAAAATAGAAAAAATTAGCTGGGCATGGTGGCACGCACCTGTAGTCCCAGCTACTCAGGAGGCTGAGGCAGGAGAATTGCTTGAACCTGGGAGGCGGAGGTTGCAGTGAGCCTAGATCACGCCATTGCACTCCAGCCTGGGCAAAAAGAGCAAAACTCTGTCTCAAAAAAAAAAAAAAAAAAGAAAAAGAAATCAAGAAATCATGTTTATATTTTCAATTTTTATCTTTTAATTCCATTTTTCCACAATTTTTTTTTTGAGACAAGGTCTTACTCTGTTGCCCAGGCTGGAGTGCAGTGGTATGTACTGGCTCAATGAAGCCTTGACCTCCTGGCTCAAGCAATCCTCCCACCTCAGCCTCCTAAGTAGCTGGGACCACAGGCACGTGCCACCATGCCCAGCCAATTTTTAGATTTTTAGTAGAGACAGGGTTTCACCAAGTCGCCCAAGCTGTTCTCAAACTCCTGGGCTCAAGCAGTCCTCCTGCATCAGCCTCCCAAATTGCTAGGATTACAGGCGTGAGCCAGCGTGCCTGGCCTTCCACTAACTTTGTGAAGTCCCCTAATATAGTGAGGCCTCTGATGGATCTGGGCAAAGTAAATTGAAAACCTTCTTGGGAAGGCTTCACCATTCTACAGGCTTTTTTTTTTTTTTTTTTTTGAGATGGAGTCTCGTTCTGTCGCCCAGGCTGGAGTGCAGTGGCGCAATCTCGGTTCACTGCAAGCTCTGCCTCCCGGGTTCAAGTGATTCTCTTGCCTCAGTCTCCCGAGTAGCTGGGATTACCGGCATGCACCATCACATACTGCTAATTTTTGTATTATTAGTAGAGACGGGGTTTCTCCATGTTGGCCAGACTGGTCTCAAACTCCTGACCTCAAGTGATCTGCCAGCCTTGGCCTCCCAAAGTGCTGGGATTACAGGCATGAGCCACTGTGCCCGGCCTCTAGATACTATTAAGAACATTCGTGGCCGGGCGCGGCTGCACGCCTGTAATCCCAGCACTTTGGGAGGCCGAGGCGGGCGGATCACCCGAGGTCGGGAGTTCGAGACCAGCCTGACCAACATGGAGAAACCCCGTCTCTACTAAAAATACAAAATTAGCTGGGCGTAGTGGCACATGCCTATAATCCCAGCTACTGGGGAGGCTGAGGCAGGAGAATCGCTTGAACCTGGGAGGTGGAGGTTGCGGTGAGCCGAGATCGTGCCATTGCACTCCAGCCTGGGCAACAAGAGTGAAACTCCATCTCAAAAAAAAAAAAAAAAAAGAACATTCGTGCCCCAGGCACAGTGGCTCACGCCTATAATCCCAGCACTTTGTGAGGCCGAGGCAGGCAGATCACAAGGTCAGGAGTTCCAGACCAGCCTGACCAACATGGTGAAACCCCGTCTCTACTAAAAATACAAAAATTAGCCAAGACATGGTGGCGCCTGCCTGTAATCCCAGATACTCGGGAGGCTGAGGCAGGAAAATTGCTTGAACCCATGAGGCAGAGGTTGCAGTGAGCCGAGATTGCGCCACTGCACTCCAGCTTGGGCAACAGAGTGAGACTTCGTCTCGGAAAAAAAAAAAAATAAAGGACATTCGTGAGTCATGGGAGGAGGCCAGAATATCAACATTAACAGGAGTTTGGAAGAACTTGATTCCAGCTTTCATGGATGACTTTGAGGGAAGAATTCAAGACTTCAGTGGAGGAAATAACTGCAGATGTGGTGGCAATAGCAAGGGAACTAGAATTAAAAGTAGAGCCAGAACATGAGACTGAATTGGTGCAATCTCATGATAAAACTTGAATACATGCGGAGTTGCTCTTTTTTTTTTTTTTTTTTGAGACGGAGTCTCGCTTTCTCGCCCAGGCTAGAGTGCAGTGGCGTGATCTTGGCTCACTACCTCTGCCTCCCGGGTTCAAGTGATTCTCCTGCCTCAGCTTCCCGCGTAGCTGGGACTACAGGTGCGTGCCACCATGCCCGGCTAATTTTTGTATTTTTAGTAGAGGTGGGGTTTCACCATGTTGGCTAGGCTGGTCTCGAACTCCTGACCTCATGATCCTCCCACATCGGCCTCCCAAAGTGCTGGGATAACAGGTGTGAGCCACTGCGCCCAGCTGAGGAGTTGCTTTTTAAGGATGAGCAAAGAAAGTAGTTTCATGAGATAGAATGTACTCCTGGTGAAGATGCTGTGAACATTGTTGAAATCAAAGAATTTAGAATAGTACATAAACTTATTTGATAAAGCAGCAACAGGGTTTGAGAAGACTGACTCCAATTTTAATTTAATTTAAAACATTTTAAATTTAAAATTTTATCTATTTATTTAACAGATGGGGTCTCACTCTGTTGCCTAGGCTGGAGTACAGCGGCATGATCATAACTCACCACAGCCCGAAACTTCTGGGCTCCAGCAATCCTCCCACCTCAGCCTCCCAAGTAGCAGGGGCTGTAGGTGCATGCTACCAGCTAATTTACAATTTTTTATTGTTGGTAGAGACAGGGTCTCTCTTTGTCATCCAGGCTGGTCTGGATTTCCTGGCCTCAAGTGATCCTCCCACCTCAGCCTCCCAAGGTGTTGGGATTACAAGCCTGAGCCAATGCACTTGGCAAGCCATAACTTTTTTTTTTTTTTTTAGTGAGACAGGGTCTCACTGCTGTTGCCTAGGCAGAAGTGCAGTGGTGAGATCATGGCTCATTGTAACCTTGACCTCAGTCTCAAGTGATCTTCTCGCCTCATTTTTTTATTTGTTAATTTTTCTGTAGCAATGAGGTCTCACTGTGTTGCCTAGTCTGGTCTCAAAGTCCTGGGCTCAAGCAATCCACAGGCATGAGCCACAGTGCCTGGCCCAGCGTAACTTTTATATGCACTTGGAAACCAAAAATGTGTGTGACTTGCTTTTTTGTAATATTCTCTTTATAGTGGTGGTCTGAAATCCAACCCAAAATATCCCTAAGGTATGCCTGTATTTTGTTTTATTATTTTTTTTTTATTGACATTCTTAAGCAAATAAAAAGCAAGTTACTGACTGGGTGAAAGTATTTGCACAACACATATCTGAGAGAGAACTTTTATCCAAAGCACCTAAATATTTTTTACAATTCAGTAAGACAAACATATTGATTTTTAAATGGGCGAATTGTTATTATTTTTTCAGATGGAGTTTTGCTCTTGTTGCCCAGGCTGGAGTGCAATGGTGCGGTCTCAGCTCACTGCAATCTCTGCCTCCCAGGTTCAAGCAATTCTCCTGCCTCAGCCTCTTAAGTAGCTGGAATTACAGGCCCCTGCCACCATGCCTGGCAAATTTTTGTATTTTAAGTAGGCATGGGGTTTCACCATGTTGGCCAGGCTGGTCTCGAACTCCTGACCTCAGGTGATCCGCCTGCCTTGGCCTCCCAAAGTGCTAGGATTACAGGTGTGAGCCACCCCGCCCAGCCAAGAAATGGAAATTAAAATCACAATGAGATACCATTTACACTCACTATAATGGCTAGAATTAAAAAAAAGAGTGACAATATCAAGTGTTGGCCATGCTGCGGAATATCTGGAGCCCATGTATATTGCCACTGGGAATGTGGAAACAAATATTATGACCGCATTGGGTAAAAGTTGGGCAGTTTCTTTGGGAAATATGGAAGGTAGGCTTCAAGAGCTGGCCATTTAGGCCGGGAGCGGTTGCTTACGCCTATAATTCTAGTCGTTTGGGAGGGCAGAAGAGAGGACCCCTTTAGGCCAGGAGTTCAAGACCAGTCTGTGGAACATAGTGAGACCTGGTCTCTACAATTTTTTTTTTTTTTTTTAAATTAGCCAGGTGTGGTGGCAAGTGCCTGTAGTCCTAGCTACTTGGGAGGCTGAGGCAGATTCCTTGAGCCCAAGAGTTGAGGTTGCAGTGAGCTATGATCATGCCATTGCACTTCAGCCTGGGCAACAGGGTGAGACCCTATCTCTAAAAAAATAATTAAAAAAAGAGAGCTGGCCATTCACTTATTCTATTCAGAAAGCAAAAGAATGGCTTCTAAAGAGAAAATACAAGCCTAACACTTTGACAGAGAAGTGAGAGTTAAAAAGTGACCGGGCGCCGTGGCTCACGCCTGTAATCCCAGCACTTTAGGAGGCCGAGGTGGGCAGATCACGAGGTCAGGAGTTTGAGACCAACCTGACCATTATGGTGAAACCCTGTCTCTAATAAATAATACAACGACGAAAAATTAGCTGGGTGTGGTGGCGCACGCCTGTAGTCCCAGCTATTCGGGAGGCTGAGGCAGGAGAATCGCTGGAACCTCGGAGCTGGAGGTTGCAGTGGGCCGAGATCGTGCCACTGCACTCCAGCCTGGGTGAGAGCGAGACTCCATTAAAAAAAAAAAAAAGGCCGGGCGCTGTGGCTCACGTCTGAAATCAGCACTTTGGGAGGCCAAGGCAGGCGGATTGCCTGAGGTCAGGAGTTCGAGACGAGTCTGGCCAACATGGTGAAACCCCATCTCTACTAAAAATACAAAAAAATTAGCCGGGCGTGGCAGCGTGCTCCTGTAATCCCAGCTACTCAGGAGGCTGAAGCGGGAGAATCGCTTGAATCCGGGAGGCAGAAGTTGCAGTGAGTCGCCTGGGCGACAGAGCAAGACTCCGTCTCAAAAAACAAACACACAAGAAAAACTAAAAAAACCCAGCAAGCTACAGGAGTCGAGTGGTTCCGAAAGAGAATCAGAGGGCAAGAAAAGAAGACGGGGTGAAGAAGACAGGAAAAGGTGAAGGAGGCGGGCAAAGGTCACCTGGTGTAAACTTGGCTGCCCAGCTCTTTATGCACTCAGGGCAGCATGGGAGCCCTGTCGCCCCGCGCGCATCTACGGGCCTGGCAGCCGGGGACGCGGGGCAGGCGGGGAAAAGAGGGGTGCGCACCCCGCGGGCGCTGGCACCCCCCAGGTACCGCACACAGTAGTCCCTAGGAAGGAGGCTCACTTTGCGCGTTCTTGCCTCCTGGAGCAGGATGGGGGTGGGTGGAGCTGAGGCCGGGGCCTCCCCGCAGCTCTGGCCGCCGCCCCAGGCTTTCAGTAGCCTCCTCCCGCAGTCACTCATCTCCAGTAGTAGGAAAAAACGGAGGTCTTGATATGAAACTGGGGATGCAAGGAAGTACTTATATATCATGCAAATAGTCTTTCAGCACCATTGAAAAGTCTCAAGAATGTGGGTGAAAATCAGATTCACTCTGTCCACTTGAAAAAAATGAACTAACAGCCCTATAGACCAGTTTCACTTGGCCAGTATATTTTACCACCAATATAGGTCACTGTAAGCACTGCCAGCTAGTTTGAAAATAGGACTGGTGTGATTATCTGAAACTGATGTTGAATGGGTAAAGCCAAAAAAAAAAAAGATCTCTGGGCTTCAGCCCAGGAGTTGAAGATCAGCCTGGGCAACATAATGTGACCCCCATCTCTATCCAAAAGAAAAAAATAATTGCCGGGCATGTGGTTCCAGCTACTTGGGAGGCTGAGGTGGGAGGATCGCTTGAGTTTGGGAGGTGGAGGCTGCAGTGAGCTGTTACAGTGCCACTGACCTTCAGCCTTGGCAACAGAGGGAGACCCTGTCGCAGGAAAAAAGAAAAGAAAGAAAACAAAGGAAAGGAAAGGAAAACAAAGGAAAGGAAAGGAAAGGGAAAGGGAAGAAAAGGAAAAGAAAAAGAAAAGAAAAGAGAAAAATCCCTGTTTGGGATTTAGGCTACACTTAGGTAATAAGGATTAATTTAAAAAGCTAATATTCTGATCTTTATCAAACGGAAATTGTTCTTCTTTTCTACGTCTATATCGTGCCAGAAATATATTAATGTGTATTTTTTAAAGGTGATCTAAAGGAATGGTTAAATTCTGTTTCATGAATCATCAAAACTATTTGTTTTTACTTTAGAATTGATGCATTGCAGTTGTTTAGGAAATCATGCACACCCTGGATATGATATTTGTTAACGAGAAATACCTTGTATTCTGAACACACTGGAAATTGTTTCCTATGGCTGAGCATACCAATACTATACAATTTTATGGTGATGTTATTAGCATTGCTATTATGGCTCTGACTCGTAGAATCTTTCTTATCTGCAGTTTTGATTTGGATGTGCCAAGTCTGTTCAAAGGCTAATTAGAACTTCGTGTGCCTAGATGGATGAGTTAAAGAAAATTTCTAGCCTGTTTATTAGTACCACAGTTTATAAGCAACATTACAGGCCTTCCGTTTCATCATAGCTTTTCAATCTGCTGTACAAACATAAGACTCCGTTACTGTTAGCCTTTACCCTTTTGCTCAATGCGATGTCTGCTGCTTCTGTATACAGGCTCAAGTAATTCCCATTATGCCATGCCCTGTGTGCACCTTCTGGAAGTTAGCCCACGGACATCTAAGATCTGGGATATTTCCAAATCTGGTTGTGGAAGGGCTTGGAAATCTATAACCGCAACTAGGTGGAGGACACCTGTTTCAGCAGGAGGTTATAAAATATGAAGCGAAACTAGGAAGAGGGAGTTGTGATCACGGTTCCAAGGGCTCCACACAGATCCTGGAGTTAAGGGGCACTCAGGTCTCCATTTCGTGACCCCTGGCCCTACCTCTCCTAGATCCAGGTATTTAGTAACCCAGGCTTGAGATCTCAAACCCCATCCCCCAATGCCAAACTCCCTTGTCCCAGCTGGGAGGCCCCCAGGGCATTTCTGAACATGGCCATCTCCAATTCACAGAAATCTGTGTGTTGTTGCAAATAAAGGATGACAAGAGACCACAGCCTACGAATGCGAGCAGCGTCAAGTCAGCAACAATCTTCCAGTTATCGAGAAGTCGGAAACGTCTGATTCTTTCTTCTCCACATTTACTAAGACGTATCTTCTCACCTTCCTGCCCTCCACGTTAAGAGGGGCTAACTATTCCGAAAGACTTCCGTGCCCTCTTCCTTTTCAATTTTTCCACTTCCAAACTCCTACCGAAAGACGAAGAAAAGAGACCACAGAAGAAGATACAAAGAAGTTTCTTAAAACACCTTCTTTTCTAGGTTCTCAAGGCGTCCCCTTTAAGGAACCAGGCCCACCTCTTTCCCATTCACCTACTGGCTTTCCTTCCTGTCCGTCACTCTACCTTTAAGAATATTTCCTGTTTCTTCAACCCAACTTGCACACCTCCGCCCCCCGGCCCTCCTCATTGGGCCGCCCGATCCCCGTTCACTCCTTGGTTTCCTCTCCGCCTCCTCCCGCCCTCTAGCGTAGTGCAACGGCATTCTGTCTTCTTATTGGCTACCACGGCAGCGTTCCCGCAGCCTGATTGGCGGGTTGAGTGAAAGAGGCGGGAACGCGGCGCGCCCAGGGTAGGCTGTTCGCTTGCTGAGCTGCGGCCGCGGGAGGGGCGGGGAGGGGCGGGGGGAGGGGGGCTGGGAAAGTTGAGGCCGCGCTGCCGCCGGGTCTCCGGCCTTGAGGGCTCGGGCTCGCAGCGGCTGCGGTGGCCGCAAAAAGAGGCGGCGGGGGCGGGGGGAGAGGAGGGCCTGGGCCCGCGCTCCCCCAGCCCCGGAGGAGCAGGCGGTGGCCGCGGACGGAGAGATTCGCCCAGACGGTCAGACACTCCTGCCTTCCCCTCCTGGGATCATGACCCAGGCGGGGGTCGCCGCCGTCGCCGCCGCCACCGCGGCCGAGACCGCGCAGCCGGCGGGTAAGTGACTGCGGGAGGGGGCCGCTGACAGCCGGGGCGGGGGGCGGGGGCCAGGGCTGCGGGGGCGGCTCCGGAGGGCGGCCCCGGGCTCAGCTCCACCCACCCCCTTCCTGCTCCGGGAGGCCAGGGCTGCGCTAAGTGCGCCTCCTTCCTGGGGACCCTTGCGTGCGGCACCTGGTGGGGCGTCAGCGCCCGCGGCGAGCGCACCCCTCATCTCCCGCCCGCCCTGCGTCCCCGGCTGCCAGGCCCGTGGGGGGCTCGCACTGCGCCCCAGCTCCTAGATGCGCGCGGGGCGAGAGGGGCCCCACGCTGCCCTGGGTGCATAAAGAGCTGGGCAGCCAGGTTCACACCAGATGGCCTTTGCCCGCCTCCTTCACCTTTTCCTGTCTTCTTCATTCCCCTTCTTTCCTTGCCCTCTGAATTTCTTTCGTACCCGTTCGTCAGACTCATGTGGCTTGCTTTTTCCCTCTCACCCCTCTGTCGAAGTGTTAGGCTTGTGTTTTCTTTTTAGAAGCCGTTCTTTTGCTTTCTGAGTAGAAGCAGTGCAAGTGAATGACCAACTCTTGAAATCTACTTTCATGTATCCGGATGAAATATAAGATTCCTGGACTCTTGTTCATGTTTACAATTTTGATAGTTGAATTCACCCCACTCGTTCTTGAAGCTTGTCCTCCCAACCCTCCTCGTTACATTGGGATATGGTCCTTTGCGTTTATTAACTTTATCTGGAAATATGAGACTGCATAAACCAAAGTGCAGAATTTCAACTTCCGTTCTTGTAACATTTTTACCATCAAGTAGATACAGTAACCTAACACCACACAGATCAAGACAGTCGTGGCCAACTGTGTAGGCAAAGAAGACATTTCCTTACCTATAAACAACGTACAGATTTCTTGAATAAATCTTACGGTGAGTTACATGGATCCTGAAACATATTCCCAGGTTTGCTCTTTTGTAAAGAAAACCAAACAGACAAACCTGCCTTTTGAAGGATCAACAGGCTGTCCTACTCTCCATTCACCTTGATGACTTTTTTCTCTCCCATAGAACTCTTGTTTAACATAGTACAGAGTTGCTGTTTGGGATACATGTGTTGTTTCTCTTTAAGTACTCAAAGTATTTGTTACAAAAGAAGTAAAATACATTGTAATTGCACTTCTGAAAGCAGAAGTAGTGTAATGTATCCATGCAAGAATGAATGCTTAATCCTAAAGCAGTTTTGCTTTAGCCTAAGCCAAGCTTTTCCAACCCCCGTCCAAGGACGGCTTTTAATGCGGCCCAAGACAAGAAGACAAGTTCGTAAACTTTCTTTTATTTTTTTTGAGACAGAGTCTCACTCTGTCGCCCAGGCTGGAATGCAGTGGTGTTATCTCAGTTCACTGCAACCTCCGCCTCCTGGGTTCAAGCAATTCTCCTGCATCAGCCTCCTGAGTAGCTGGGATTACAGGTGCATGCCACCAGCCCAGCTAATTTTTATTTCTTTAAGTAGAGACAGGGTTTCTCCATGTTGGCCAGGCTGGTCTTGCACTCCTGACCTCAGGTGATCCGCCTGCCTCTGTTTCCGAAAGTGCTGGGATTACAGGCATGAGCCGCTGCGCCCGGCCTCAAATTTGTAAACTTTTTAAAACATTATGAGATGTTTGTGTGTGATATTTATTTACTTATTTATTTAAGCTCATCAGCTATCGTTAGTGTTAGTGTATTTGATGGGTGGCCCAAGACATTTCTTCTTCCTGTGTGCCCCAGGGAGGTCAAAAGATTGGACACTCCTGGTCTAAGCTAAAAGACTTAGGTGTACATAGGTATTGGGATCTCCCTGTATTTAGGAGTTTTGCAAAATCTGGATGCAGCCTAGAACATTCGCTGATATAAAAGGAGTGCATTGCAGGGATGTAAGAGCAGCTTAGAATTGAAGTACTTATCTTCTAGGTTAGTCGTCTATGGAACATCGTGGAAGTAAAATTCTAAGGTTGTAGACCTTACACTCAATGAACCAGTCATGTATGAGAAATTGATGGGTACTTTTCCTATTTTCAGAGCTTAGCCTTGTCAACAAGGGAAAAGAAACACTAAGAAAACTGAGAATTTTTAACTCAGGTTAGAATACAAGCTTCAACAGGTAATCAGCTCAAGTTTGTTGCTTATAAACAGGGTCTTAAATCAAGCTTGAGCCTTAATCATATCTGTCATGCTTTACCTCTCTGTTCTCTAGTCCAGTAGTTCTCAATCCAGACTGTACATGAGCATCACCTTGTGTGTCTTTAAGTTTTAATGCCCAGGCCACTTCCCTCAGAAACTCTCTTATTTTTGATCTGGAGTAAAGCTCTGCCATGGGCATATTTTTTAAAGCTCTCCAGGTGATTCTGTTCAGTAGCCCTGGCTGAGAACTCCCATGAGACTACGTCCAAAAGCTAAGCTTGTGTTCTGGGCTTTCCTAAATCAGGCCTCACTCATGTGTCCAACTTTCCCCCCACTGCTTTTGCTACAGACGTTGACGTTGACCTTTCTCAGGATATGGACACCTTTCCTCTATTCCTCCCTACCGCCAATAATAGTTCTAATTACACTTTTATGAAAGTTTTCTGGATAGCTTACTCTAGTTCTTAGTGATCGACCCCCTTTGAACTTCTATGCTACATGGTTAAAAGATTCTCTTTAGGCTTACGGTATGTGGCAGTTTAAGTTCTATGTGTATGTGTTTCATTGTTCTCAAATGTTATGCTAAGGAATATTTTATTTTTCATCTCTTTCACAGTGGTTTTAAGTTGGATTGGTTTGGTTTGGAACCCTTCTGACTCTTCCTGCAACCATAGTTTTAGGTTTGATTTCATCTTAGGTATGTTAGTAGCTTCATCATACCTTAACTAGCATTGAATTCCTGTATAGACATCCGTTTTTTTCATATCTTTTCTTAATTTCATTAGTAGATGATTTATCTTCCGTGGCCCCGTAACAGTTGTACTTGTTTCTGTGCTAGCACTTAGCACACTGCCATAAGTATGTGTTTATATGCCTTCCCCACCATACTGCTAACCAGGGCCTCCATGTTGAGCAACTCCAGGGGGTACCATTCACATATTCTTGAATACCATTGCAACATGGCAGAAATAGAACTCCACTAACATAGGAAATGTGTTCTTTTTATCTTTGTATTTTTGGGACCTAACATTGTATTTGTGATTACTAGGCAGTTAATAAATGTTCTTAAATGAGTAAATGACTGCCATGTTATATATTATAAAAAGATAGCCATATACATCTTGAACGTAAGTTGATTTGGCATTAATTGATTTTGCTATTAAATATTTTTATGTCCTATACTCCTATTATAGATTTGTTAAAGGTTAGTAGAATCTAAGTGATTGTAGTTGTGACAGACCCCTTAAATATGTAATCTTCCTTCCAGTATGCACAGGCATATATGTGTCCTGAGTCTTTTACTCTGTGCTGTAAAGGTATACATTTATTATTCATAAAATATTTGTGGAACTCTTGCTAAAAGAAACGTGGTTAACTGTCCAATTGGATAATTTTTCTTTTTCTCATTAAAATTTCCATATGGGGACAATTGCACTACTTCAGAAGGCCAGATCTTTTAATTAGATCAGTAGGACATGATAAGTTGTTTCTATTAGTGTGCTAATACTGTGTTTTTAATTCAGTTCACCAAGTATTTATTATTTACCATGTGCCCAACACTGTTAGGTACTGAAGAGAATACAGAAATAGTAAATGGTGGACTCAGCTCATAAGAACGTTTTAGACTTATTAGGATTGTTTAAGGAACTCAATGGAGTATTCATTAGATGCTAAATTAAACATAAGTATGTAAAATCTATGACATAATGATTAATACAAAAAAAAGGAAAGACCAGATATTCTTTCAGCAGACATTTATTACTCAGTTACTGAGTGCTAATTGTTGAGGATACAAACATGAAATTTTTTTTCATGTTTGTATTCTCAGTAATATGAATAATATGAATTTTTTACATATTTGTATTCTCAATAATTAGCACTCAGTAATGGAGTAATAAGTTTCTACCATTTATTATAGTCTGGTGGTGAAAACTAGTAAGTATATAGATTGTATTTCATGTTAAGACATTGTGGAGTATTAGGATGTTTGGGAGTATGAAGAAGGGTATTTAGTCTAACCTCTAAGGCAGGGGTCCCCAAGTGGCCTGTTAGGAATCAGGCCGCACAGCAGGAGATGAGCTACCCTCCTGTCAGATCAGCGGCAGCATTAGATTATCATAGGAGTGCGAGCCCTATTCTGAACCACACATGCAAGGGATCTAGGTTGCATGTTCCTTATGATCATCTAATGCCTGAGATAGATGGAACAGTTTCATCCTGAAACCATCTGCTCCACTCCCTGTCCATGGAAAAATTGTCTTCCACGAAACCAGTCCCTGGTGCCAAAAAGGTTGGGACCACTGCTCTAGGGGTCAGAGAAATCTTTAAAGAGGATAATGAAGAGTTCTCAGGAATTCCTTAAACAGCAGAAACCAAAGAGAAGGAGATAAGGAGAAGAAATTGTAGTGTCACCGCTGTCTACCTCTGTGTCATTTGAGGGACCAGTTTCTCTTTGGTTATAAACAATAGAGATTGAATTTGGCTAAGCAGCAAATGGATACTGGATAAACTCACAGAAAGAAAGGGAGATAGAATAATGAAGGCTTGGGAAGGCCAGGAAAACAGAAGCTCCCAGGATCATAAGGATCCATGGGGCTAACTCAGCCTCAGCAAGATATTCTCCTTGTGCAGGGAGTCTTATTAGTTAGCCCCATGCCCACCCCAGAGGTGAGCCTGTGTTTGATGGTCCTATCAGATTTCAGGAATGGGACAGAGAAGATCTCCGAAGGAAAGGCAGGATATTATTGTCAGAAGGCCAAAACAACAGATTTATTACAAAGTTCATCGGATTTGGCAGTGTGGAAGTCTTTTGTTGAGCTTGGTTTAAGCAGTTTTAGGAATAAAAGTCAGGTAACAGCTGGTTGAAGAGTGAATAAGAAGTGAGGAAGAGGGGGTAGTAAGTGTAAACAACTTGTTCAAGAAGACTGGTGGTTGGGAGGAAGAATGGGGACACCTGTGGGGAGTTGCAAGGTCAGGAGAAAAATCAGTTTAGGTTTTTACATGGAAAAAGTTGAATAAGGATTTATTTTTATTTTTGTTGAGATGGGATCTCACTCTGTCTCCCAGGCTGGAGTGCAGTGGTGCGATCTTGGCTCACTGGAACCTTCGCCTCCTGGGCTCAAGCCATCCTCCTACCTCAGGCTCCTGATTAGCTGGGATTACAGGTTTGCAGCACCACACCTGGCTAATTTTTTGTATTTTTGGTAGAGATGGGGTTTTGCCTTGTTTCCCAGGCTGGTCTCAAACTCCTGAGCTCAAGTGAGCCACCTCCCTTGGCCTCTCAAAGTGCTGGGATTACAGGTGTGAGCCACCGTGCCTGGCCCTGAATAAGGATATTTTTAATGGAAAGGCACTAAGAGAGAAGGAGGGATTAATAATATATGAGAGAAAAGGGACATTATGTAAGAAGTTTACTAAGTAGCGAGAGTGATAGAGTCCAGAGTATAGGTAGAGGGTTTAGTTTTGCTAGAAATATTAGGGAAGATTTTATATAGGAGGATAGACTTGCACCGGACTTTAAAGGGTTGGTAGGATTTGGATAAACAGAGCAAAGTGGAAAGGTCATTTCAGTGGGAAAATAGCATGAATTTAGCATAAAGTGAAGTAGCTGATAAGGCGCACAGGGATAAACCTGTCTGAATTGAAGAGGAGGGAAGGGTAGATGGCATAATTAGCTAGAAAACCTGCTTTTATGTGTGTTGTACTAGGTGGAAGGGGGTAGGTGAGACCTGCCAGTGAAGAAGGTACAGTCATGAATGCCAAGACCTGGAGTTTGGATATGATGCAGTTGATTGTGGGAAATAGTACTGTAGAGTCTGCAGCAGGAGAGGACATGGTAAATATGGTGAACTGAAAAGACTGATGAGACATTGGGGTATAAAATCCATCAAATGGGAGAAAGGCTGAGGGCAATAACAAAGACTGCTTAAGGCCAGACGTGTAAAATGGGGCCTAATCTAAGGTGGTCATAACAAAGGGGAAGAGATGAACATTATGAAAACAATTGATAGAATTTGGTGAGAAGATATGAAGATTTTTGGGTCTAGATCCATGTTAAACTTTTGGTGTCATTGATAAAATGGAGAACTTGGAAATAGATCTCTTAAGAGAAAAGGGAATTTAACACATTCCAAACAGACTTGTTAATTTGTTCAAAATGCAGTGTTCTGAAGAGAGCTTTGCCTAACCAAAGATTAGGGGCAAAGTCAGAGTTGAAAGGTAGCTTTCTTACAAAAACATAAAAGCTTTTGCACAGAAGCAGTTTAAACCTTTGTAGGGAAAAAGCAAACCTGAAAAAGAGAAGAGATTGTTGGGCCTTGGAACTCAAAGGAGAAAGAAAAGCGTTCATGTTAGAGAAAGAGGATGCATAATTGGAGAGGAGAAAGATAACCTAGGAGAGAGAATTTCAAGAAAGAGAGAGATCAGCAGCCTCAAATCCTGCCAAGAGGAAAATGACCTATGATTGGTGAAAAATAGCCCCTGACCTCCAAGGAAGCAGCTTTGGTTGGCTGGAGCAGCCAGAAGGTTTAGGAGAGATTGGCCAAGTTGGAGAGGTGAGAAGTTTCACAGGAACATGAGGAGAGAAATAGACTTGTAGGCAGAAAAGGCAGTAAATTCTTGTTTAACATGAGGAAAATCCTTGCATTTTGGAAGGAGAGCTGGTTAAGAGAGAAAATAGTGCTAAAGTGGAAAAAATCAAATATAGTTTCCCTTTTCTCAGATCAAATAATTAACTTTAAGAAGTCCTGGAGGCCTGAAAGGATAGATTTATAGATTTATAGGATTTACGGTAAATGTAGAATCCAGTTAAGGAACTTGGACCAGATGACTTGACTTCTATCTTCTCAGTAAATTAAGGGGGAAATGGAAGAAAGTCAACTAACACGTATTGAGCACCTGCTATGTACCAGGCACTTTGCTAGATCGGTAAAATGTATCATCATGTAAACTTGTAACAGTCCTCTGAGGAGTTGGTGAAACTCTCCCAGTTTTAAATGTGAGGATGCTGAGACTCTAAAGGGTACTTATTTCAAAACCAGATAGCCAGTACCTGCCAGCTTTGAGATGTGATCCCAAGTCTGACATCAAAGGCTATTCCTATTTACTGTACAATTTCATTCATTGATGTGAGGTGAAAGGTACATGGGGGCTTGATAGCATCTGGTTTTTGTTTGTTTGTTTGTTTGTTTGTTTTTTTGAGATGGAGTCTCCCTCTGTTGCCCAGGCTTGAGTGCAGTGGCATGATCTCGGCTCACTGCAAGCTCCGCCTCCCAGGTTCATACCATTCTCCGGCCTCAGCCTCCCGAGTAGCTGGGACTACAGGCTCCCGCCACCACGCCCAGCTAATTTTCAGTAGAGACGGGGTTTCACCATGTTAACCAGGATGGTCTCAATCTCCTGACCTCGTGATCCACCCGCCTCAGCCTCCCAAAGTGCTGGGGTTACAGGCGTGAGCCACCGCGCCCAGCCAGCATCTGTATTAATGACCGCAGTGGCTGTGCTTTGGAATCATTTCAGGAGTTTTGAAAAATTCTTGCACACCACCTCAGTCACTCATTCCTTCATTCAACAAATACTTGTTGATTACCCACTATGTGCCTAGCATGATTCTAGGCACTTAGAATACATTGGTGAATGAAACACACTCAAATACCTGCCCTCAAGAACACTACATCCTATATACTGAACCAATCTCTGGAAACGAATTCTGGTAATTCTGATGAGTATTCAGTTTTCAGAACCACTGCTCTAGGAGTAATTGATGAGAGACAGACTAGGTTTGCTAAGTGTGAATTCAAAATGGGCCTTCTGGCCAGGTGCAGTGGCTCATGCCTATAATCCCAGCACTTAGGGAGGCCAAGGTGGGGGGATCACGAGGTCAGGAATTCGAGACCAGCCTGGCCAACATGGGGAAACCCCATCTCTACTAAAGATACAAAAAATTAGCCGGGTGTGGTGGCGAGTGCCTGTAATCCCAGCTACTAGGGAGGCTGAGGTAAGAGAATCACTTTAACCCGGGAGGTGGAGGTTGCACAGAGCCAAGATCGTGCCATTGCACTCCAGTTTGGGCGACAGGGTGAGACTCCGTCTCAAAAAAAAAAAAAAGAAAGTGGGGGCCTTCCCTGCAGATGGCACTCAGGGCCATTCAGTAACAGAGGAGAAAACATTACTGGTAGGTGATCATGTATCAAGGGACTAGCATAAGACCAAAGAGTTAAACTTTGAATTAGCTGACCCTGGAATCAGTTTTACAGTTATACTACAAAGCAAGCTTGTTAATGATTATAATAATATTTTACATTTGTATAAATTTAGCTATACTAGTTTCAGAAGACCATTGTTCATTCAATAAGCATTTGAGTTACACATTGTGCATGTATTGTGCTAAGCCCTTGGGATAAAAGGACGAAGTTGTTCCTGCCTTAAAGGACCTTGGATGTGTATGATGTCAGTTGATCCTTAAAAGAACTATGAGGAGTGGAGTTAGCATTCTGGAACCAATTTATATGGTTATTAGAGTTGAGGAAATTAGTAAAAGTAATTGTAGACATTGGGAGCCAGATTTCTCACTGTCAGAAAGATATTACAAATAAGCAGGGGGGAAGACTATACTGAGCCCTGTGGTGCTAGATTAGAATCAGAGATGTAAGTATAAACTCATGCTTATTTTAATATAAATACAGATAGATACAGAGGCAAATGTAGATCTGTGTCTGTACATGGGTTAATAGACATAGATTTATTTAATAGCTCTGTCTGCTGAGAAGGCTTGGAAGCAGTGACACCCCAGTAGCAATGAGGACAGGCAGCACCTGGATCTTGGTTTCTAAATTCCATTCTCCAATGAAAGGGACAAAAATTCCTTGGATGGAAAGCTGATTCTAAGAGTGGGGCAGGGGAAACACAAGATGAGCCTGGAGTATCTTGTAGTACCAAAAAGTAAGGAAGTACTAGAAAGGGGGTGTGTGTGTGTGTGTGTGTGTGTGTGTGTGTGTGTGACTGTGTGTGTAAAGGGCACAACAGCTAATCCAAAAGAGCACCCAATGGCCAATGTGTGGACAATTTGAACAACATATTAACTCTAGCATTGAATTGTGATCTGAAGAATGAAATAAATCTCCATGAGTCCATACTGATATAAGTAAATTATTGAATAAATAAATAGGGGAGAAGTGACAAATATTCCTTGCAGAATAATTCTAAATACATAATCCTTTTTCCAAGAGGTAGAGATTAACTCTTCTCGCTTTGCGTGTGGGCTAGACTTAGTATTCACTTCCAAAATATAAAGAACAAAAAGGGGAAAATAGTAATATAGAAATAAATACTTGAATAGTGTTAACAGGAAATTTGAGGAAAAGAGTACTTCTTTTCACAACTTCTTCGGTATGATCTGAGTAGATAAATACAAGCATATTTCATTTGTATAATGAAAAAAATCCAGTTAAGTAACAAAAAGAATAAGAAAATAGGAAAGTAAGAATTACTGTGATTATTGTTGAGAAGCTGGGAAAGATGTCATGTATAGATCACAAGCACTGAGGAAGGGATGAGGCAGAGCAAGATGGCTGAATAGAACCCTCCAGCAGTTGCCCCCATGCTGCAGAACTACTATCCACATAAGAACCAAATATCAGGTGGCCAGGCACAGTGCCTTCCACCTGTAATACTGGCATGTTGGGAGGTGGAGGTGGAGGATTGCTTGAGGCCAGGAGTTTGAGACCAGTTTGCTCAACATAGTGAGACCCTGTCTGTACAAAGAAAACAAAATCAGGTGAGTGATCACAGTACCTAGTTTTAGCATCATATCAAGGAAGGAGACACTGAAGATGGTAGGAAAGACAGCCTTGAATTGCCTACACCACCCTTCCCCCCTTCCCCAGCCATGCAGAGAGAATCGCTGTGCTTGGGGGAGGGAGAGCAAAGTGATTGTGCAACTTTGCATTGGAATTCAGTGTTGCTCTGTCACAGTGGAAAGCAACACAGGGCAGAATTCAGCTGATGCCCACAGAGGGAGCATTTAGACCAGCCCTTGCCAGAGGGGAATCTTCCATCCTATCAGTTGGAACATGAGTTCCAGCTAGCCCCACCACTGAGGGCTAAAGTGCTCTGGAGTTCTAAATGAACTTGAAAGGCCACAAGGCCTGCAATTCCTGTGCAAGTCCTAGTGCTGCACTGGGCTTGGAGCCACTGGACTTGGGGTGCACACGACCTAGTGAAATACTAGCTGGGGTGGCCAAAGGAGTGCTTGCATCACCACTCCTCCAACTCCAGACATCACAGCTTGCAGCTCCAGCAGAAGAGGGAAAAGTAAAGAGGATTTTTTTCTTGCAACTTGGATCCCAGCTCAGCTACAGTAAAATAAAGCCCCCATTCTAGACCATAGCTTCTGGATGACATTTCTAGACCCACCCTAGGCCAGAAGGGAACCCACTGCCCTAAAGAGAAGGGTACACTCCTAGCAGAATTCACCACCTGCTGACCAAAGAGCCATTGGGTTTTGAATAAACATCAGCAGTAGCCAGGCAGTAGTTGCCATGGGCCCTGGGCAAGAACCAAAACTGTGCTCATTTCAGGTGTGACCCAGCACAATTCTCATCTGTGGTGGCCATCAGGAGAGACTCCTGCTTGAGAAAAGGAGAGGGAAGAATAAAGAGGACTTTGTTTTATAACTCAGGTACCAGCTCAGCCACAATAAAATAAAGCACCAAGTAGACTCCTAAAGATTCCAGGCTTTGGCTCCTGGAGTGCATTTCTAGACCCCCCACTGGGCCAGAATGGAACCCACGACCCTGAAGGGAGAGACCCAGTCCTGGCAGGATTCATCATCTGCTGACTAAAGAGCCCCTGGGCTTGAATAAACATCAGTGATAGTCAGGAGATAGTTGCCACAGGCCTTGGGCGAAACCCAATACTGTGCTGGCTTCAGGTGTGTCCCAGCAGTCTCAGTGGGTTTATCCAAAGGAGCATTGCGTGACTCCATCCCCAACTCCGGGCAGCTCAGCATGAAGAAAGAGACTCCATTTGCTTGGGGGAAAATAAGGGAAGAGAACAAGAGACTCTGCTTGATACATTAGGGAATTCTGGATCTTACTCAAGACCGCTAAAGTGGTACCTCTGCAAAAGACACAGCATTACTGGACTTGGGAGTGCCCCCTAATGCACATATGGTTGCAGTGACCAAAGACTTAAGATTACAACACTTAATTCTTGTTGAATACTTAGAAAGCCTTCTCAAGAAGGATGGGTACAAACAAGCCAGACAAAACAAACTGGAATAAATTTCTAACTTTTCGGTGCACAGACATTGACAAACATCCACAAGCATCAGGGCCATCCAGGAAAACATGACCTCACTGAATGAACTAAATAAGACACCAGTGACCAATTCCAGAGTGGCAGAGATATGTGACTTTTGAGACAGAGAATTCAAAATAGCTGTTTTGAGGAAGCTTAACAAAATCCAAGATAACACAGAGAAAAAATTCAGAATCCTATCGATAAATTTAATGAAGAGATTAAAATAATTAAAAAGAATCAAGCAGAAATTCTGGAGCTGAAAAATTCAATAGACAAACTAAAGAATGCATCAGTCTCTCAACAGTAGAATGGATCAAGGAGAAGAAAGAATGAGCGAGCTTGAAGACAGGCTATATGAAAATACTCAGAGGAGGCAAAAGAAAAAAAATATGAAGCATGCCCACAGGATTTAGAAAATAGCTTCAAAAGGGGAAATCTAAGAGTTATTGGTCTTAAAGAGGAAGTGGAGAGAGAGATTGAGGTAGAAAGTTTATTCAAAGAGATAATATTGGAGAACTTTCCAAACCTAGAGAAAGATATCAGTATTCAAGTCCAAGGAGGTTATAGACGATCAAGAAAAATTAACTCAAAGAAGACTATCTCAAGACATGTAATAATCACACTCCCAAAGGTCAAGGATAAAAAAGGATCCTAAGAGCAGCAAGGAAAAGAAAAAAAATGAGATATAAAGCATTTCCAATATGTTTGGCCACAGATTTCTCAGTGGAAACCTTACAGACCAGGAGAGAGTCAGATGACATATTTAAAATGCTGAAAGAAAAAGACTTTTATCCTAGAATATTATATCCAGTGAAAATACACTTCAAATATCAAGAGGAAAAAAAGACTTTCCCAGACAAACAAAAGATGAGGTTTTTTGTCAACACCAGACCTGTCCTACAGAAATGCTGAAGGGAGTTCTTCAACTTGAAAGAAAAAGATGTTAACAAGTAATAAGAAATTGTCTGAAGGTACGTGGTAACAGTAAATACATAGACAAATACAGAATATTTTAACACTGTAATTCTAGTGTGTAAGATACTCATGTCTTGAATAGGAAGACTAAAAGACAAATCTATCAAAAATAATAACTACAACATTTTAAGACATAGTGTAATAAGATATAAGTAGAAACATCAGAAGGTTAAAAAGCAGGGGATGGGCTGGGCACGGTGGCTCACGCCTTTAATCCCAGCACTTTGGGAGGCCAAGGTGGGCAAATCACGAGGTCAAGAGATCAAGACCATCCTGGCCAACATGGTGAAACCTCATCTCTACTAAAAATATAAAAATCAGCTGGGCATGGTGGTGCGTGCCTGTAGTCCCGGCTACTTGGGCGGCTGAAGCAGGAGAATTGCTTGAATCCGGGAGGTGGAGGTTGCAGTGAGCTGAGATTGCACCACTGTACTCCAGCCTGGCGACAGAGCGAGACTCCATCTCAAAAAAAAAAAAAAAAAAAAAAAGCAGGGGATAAAATGTAAGTGTAGAGTTTTGTATTTGATGTAATAAAATGATTGAGATTTTCTGTTTACTCTTATGTTCATGAAGTAAACTATAGTTTTAAAAACTAGATAATAGTTTTTATAGATTAAAAACTAGATAATAGTTTTTATAGATTAAAAACTAGATAATAGTTTTTATAGATTAAAAACTAGATAATAGTTTTTATAGATTAAAAACTAGAGTTTTTATCAGTTTTCTCTTGGCTTGTTTGTTTTTACAATCAGAGTTAGATTGTCATTAGTTTAAAATAATGGGTTATAAGGTGTTATTTGCAAGCCTCATGGTAACCTCAGGTCAGAAAAATACAATAAATACGCAACATGTATAAAGCAAGAAATTAAAACGTACCACCAGAGAAAAACACTGACATGAGAAGGAAGAGAAGACCATAAAACAACCAGAAAACAAATAACAAAATGGTGGGAGTAAGTTTTTACCTATCAATAATAATATTGAATGTAAATGAGCTAAATGCTCCAATCCAAAGACATAGAGTGGCTGAATGGATTAAAAAGGAAAAAAAAAAAAAAAAGCCCAGCGATCTGTTGCCTACAACAAACACACTTCTCTTATGAAGACACACAGACACACATAGACTGAAAATAAGGGGATGGAAAAGATATAGCATACAAATGGAAACCAAAATAAAAGCAAGAGTAGTTATATCAAATAAAATAGATTTCAAGACAAAAACTATGAAAAAAGACAACATCATTATATAATTTTAAAGGGAACATTTCAGCAAGAGGATATAACAACTGTAAATATATATGCACCCAATAGAGGAACACCCAGATATATAAAGCAAATATTACTATATCAAAGAGAGATAGACCCCAATACAATAATAGTTGGAGACTTCAACACTTCACTTTCAGCATTGGACAGATTATTCAGACAGAAAATCAACAAACATTAGACTTATTTGCACTATTGACCAAATGGACTTAAGAGATATTTACAGAATATTTCATCCAACAGCTGCAGAATGTACATTTTTCTCCTCAGCACATGGATCATTCTCAAGGATAGATCCTATGTTAGGCCACAAAGCAAGTGGTGTTTTTTTTTTTTGTTTGTTTGTTTTTTGTTTTGTTTGCAAGACAGGGTCTCACTCTGTCTCCCAAGCTGAAGTGCGGTGGCACGATCATGGCTCACTGCAGCCTCAACTTCCCAGGCTCAAGTGATTCTCCCACCTCAGTCTCTGCAGTAGTTGGGACTACAGGCACATGCCACCTTATCTGGATAATTTTTTCTATTTTTTGTAGAGATAGGCTCTCACTATATTGCCTAGGCTGGTCTTGAACTCCTAGGCTCCAGCAGTCCTCCCACTTCTGCCTCCCAAAGTGATGGGATTACAGGTGTGAGCCACTGTGCCCAGACAAAGTCTTAAAACATTTTTAGCCGGGTTTCCCTGGTGGTTCATGCCTGTAATCCGAGGACTTTGGGAGGCCGAGGCGGGTGGATCACAAGGTCAAGAGTTCAAGACCAGCCTGGCCAACATGGTGAAACCCCGTCTCTACTAAAAATGCAAAAAAATTAGCCAGGCGTGGTGGCAGGTACCTGTAATCCCAGCTACTCGGGAGGCTGAGGGAGAGAATTGCTTGAACCTGGGAGGTGGAGGTTGCAGTGAGCCAAGATCACACCACTGCACTCCAGCCTGGGTGACAGAGTGAGACTCCATCTCAAAAAAAAAAAAATTTTTTTTTTAAATTGAAATAATATTGCTGGGTGTGGTGGCTCATGCCTAATCCCAGCACTTTGGGAGGCCGAAGCAGGCGGATCACCTGAGGTCAGGAGCTTGAGACCAGCCTGGCCAACATGGTGAAACCCCGTCTCTACTAAAAATACAAAAAAAAAAAAAAAAAAATTAGCCAGTCGTGGTGGTGAAATAATATCAAGTATCTTCTCTGATCACAGTGGAATAAAACTATAATCAATAATAAGAGAAACTTTGGAAACTATGTGAATACAGGGAAATTAAACAATATGCTCCTGAGTGACTAGTGGGTCAATGAACAAATTAAGAAGGAAATTAAAAAATTTCTTAAATGAAAATGGAAACACAGCATACAAAACACTATGGGATATAGCAAAAGTGGTAATAAGAGGAAAGCACCCACATCAAAAAAGTAGAAAAACTTCAGGCTGGGCATGGTGGCTCATACCTTTAATCCCAGCGCTTTGGGAGGTTGAGGCGGGCAGATCACCTGGGGTCAGGAGTTCAAGACCAGCCTGGCCAACATGGTGAAACCCCATCTCTACTAAAAACTACAAAAATTAGCCAGGCGTGCTGGTGGGTACCTGTAATCCCAGTTACTCGGGAGGCTGAGGTAGGGAGAATTGCTTGAACCTGCAAGGTGCAGGTTGCAGTGAGCCGAGATCACACCACTGCACTCTAGCCTGGGTGACAGAGTGAGAGTCTATCTCAAAAATAAAAATAAAAAGTAGAAAAACTTCAAATAAAGAACCTAACAGTACATCTTAAGAAACTAGAAAAGCAGTATCAAACCAAACTCAAAATTAGTGGAAGAGATTAAGTAAAGATCAGAGAAGAAATAAATGAAATTGAAATGAAAACAAAAACAAAATAGATTGACGAAACAAAACTTTTTTTTTTTTTTTTGGAGACAGTATCTCATTCTGTCACTCACGCTGGAGTGGCGTGTGATCTTGGCTCACTGCAACCTCCATCTCCCGGGTTCAAGTGATTCTCCTGCCTCAGCCTTAAATTACAGGCATGTGCCACCACACCCGGTGAATTTTTATAGTTTTAGTATAGGCAGGGTTTTGCCATGTTGGCCAGGCTGGTCTTAAACTCCTCACCTCAAGTGATATGCCTCCCTTGGCCTCCCAAAGTGCTGGGATTACAAGCGTGAGCCACTGTGCCTGGCCAAAAAGTTTGTTTTTTGAAAAGATAAACAAAATCAACAAACCGAGACATAAAGAGGAGACCCAAATAAAATAAAAAATGAAAAAGTAGACAGTACATTGGATACCACAGAAATTCAAAGGATCATTACAGACTACTATAAGCAACTATATGCCAATAAATTGGAAAACCTAGAAGAAATAAATTCCTAGACACATACAACCTACCAAAATTGAACCATGAAGAAGTCCAAAACCTAAGTAGACCAATAACAAGTAATGATATCAAAGTCATAATTAAAAGTCTCCCAGCAAAGAAAAGCCCAGGACCCAATAGCTTCACTGCTGAATTCTACCAAACATCTAAAGAAGAACTAATACCAGTCCTGTTAAGAAAAATAGAGGAGGAGGGAATACTTCGAATTCATTCTGTGAAGCCAATGTTACCCTGATACCAAACCAAACAAAGACACATCAAAAAAAAAAAAAAAAAAAAAAAAGAAAACTACAGGCCAATATCTGTGGTGAACATTGATGCACGTTTGATCCTCTACTGCACTCCAGCCTGGGCAAAAAGAGCGAAACTCTGTCTCAAAAAAAAAAAGAAAAACATAAACTCTGTTACAAATTCACATGCAGTTGTATATTTATACTCAGCAATAAAAATGAACAAACTACTAGATGAATTTCAGAAACATTATGCTTAGTAAAAGCTTTACACAAAAGAATTCCCAATCAATACATTTATATGAAGTTCTATGGTGAAAAAATTTAGGATAGGGTTTGCTTCTGGAGTAGGGGAAGGGATTGACTTGAAAGGGTCATGAAAGAACTTTCTGAGGCTGGGCGTGGTGGCTTATGCCTGTAATCCCAGCACTTTGGGAGGCCAAGATGGGTGGGTCGCTTGAGGTCAGGAGTTTGAGACCAGGCTGGCCAACATGGTGAAACCCCGTCTCTACTAAAAATACAAAAATTAGCTGGGTATGGTGCCAGGTGCCTGTAATCCTAGCTACTAGGTAGGCTGAAGCAGAAGAATTGCTTGAACCCAGGAGGCAGAGGTTGCAGTGAACTGAGATTGTGCCACTGTACTCCAGGCTGGGTGACACAGCGAGACTCTGTCTCAAAAAAAAAAAAAAAAAAAAGAACTTTCTCTGTTGATAATGTTCTGTACCTTGATGGGGTTGGGTCATACAGTTGTGTGCATTCGTCAAAACCCATTGAATATTATACGTAAGATTTATGCAATTTATTATATGTAAGGTTTATCTCAAGGAAAAAAGTTTTGAAAACTGTGATTTTGATGCAGGTGATCTGAGCACCACACTTGAAAACTACTGGGTTTGAGTAACTTCAGGAATAGTTCTTCCATAAAAGCATAATAATTCAGAGATTACTAATGTAATCCTTTGGCATTCAAAAACTAAGGGAGCCAAAATATTAATGGAGCCAGGTGCAGTGGCTCCAAGCACTTTGGAAGACTGCGGCGGGAGGATCGCTTGAGGCCAGGAGTTGGAGAGAGAGAGAGAGAGAGAGAGAGAGAGAGACACCAGCCTGGACAGCATAGTGAGATCCCATCTCTAAGACAGAGAGACCAGCCTGGACACCATAGTGAGATCCCATCTCTACAAAAAATTAGCCGGGAATAGTGGTGTGTGCCTGTATTCCTAGCTGCTTAGGAGGCTGAGGTGGGAGGATCACCAGAGTTTGAGAGCCAGAAGTTTGAGGCTGCAGTGAGCTGTGATCACACCACTGCACACCAGCCTGGATGACAAAGCAAAATCCTGTCTCTAAAAACATTTTTAAAAATTAAAAAAAATTTTTAATGACACTTTAAATATTTTAAGGCATATATTTGTAGTTATGTAAATATTAAAAATGTAATTTCTTTATTAATAAGCTAATTATTAAGTGGACAGGGATTTATGAAAATATTGTATAGTTCCTTTCCAATAGATGCTCTTTTTTTTTAGCATCAGGAATGCAATTTTAGTAGCATGAAAATTGTACCTATAAATAATTTTACATTGAGATGGATATTCATAATGGCATTTGGTAAACGGGATGATTTTGATTTACAGTTGTCTTCCTCTTTCAGTTAAATTCCTGGCTTTCACCTGAGTGCAGAGAATGTTTACTTATGTGATAGACCCTTAGTGTCATTGACTTCAAGATTTTAGATATTGGTTATTATGGACTGAGCCCAGAAAAAAAAAATACTCTAGATGTTTAGACAACTAGAACTTTTACTTTATATACCTTAATTATATGTGAAATTATCTGCAGACTTTCAAAAGGGCTGCAGGGGAAAGGCTGGAACTAGGGTATTGGTCAGATGCTTGAACTTTCACCAGTTAAAGGTAACTGCCTGTGTTTCCAGCTTTTTCCTATCAGAATCACCTGGGGCACTTATTAAAATTCAGATCCCTCTCTTGAAGTTTCTAAAACTTTTTCTGTACCTAAAAAACCAAAAACAAAAAAGAAAGAGAGAAAGGAAGGGAGCGAGGGAGGAAGGGAGGGAGAAGGGAAGGGAAGGAGGGGGAGAGTAAGGGAGGGGAGGGGAGGGGAGGGGAGAAGATCACCCAAGGAGGTTGTTGAAAGTGCAAATTCCTGGGCCCTACCCAGACCTCTCATTTGTCATGTTTGGAATGAAGCCCCCAAATTTACATTTTTAAAGAACACATGCAATGCAAAGGTCTGAGGGCTGTCTTCCTAGTGCCTTAGGGGAAGGTCCTTATGTAAGTTTTCAGGCACTCTTAAAAGAGAGAAGTAGGAGGTAGGAAATTGAAGGAAAGATAATTTTAGAATTGAGGACAGAAGTTAGGGTAAGACCCAAGTGGAGGACTTTGAGTAACCAGCAGCTAGTGAGGACCTAAGGTACAATGAGCATGCATAAGAGAAAACAGAGAATCCCCTCTTGGGGACCATCCGTTGGCTGTAAGACTACCATCTTTGTCGGGATGGAGCATCGGTAACCAATAGGAAAGTGACTTTTGAGAGCAACTGCATTGATTTGCTTTCAAGTGTGGGGAGAATTCAGGATCATCCTTCGTGGCACTAAAAATCTGCTTGCATGCCATAGGTTGTCAGCCCTTGCCTTACGCGGTGCTAATGGACACCTAGCAACTATAAACATTCATTGATTTTTCTCTTGTGTAGTAAGAAGAAAGCATAACCCATAGACCATCTTCTGGCAGAAGATGATACATTTGGATCAGAAACGGGAGGCATTGGAAGCCAGGAATCAAAAGTGAAGAAACTCTGCAAGCCCTTAGGTGAGAAGGTCACAGGGATTATTCATTTACTTATTTAATTACATGTTCCCCACCATCACCATATGTTTACCTAATGTGAGCTCATTGCTTTTAGGCTGATAGGTACTTCACAAATGGTAGGGAAAAGGTGGAATAGGAATAAGCTGCTGGACATGGGTCTTGATGACACATTTCTCGACAGGCTGCTTCAGTCAGTGCTTTCTGTCATCCCCTTCCTGCATTCATGTCTACTTATTTCCCAGGACCCTTCTCCCTCCTCCCTAGGGCTAAAGTTAACCTGAAATATCTCACTAACATTTAAAGCTAACATTTATTAAATCCTTATTACTACTAGGTAACGTGGTCTTGTGCTGTACCCGCAAAATTTCATTCCCTGCTCGGAACAATCCAATAATGTAATACTGTTATTATGATTCACGGTGTAGATGAAGCATCTGAGATTCTGAGGGTCATGTAACTTGCCCAAGACCTGACAGCTAGGAAGTGGCAGAAACAGATTTTAAACTCATGCTTTCTGACTTCAGACTTCATACTTGCTACTTTTTCTCTCTCTCGGAGAAAAAAATGGGAAACCACACTTGCACCTCCTCCAGTGTACCACAGCAGGTATCCCAACTTGGTAGACTCATTTTGAAAGGTTGTTGATATAGTTAGGCTGTGTCCCCATCCAAATCTCATCTTGAATTATGGTTCCCATAATCCCATGTGTCATGGGAGGGGCCCAAGTGGGAGGTAATTGAATCATGGGGGCCGTTACCCTCATGCTGTTCTTGTGATAGTGAGTGAGTTCTCATGAGATGATGGTTTTATAAGGGGCTTTCCTCACTTTGCTCACCACTTCTCCTTCCTGCCGCCATGTAAAGGATATGTTTGCTTCCCCTTCCACCATGATTGTAAGTTTCCTGAGGCCTCCCCAGCCCTGCAGAACTGTGAGTCAGTGAAACTTCTTTCCTTTGTAAATTACCTAGTCTTGAGCATTTCTTCATAGCAGCGTGACAATGGACTAACACAGTAAATTGGTACTGGGAGTGGGGCACTGCTATAAGGATACCTGAAAATGTGAAAGCAACTTTGGAACTGGGTAACAGGCAGAGGTTGGAACAGTTTGGAGGGCTCAGATTAGAAGACAGGAAAATGTGGGAAAGTTTGGAACTTTGTAGAGACTTGGAGGACTCAGAAGAAGACAGGCAGATGTGAGAAAGTTTGGAACTTCCTGGAGACTTGTTGAATGATTTTGACCAAAATGCTGATAGTGATGTGGACAATGAAGTCCAGGCTGAGGTGGTCTCCGATGGAGATTAGGAACTTCTTGAAGACTAGAGCAAAGGTGACTCTTGCTATGCTTTAGTGAAGAGACTGGAAGCATTTTGCCCTGCCCTAGAGCTGTGGAACTTTGAACTTGAGAGAGAGAATTTAGGTTATCCGGTGGAAGAAATTTCTAAGCAGCAAAATGTTCAAGAGGTGACAGAGCACCATGATTGTAAGTTTCCAGAGGCATTCTCCAGCACTGTGGAGCTGTGACTCAATTAAACCTCTTTCCTTTAAAAATTACCCAGTCTCATGTATTTCTTTATAGCAGCATGAGAACGGACTAATACAGTTGTCAATCTCTGGGATATAAAAGCATCACAGCTTTCATTATGAAATTTTTGAAAGTCAGAGAAGAGAATGAAATCACCAAAATATCACTACCCTTACTTAACTATGATTAATATATTAATGTATTTGCTTTCTGGCCTTTTCCATATATGTATATATTTTCCAATAGTGCATGTATTATTTAGTAGCCTGATAATTGAAATATATATAGAATTTTCATACCCAGATTTTAATGACAGTCAAATGATAATATGAGACTTCTAGCAGTTTGAAGTTAATGCCCAACAAATGAGTGAGTGAATGAATGCTTGCTTTCATGTATGGAATATTACATGTTTGTGCTCTTGTCACATTTGTTTTTTTTGTGTTCAGAGTAGGGAACCATTGTTTTAGTTTAAATTCTGTATAACACTTCACATGAACAAATAGCATACTCTCCCAACTCAACTATGCTCTACCTATCTTTCCAGCTCTTGCTCAAATTCACATCCCCTTTAAGCTTTTCTTGATTTCCAAGCCTGCAGTGATCTTTTTCTACTCAAATTTTCTCAAGCAGTTTCTGGCTATACCTCACATTTGATATTCACCATTTTCTACATTTGCTAATTATAGTACTTTTATGCTATTTTCTTATACTTCTTTCTATCTGCAACACCTAATCCAATGCTTTTCAATGTCAATTTTATTTTTTAGCATTTTAATATTCAAATCAAATTGCTATTGACCAATTTTTGTAAGATTCTAGAATGACTAAGCTTTCTGGTGTGTCTTTCTATCCTTCTGTAGGTTCCTATTACTGTAACCATGCCAGAAATGACAGAGAATGAGACGCCTACAAAAAAGCAGCACAGGTATGTATCCACAGCCCCAATATAATATGCTTTGGGCAGATAAGAAGCAGAATTAGTTCCTATTTTGCTACATAGGTAGTCCTTAGAGAACTTTTATTTAGATACCGAGGAAATTATTACTCTCCAAAAATATTTGTAGATAAATACAGATTTACTGAAAAAGGTATATGGTTAAAAATTATCTGTCCTGGCCGGGTGTGGTGGCTCACGCCTATAATCCCAGCACTTTGGGAGGCCGAGGCTGGTGGATCACCTGAGGTCAGGAGTTCAAGACCAGCCTGGCCAACATGATGAAACCCCATCTCTACTAAAAATACAAAAATTAGCTGGGTATGGTGGCATGTACCTGTAGTTCCAGCTACTCGGGAGGCTGAGGCAGGAGAATTGCTTGAACCTGGGAGGCAGAGGTTGCAGTGAGCCAAAATCATGCCACTGCACTCCAGCCTGGGTGACAGAGACTCCATCTCAAAGAAAAAAAAAAGAAAAAAAATTATCTGTTCTTATTCTACTAGCAATATAACAAGAATGACTGTCAGTAGTTAATATATTACCAAATCTATGTTAAATGTTTTGTTTGTAATGACATTTTCACTTGCCTATAGTATTAATTTTTGTATATCCTAAGTTGATTTAGGCTCTAGTCAGTGTGAATAGACATTCTGTGACATTATAATCCATTAATGCTAATATGCATATCAGAACAATGTTACTTCTGGTTCTTTGTATAACCTTTTTTTCTGAGTTTCTAGCACCTTTAGCAATGTTTCTGCTTAGAATTGCATGGCCAATGGTTCTACTAATATTAAAATCATGATTCTCTTTCCTTACCAAATAGCTATTAGAGAATGCTAATGTTTTGAGTAATTGTGTATAAAAAGGAAAGTCAATGCTTTTAGTAGATTGGCTCTCAAGAAAATTTAAGAGTTTGGACAACCTGAGGTACACAAATACAAGATAGCTCAGATGCCACTTGTCTGTACACGGGTGCTGTTGGCTGCCACATCTCCCTCCCTAGGGATTACAAAATTACTCTGCTGTTGCTTGTGTCTCCTGCACACGCACACCCGTACTGGTCCAGGTGCCAGGACAAACATCAGATATCACCTACTTGGCACATCACTTCGTGAATTTACCAGCACCTAAGTTATATTTTGAAATAGTTAATTAAGCTTTTCAGTGATTGATTCATTTCCCCACCTATGACTTCTGGGTATGGAAGAATAGAGAGTTGTAGTTACCTCCAGAAATTGTGGTTTCTAAATTTATATTGAGGTTCTCTGCCATTAGATTTTCATACCATAATATATATTAAGGAAATGTTTCTTCAGATTGTTTCTTATTGCTGCAACAAATACAAATTCATAAAATTTATTTTTGTGATTCTTAAAGTATAAAATGGTAAAAATACTTTCCCATTATTTTCATGTTACCTTTTATCTGTACTTTTTGTTTCAGAAAGAAAAACCGGGAGACACACAATGCAGGTAGAAACAATTTAAATTTTACCTGTTAGCATTTTTTGCATTCAAAATGAAATCATACTGCAGTTGATTATAAGTTTTTATGTTATAAGCAAGGAATCATTATTCATTATGTTTTAGGAAAATGTTCCCTTATTGTTTTTTATTGACAAAATACTCCCTGAGTCTCATGAAGATGGCTTGCTTATCATCTTCTGATTCATAGTCTATTTAGATAATTTAAGAGATTACTGTATCCCTGGAGCTAGTGTTTTAAGTGATTTTACCTACCAAGATAGTCCAGATATTATTCTCCTAGATAGTATGGAGGGTATGTATCTTTGCAGCAATTCCCGAGGGGGCTGGCTGCCTAGAGGTATAGCTAAGAGATGAGCAGCAGGTTATAGATCCTAAAGAGCCTTGTAATGTGAACAGTCTTAAATTAAGTTCTGGAGTCCTCAATTATAGGAAGATATAGAAAATAAATATTGGATTTTATCTCAAATATTGAAATTACAGGCCAAAGCCAGATAAACATCTATAAAATTAATTGTGCATACATTTGGAATTTGGCACACTGTATCTATAAACGATACCTTCCTTTGTCTAAGGAAAGGACCCTTGGGAAAATTTTATCTATGGAAAAGTATGTTGAACACTGGTGGGATATTGCTGTTTCTCAGAATGTGGAGTTTATTGCCTTTGAAACTCCATTTTTCTGCAGGGGGTAAAAAGTCTTAATGTTGACTTTTTTTTTAACCTCCATGCATTACAAAATCTACTCTTAGAAACCAACAAATACTATTATTAGAGAATTCAGAGGAAAGGTAAGCACAGTTTATTGCTTTGATTTTTTTTTGCTGTATAAATTAATGTTTTTGACCATAAGAGCTAATCTTTTTGATTGGAGTCAGCTGTCACATGGTGCCATAGATATGTGCTTATAGGCCGATCGTGGTGGTTCATGCCTGTAATCCCAGCACTTGGAGAGGTCGAGGCAGGTGGAGCACCTGAGGTCAGGAGTTTGAGACCAGCCTGGCCAACATGGCGAAACCCCATCTCTTCTAAAAATACAAAAAATTAGCCGGGTATGGTGGTGCGTGCCTGTAATCCCAGCTACTCAGGAGGCTGAGGCAGGAGAATCGCTTGATGCAGTTAAGCGAGATCGTGCCATTGCACTCCAGCTGGGGTGACAGAGTGAGGCTCCATCTCAAAAAAAAAAAAGAAAAAAAAAAAGAAAGAGATGTGTTTACCATAACTTACTAAGAAAGACTAATTAGGTGTCATTGAAAAGGATGCTAGGCCAGGCGTGATGGCTCATGCCTGTAATTCTAACACTTTGGTAGACCAAGGCAGGAGGATATTTTGAGCCCAGGAGTTCAAAACCAGCGTGGGCAACATAGGGAGACCCCGCCTCTACAAGTAATAAAAAAAAATTAGCCAGGCATGGTAGTGCATGTCTATGGTTCCAGCTACTCTGGAGGCTGAGGTGGAAGGATTGCTTGAGCCTGGGAAGTCAAGACTGCAGTGAGCTGTGATTGTGCCACTGCACTCCAGCCTGGGCAATGGAACAACACCTTGTCTCAAAAAAAAAAAAAAAAAAAAAGGAAGAAGAAAAGAAAAAAGGAGAAAAGAAAGAAAAAAGGATGCTCTTACTGCTAGATCATAAAGCAAAAAATATATATATTTTGCAAAACACGTCACACCCATGCTACTGAAAGATCATCTACTTAGAAGCACTGGAATCCTTTGTTAAAAAGGAATGTTTTAGAAAACTTTGTAATAGAAAATAGCCAATACTAATGTTTCCACTTACAGAGTCTTATAGAAATTATTTGTATAATGTCTCCTATCCTTTGACCCCTTTTAAATTTGTAACACTTAAGCCTGGAACATTTCACAGTTGATTGAGAAGCTGTCAGTTGCTTTGTTTCTTTGATGGGAAAGATCCAACATAGCCAAAGTGGAGAGTCTAGATCCCAGATCCCAGATCCCATAGAGAAAACCAAACCAGTACTCTTTCTTATCTATTTTAAGTCATAGCTAATAGCTGTTTCTATTCCAAAAAGGCCCAGTAGTCATCCAAAAAGGTGTTTTAAGGTTCTTTAATCTGCCTAGAAAGGCCTCATTTGCCCATTTGCCATAAAGAGGCAGCTTTCTAATAACTTGTTTGTTAGTGGATTCTTTAAATTTGATTATCATTAAAATCTCTAGTGATTACTTGAACTGTAATAGAATGATGGCCTAGTAGTAATGAAATATTAGCAATTCCTATTTGTTTTTAATTTGAAAGTAATTATTATCAATGATGGTCTTTAAAATTTTAAGGTCTGGTGCAGTGACTCAGGTCTGTAATCCCAGCATTTTGGGAGACTGAGGTGGGCAGATAGCTTGAGCTCAGGAGTTTGAGACCATCCTAGGCAACATGGCAAGACCCTGTCCCTACTAAAAATACAAAAAAAAATAGTTGGGCATGGTGCTGCATGCCTGTGGTCCCAGCTATTCGGGAGGCCTGAGCCCAGGGAAGGGGCTGAGGGCAGGAGATTGCAGTGAGCTGAGATTGCACTGCTGCACTCCAGCCTGGGGGACCCTGTCTCAAAAAAAAGCAAAATGCTAATAAAAGTATTGCTTATGTAGATTGCTGTAACACTAGATTTAAAAAATGACATCTTAGACATTTTACTTATTATAGTTATTTATAGTAGATAATGTTTGATAAGCCCTTCCCCTTCCCCTTCCGCTCCCCTTCCCCCTTCCCTTTTTTTTTATTTTCAGACAGAGTCTCGTTCTGTCACGCAGGGTGGAGAGCAGCAGCATGATCTCAGCGCACTGCAGCCTCCATCTCCCGGGTTTCAAGCAATTCTCCTGCCTCAGCCTCCCAAGTAGCTGGGACTACAGGCGTGTGCCACCACGCCCAGCTACTTTTTGTATTTTTAGTAGAGATGGGGTTTTGCCATGTTGGCCAGGCTGGTCTCGAACTCCTGACCTCAGGTGATCCACCCGCCTTGGCCTCCCAAAATGCTGGGTTTGCAGGTGTGAACCATCACGCCTGGCCATTGATAAGCATTTCTTAGGGATTTCTTTACCTAAAACTTCTTTACCGTGGTTGAATGAGGGCACTTTGACTAAGTAGTGTAAGGTTTGATAAACGAATTTTCTCCCATCTAGTGGAGAGGCATAGAAAGAAGAAAATTAATGCTGGGATAAACAGAATAGGAGAGCTGATCCCATGTTCTCCTGCCCTGAAGCAGGTAAGAAGTCTACTCATATCTTCATTCATTACTTATGAACAGACAATTCCCTAAGTTGTTTTGGTGCTTAGAATGATTATTTTTGTTGCTTTCTATTTCTATGTATGGTTCTTTTGAAGTTAATAATTGCCTTGTTTTAATTCTTCCCATTCTTCCAACAATCTTTTAGTACAGTTTCTTCATGGTCAAATGTACCATATAATTTCTAGACTCTTCAGATTTCTCTTGATTACTAAATTAATCACATGACTATGTTTACATATATGCCACTCTATTTGCAAGGCATTTTTTCATTTTGTTTTCCTGCCAATGCATGTTCTTACTCCTTTTAAATTTTTACTTAGAATCTTCCAAGGATCTTTTTAAAAATTTATTCTCCGTGCCCTCTTAACCCCCAGTAGTACTTAAAATCTCAGCTTAAAGTATGACAGTGTTCTCTAATGAAGATACCTTTTTGTTCCTTCTAATAATGAGGATTATCCCTCTAATAATGAGGGATAATTATTATTATCCCTCTAATAATGAGGATAAAGCATGCTCCACTGAAAACAAAAAAACAAAAAATTGAAACAATACGAAAGGCACAAAAAGGTTTAAAAAATAAACTGATATCTTACTCCCAAGCAATAATCACTATTATAATGTTGTAATTAAATGAATATATGCAAAAAGTTAATAAGACACATAGCAAACAGCACTAAAAAGCTTAAAACAACAAACATTAATCTCCTACCTGCTTCCTAACCCCAACATAGCTCCTCAGAGGCAAATATTCTCAACTGTTTCTTCTGTGTTTTTTTTTTTTTACTGTTATATTTCTAAATAGCATACTTACGTTGCTGTATCTGAATTTTTCAATTTTAGAGATTATCTATTGACTCGTTGTTATGCTTTTCCCCTGGCTTCTTCTTCTTCAGTCCTTCCATTATAATTCTATCACTTTTGGTTAAATTGGTATTCAGTTTTTATGTTTTTAAAACTGTAAATATTATTCATGGTTGAGCCAAGGAGTGTACTATTATATTTCATTTGTTGCTTTTGTTTTTGGGTGGAGTAAATAATTACCTCATAGTTTTCCATTTGCTTAATTTTTCATATACTTATCTTTAATCCTTCTGATACTTCCAACCATCTCTTAGTAGAGTTTTCTGTAAGGTCAAATGTACTACATAATTTTCATTTGCCATTTTCTTTCTTCAAGACTTTACTTCTGGAACACTCTGTTCTCCTTTTTCATTCTCAACCAGTTGACCTCTTCCAGCTCTTCTGTTTTTAATTGCAGCTCTTATATTTTTAATTTCCAATAGTCTTTTTTCTTATTCTCTGTTCCTTTTCCTACCATATGTTTGTGGATACAATATCTTCTCACCTCTGAATAGTATATGTAGGTTTTTTCCTGAAGTTTTTTTCTGTTTATGTTTTTTTCCTCTGATTTCCTTTTTTCCCCTTTTTGTCTCATCTTTTTTTGAGGGGGTTTTCCTGAAATGTTTAGTGACTTGAAGCTGTTTTTTTCATACTTGGGAATGAGGCATTAAAAAGCTGACTGAATAGGTTTGTATTTTGGTAGCCCTAAGTGTTGCATGATTAGAAGCTATGCTAGTTTTATTGTTCTTGTTGTGGAACTAAAACATATCAGTATTTGTCTTTTTTTTTTTTTTGTGGGATAGCTATTAATTTTTTCATTTTCTTGGAGAAGAACCCATCAGTCTCCTGCCTGGGAGTGGGACTGGTAGGAAGAGGAAGAGGTTGCTATTATTCTGGGAGCTGGATGGGAGTTAGGGGGCTAGAGAGTCTTGTGCTGTAGTAGGCAGAGTTTTACTCTACCCCGCTGTTTCCACTTAGGACCCTCGTCTTGTCCACTTTTGTGCCAAGTATCCCTGAGGTTGAAATTCTCTGGTTCAAATTTCAGAGAAAATAAACTTGTCTCCTGCGGTTTGGGCAGGAAGGGAAAGTCATCCAGCTGTGTAGAATATGTGCGTGGGGGCAGGGTAGGGGGTGGTTCTTATTACTGCTTTATTAGGAGTCTTTCAGCCACTTCCCCTCTATTTTAACCCCCAGCTCACTCCATCTTCTGTAGAGGCTGGTGGTTCTCAGTGTTGAGCCTTCCCAGTATGTCAAAGGAGCAAATCAGCTTGCTTCTCTATGTTATCTCCCTTGGAAAGGACTTACTCTTCATTTCCTTTCTTCCCTATAGGATGGACTTAGACTTCCATATATGTTTCTGTTTGTTTGTTTGTTTGTTTGTTTGTTTGTTTTGAGACAGTCTCACTCTGTTGCCTAGGCTGGAATGCAGTGGCATGATCTCGGCTCACTGCAACCTCCGCCTCCCAGGTTCAAGTGATTCTCTTGCCTCAGCCTCCTGAGTAGCTAGGATTACAGGTGCATGCCACCACGCCAGGCTAATTTTTGTATTTTTAGTAGAGATGGGGTTTTACCATGTTGGCCAGGCTGGTCTCAAACTCCTGACCTCAAGTGATCCACCCACCTCGGCCTCCCAAAGTGCTGGGATTACAATGCCCGGCTCCATGTATGTATTTTTCAGCCTTTTTAAAAATTGTGCTTTCTGTTTCCTTAACACAATGGCACACACTATGCCTTCTAATTTGTTTTTCTTTCTCCACATCTCAATGGAAGGTAGCTAGGTAGCTACTCAGTAAACATAGATGTTTGCCCAGGAAAATCTTACTTTCCTGCTCTTGGCTTTCATCCCTGCGAGTTTCTCTGAAGAAAGGAAACCATAACCATTTTACTTCCTTGGTGTTCTAGAATGTGCAAAGGAAGTCAGTATTTGGCTATCAGAAGCAGAGCCAACTAAGATTTTCTTCACAGGCTTTGGCCCCTGTCTGCAGTAGAGGGACAGGTGGCTGGGAATTATCAGGTTCTGCCTTTGTTCAGATTATTGTTTTTAAAAAGAACAATATTATTTTTCTCTTAGTAGTAAATAACTTCCTGGGTTTACGTATTGGGTCTCTGTTGGGACTCAGTGTAAAGAACTCAGAATTATAAATTGCCAAACAAAGGACTAAATCACAGTGATTCCTACATGAAAAGAGTTATCTACAAAGTACCAGAGATAGCTAATAATATATATCCTGGAGTAGAGGTTAAATATTCATTGCAACATTCTTGATAGCTGAAGGATAAAAACCAGAAATGACTGTTAAGGTATCTTAAATGTTTATCAATAATAGACTGGTAAATAAAATAAATACAGTCATTAGCAACAATAAGTAGTCCGGGCACAGTGGCTCACACCTGTAATCCCAGCACTTTGGGAGACCGAGGCGGGCAGATAATGAGGTCAGGAGATCACGACCATCCTGGTTAACATGGTGAAACCTCATCTCTACTAAAAAAACAAAAAACAAAAAACAACAACAACAACAAATTAGCCCGGCATGGTGGCGGGTGCCTGTAGCTACTCGGGAGGCTGAGGCAGGAGAATGGCATGAACCCAGGAGGCGGAGGTTGCAGTGAGCTGAGATCGCGCCACTACACTCCAGCCCGGGCGACAGAGCAGGAGTCTGTTACAAAAAAAAAAAAAAAAAAAAAGGAAACAATAAGTAGGGGCCAGGCATGGTGGCTCACACCTGTAATCCCACCACTTTGGGAGACCAAGGTGGGAGGATCACCTGAGGTCAGGAGTTCGAGACCAGCCTGGCCAACATGGTGAAACCCCGTCTCTACCAAAAAAAAAAAAAATTAGCCAGGCATGATGGCATGTGCTTGTAGTCTCAGCTACTTGAGAGGCAGAGGCAGGAGAATTGCTTGAGCCCGAAAGGCAGAGGTTGCAGTGAGCCGAGATTGCGCCACTGCACTCCAGCCTCGGCCACAGAGCAAGACTCTGTCTCAAAAAAAAAAAAAAAAAAAAAGAAAGATGTCTAGATGCTATATGGAAGTATCGCAAATATATATATATATATTTATTATTTTTTTGAGATGGAGTTTTGCTACTGTTGCCCAGGCTGGAGTGCAATGGCACAATCTCGGCTCACCACAACCTCCTCCTCCTGGGTTCAAGTGATTCTCCTGACTCAGCCTCCCGAGTAGCTGGGATTACAGGCATGTGCCACCACGCCCTGCTAATTTTGTATTTTTAGTAGAGACGGGGTTTCTCCATGTTGGTCAGGCTGGTTTCGAACTCCTGACCTCAGGTGATCTGCCCACCTCGGCTTCCCAAAGTGCTGGGATTACAGGCATGAGCCACCGTACCCGGCCGCCAAGATATATTTTTAAATGTAAGGAAATACAAAATCCTTTTGTCTGTATGTTCGTTTGTTTGTTTTTTCTTTTGAGACAGAATCTCACTCTGTTGCCCAAGCTGGAGTGCAGTGGCAGGATCTCACTTCACAGCAATCTCTGCCTCCCAGGTTCAAGCAGTTCTCTTGTCTCAGCCTACTGAGTAGCTGGCATTACAGGTGTGCGCCACCATGCCTGGCTAATTTTTTTGTAATTTTGATAGAGACGGGATTTTGCCATTTTGGCCAGGCTGGTCTCAAATTCCTGACCTCAAGTGTCTGCCCGCCTCGGCCTCCCAAAGTGCTGGGATTATAGGCATGAGCCACTGCGCCTGGCCTTGTCTGAGTTTTTAAAAAGGATGTATATAGGCATGTATTGGACATGAGAATAAAGGAATACTTTAACATAACGTACAATCTTTTTGAAAAAGCTTAGGAATACAATTTACTGGAAGCATGACACCAAAACTCAATCAAGTGACATTCCTCTCTTGGCCTATTATTTAGAATAATTCGTAGTTGTGGTAAACAGAGTAAAGAATAACATTAAAATCCAAAACCTTTACAAAATCTTGAAGGCCTTCTCTGGCCTTCTACTACTCTTCCCACATGTACTCCACTGTAGCTCCGCTCACCTCCTTACCATTCCTCCAACGTGCCGAGCCTAGCTTGGCTAAGGGCCCCTGCCCTTCTGATCCTGCTGTCTGGACTCCCTTTTCCCATATATCTGCAGGGCCTGCTTCCTTTCACTTCCTTCCAGTTTTTGCTCAGGTATCACCTTATTCAGGGCCCTTCCCCAACCTCCATATACAACAAATGTTCTCAGTGTCTTAGTTCAGGCTGCTGCAACAAAAATGCCATAGACTGGGTAACTTTAATTTCTCACAGTTCTGGAAGGTGGGAAGTCCAAGATCAAGTGCCAGCCAATTCACTTCCTGGTGATAACCCACTTCCTAGTTATGTCCTCAAGTGGCAGACAGAGAGAGAGATCATCTCTGTCTCTTCTTATAGGGCACTAATCCCATCATGAGGGCTCCACCTTCATGACCTAATTACCTCCCAAAAACCATCACACTGGGGATAAGGGTTTAGACATATGAATTTTAGGGGGCACAAACATTCAGTCCTTTGCACAAAGTAACCTCCACCATCACTCTAGCTCCCTCTTTACCCTGCTTTATATTTCTTCATAGCATTCCTCTGTGTGTGTGTGTGTATTCTTCAAGGACAGGGACTTTGTTTGTTTTACTATTATATCCCCAGTGCCTAGAACAGAGCCTGCCACTCATTAGCTGCCCAATAACCATTTAATAAATGAAAAATATACAGTAGAAGCTTTTGAATATAGTGCCTGTTTTAAATTTTGAGAAGATACGTATCATATATATGTGATAAAGACAAAGCTTAAAGTTTCATCTGGCAAGTTCTTACCCTTCAGTGAAACTTGTAAACTTTTAAAATTTTCTTGGACAGAGCAAGAATATGATCCTGGACCAAGCCTTTAAATATATAACAGAATTGAAAAGGCAAAATGATGAACTCCTGCTTAATGGAGGAAACAATGAACAAGGTAAAGATTTAAAAGTTCTTACTTTTTGTTGTATTTTAAAATGTTTAGGTGTTTGTGTCACAGTGAAATTTATATTATGACATAGAAAGCTTTTTGGCCCCAAAACATTATTAAGACCCTGCATTCAGTGGGTCTGGAAGAATAATGTTACCAATAAATTCATTTTAGTCTAACTCTTTCTCCTCTGTGAGCACCTCTTATCTTGTAGGCATACATAGTTTTGACTTTGAACTCTTCTGTGTATTTCATGTTTGCCTAACTCATGATACTAGTAATGCTAAATCTCCTTTATTCCAATTGGACATTGCAGTTAGGGCAATCCCATAAGAAGATGTAAGGGGGGAGTTCTGCTCAGTGAAATTTATTAAAAAGATTAGGATATGCCTGTGCCACGATTTAACTATGCATTAGCAAAAAAGGCCAAAACATTCATTTTGTTTATACTTCTTGTAATGTGTGCATCAAACTGCCTGATCATTTAATGATACTTGATTCTTAGATAAAGGTGACTTTTTAATGCCATCAAATGAGTTCTCTTTTTCCATTAGCATTGGAGAGAAAGTTTTCTTATAGCAGCGGGAAAAAAATATTCCAGGCAAGCGTAAAGCTCAGGGTAGGCCAGTTTGAAATTGTCTTTTATTTATACCCCTGACAAGTGCAAGGAGAGAATTTTCTGTGACAACTCAGTAGGCCACCTTAAAAAGAGAGAAAAAAGGGCAGAATTGCCTGAGGTAAGGTCAGTGCTGGGCTGTGTTTATTGTAATGGATGGGAAAGATATTGGAAAGCCTACCTAGGAGGTCAGCATTCAGAATTCTCCTTGTTTACTTTTAGTTAAATATTAGCAGCTTCCCCCCCTCACCTAGTTTAGCTGGTGTTTATGGCCCAGGTCTTTTTGTGATGCCGTCAGATAGATAAATGATCCATGTTTAGTAACCATTTGAGGTACTCCACAGAAGGGATGTAAGACAGAATGATGAGTAGACTTTTCTAATGAAAGCTCTTTTGATTTCAAAGCCAGAGGCTGAGACAATCAAGTTACCTTAGGAAAAAGGGAAATTGTTGAAAAATAGAAGTTGCGTGGGACTCAGAAAAAGCTGACCAGACAGGCCAGGGGTTAGGGGTGGGATCTAAGGCAGCCTAAATCTGTGTTTGTTATTTCTGTCATGATCGTTATTTCTCTGGTTCTTTTTCTGTGCATCTGCTCTATCCTCTTTTTTTCTCTCAGTGGCTTCTTCCATATGCTCACTGTGCATGTATCTAGTAGCCAAAGCAATGGCCTTGGACTCAGGCCCTCCTAGGTTTGAGTCTCAGCTTCATTTACTCACTCAGTACCCTTTGGTCAGTTACTTAGCCTCTCCCAGTCCCAGTTTCCCTATGTTAAAATGAGGATAATCATAGTATCTACCTGGCTGAATTTAGGCAAATTACATAACTGCTCTGGGCCTGTTTCTCACATCTAAAAGTGGTGATAATAAAATATAAATTGCCATCTCATGGTTCTTATGAGGATTAAAAGAGATAATACAAGAACTTAGATTAAAGCCTAGCACAGAGTAATTGCTTGATAAATGTTAGCTGTTATAGTTGTCGTTGTTATTAAATGAAACAAGGAATGAAATGTGCCAGGTAGTAAAGGTGCAGTAAGTGAGAACCATGATTATTATTTGGTCCATAATGATTGTTCTTTAATTTCTACTGTCCGTGGACACTGGTATCTTTCTTTTGTCTCTTAGTTTTAAACTAAGAAAAATGATCTGCTAGTTTCAGCTCGTCTTTGTTGGAATGGAACTTTTCATTTCAGGCTCCCTCACAGGGTGTTAGCCTGGAGAATAGGATGCTTTGGAAAAGGAATGAGAATACTCTCCACTGTTTCAAGGCAGATGGGGATGTGTGGGGTCACAGAGCATATACCAGCAGCTAAGCCTGCCCCATTAGTGGTACTCATAGGTGAAGCTATCTACCTTAGAAAGGAGGGCTGTGACAATGCCCTCACTGCTCAGTAGCATACCTGCATTGTCCCTACCAAGCAAAGTGCAGGTTCCATTGTCGATGCTTTCTTTGGTGCACTTTGGTGCCACTTTGCTTCTTATGTGTTCTATTCCTTTTTGTCTCAATTGTTTCAAAGGATAAAATAGAAACTAAATTGATTTATAAAAGAGACTGTCGGCTGGGCATGGTGGCTCATGCCTGTAATCCCAGCACTTTGGGAGGCCAAGGCAGGCAGATCACTTGAGGTCAGGAGTTCAAGACCAGCCTGGCCAACATGGCGAAACCCTGAATCTACTAAAAATATGAAAATTAGCTGGGAGTGTTGGTGCGCACCTGTAATCTCAGCTACTCGGGAGGCTGAGGCAGGACAATTGCTTGAACCTGGGAGGTGGAGGTTGCAGTGAGCCGAGATTGCACCACTGCACTCCGGCCTGGGTCACAGAGCAAGACTCTGTCTCAAAAGAATAAAATAAAAAATAAAGAGACTGCCTGTTACTATCACAGGTAATGTTGGCTGCTGCAGCATTTAAATGGCATATTGATATTCAATGTTATCTTGCTAGCATGTTGCCATGATATCAGTATGTCTTCCCTTACTTCACCTATGTAGCTGCCCTACTGGAAATTTTTGAATTGGGAATTTTGAGGTTTCTACATTATGAGTAATTTTTCAGTTGACCTTTAAAAATTTATACTTTTTAAAGGAGGGCATAGGGATTTAAGATATCATTCTAAAAAGAAAAAAGAAGTTGTATTAGAAAAGAGCTGAAGAGTCTCGGTTGAAGTACTTAGAATGCTAGAATTAGAATTCAGTAGTTTAGTATACAGTTCTTTATCAAGTTATTGTAAATACTGACATTCTCAGGTATTTATAAATTTTTGTTTTTAATATTATAGCTGAAGAAATAAAAAAGCTACGGAAACAACTGGAAGAAATCCAAAAAGAAAATGGCCGATATATTGAATTACTGAAAGCTAATGACATATGCTTATATGATGACCCGACAATTCACTGGAAAGGAAATCTTAAAAACTCAAAGGTCTCTGTTGTTATTCCTAGTGACCAGGTTCAAAAAAAAATTATTGTTTATTCCAACGGGAATCAGCCTGGTGGAAACAGCCAGGGAACAGCTGTTCAGGGGATAACTTTTAATGTTAGTCATAATTTACAAAAGCAGACCGCCAATGTGGTGCCAGTACAGAGGACTTGCAATCTTGTGACTCCTGTATCTATTTCTGGAGTTTACCCTTCTGAAAACAAGCCATGGCATCAGACCACAGTTCCTGCATTGGCTACCAACCAGCCTGTTCCTCTTTGTCTTCCTGCTGCCATTTCTGCTCAGAGTATTCTCGAGCTTCCCACCTCTGAAAGCGAATCAAATGTGCTTGGTGCCACTAGTGGCTCACTGATTGCTGTTTCAATTGAATCTGAGCCTCACCAACATCATTCTTTGCACACATGCCTAAATGATCAAAATTCTTCTGAAAATAAGAATGGACAAGAGAACCCCAAAGTATTGAAGAAAATGACCCCTTGTGTTACAAACATCCCCCACAGCTCCTCAGCAACTGCCACTAAAGTGCACCATGGAAACAAGTCCTGCCTGAGCATACAGGACTTCAGAGGTGATTTTCAAAACACTTTTGTTGTTTCAGTTACCACCACAGTCTGCTCGCAGCCTCCCAGAACTGCAGGTGATTCTTCTCCAATGAGCATTAGTAAGAGTGCAGACTTGACAAGTACAGCTACAGTGGTGGCATCATCTGCCCCTGGAGTAGGGAAGGCCACCATTCCTATAAGCACTCTTTCGGGAAACCCTTTGGACAATGGTTGGACTCTTTCTTGTTCTTTGCCTTCTTCAAGTGTTAGTACTTCAGATTTGAAAAACATTAATAGCCTTACACGAATCTCTTCAGCTGGAAACACACAGACAACGTGGACTACTTTGCAACTGGCAGGAAACACTATTCAGCCCTTAAGCCAGACACCATCTTCTGCTGTGACTCCAGTATTAAATGAGTCTGGTACTAGCCCCACCACAAGCAACCACAGTAGATATGTGGCTACAGACATCAACTTGAATAATTCCTTTCCAGCAGATGGGCAGCCAGTTGAGCAAGTAGTTGTAACATTGCCTTCTTGTCCATCTTTACCTATGCAGCCACTAATTGCCCAGCCACAAGTTAAATCTCAGCCTCCCAAAAATATCCTTCCACTGAATTCAGCAATGCAAGTGATTCAGATGGCTCAGCCAGTTGGGTCAGCTGTTAATTCAGCTCCAACTAATCAAAATGTTATAATTCTTCAGCCACCTAGCACCACCCCATGCCCAACAGTGATGAGGGCAGAAGTTTCCAACCAAACAGTAGGTCAACAGATAGTAATCATACAGGCTGCTAATCAGAATCCTTTGCCACTCCTCCCTGCTCCACCTCCTGGTTCTGTTCGACTCCCCATCAATGGAGCCAATACTGTAATAGGGTCTAATAATTCAGTGCAAAATGTTCCAACACCACAGACTTTTGGAGGAAAGCATCTTGTCCACATATTACCAAGACCTTCATCTTTATCAGCGTCTAACTCAACACAAACTTTTTCTGTTACCATGTCAAACCAACAGCCTCAAACCATTTCTTTAAATGGACAGCTCTTTGCTTTGCAGCCTGTGATGTCTTCATCAGGAACTACAAATCAAACCCCTATGCAAATTATTCAACCCACCACCAGCGAAGATCCAAATACCAATGTTGCCCTGAATACATTTGGTGCTTTGGCCAGCCTCAATCAAAGCATATCACAGATGGCTGGGCAAAGCTGTGTACAATTGTCTATTAGCCAGCCTGCCAATTCTCAAACTGCTGCAAATAGTCAAACCACTACAGCTAACTGTGTTTCATTAACAACAACTGCAGCACCTCCTGTGACAACAGATAGTTCAGCCACACTAGCTAGTACTTATAATCTAGTGAGTACTTCCTCAATGAACACTGTTGCTTGTTTGCCTAACATGAAATCTAAAAGGTTGAATAAGAAGCCAGGTGGCAGGAAACACTTAGCAGCAAACAAGTCAGCGTGTCCCCTGAATTCAGTCAGAGATGTGAGCAAGTTAGACTGCCCCAACACTGAAGGCTCAGCAGAGCCACCCTGTAATGATGGACTGCTAGAAAGCTTCCCTGCTGTGTTACCATCTGTCTCTGTGTCTCAGGCAAATAGTGTGAGTGTTTCTGCTTCACATTCTTTGGGTGTTCTAAGCTCTGAATCATTAATACCTGAGTCTGTATCGAAATCTAAGTCAGCAGAAAAGTCCAGCCCACCCTCCCAAGAATCTGTAACAAGTGAACATTTTGCAATGGCCGCAGCAAAATCCAAAGATTCTACCCCTAATCTACAACAAGAGACATCTCAGGATAAACCACCAAGTAGTTTAGCATTATCAGATGCTGCCAAACCCTGCGCTTCAGCCAATGTATTGATTCCATCTCCAAGTGATCCTCACATTTTGGTTTCTCAGGTTCCTGGTTTGTCATCTACAACAAGCACTACAAGTACTGACTGTGTTTCTGAGGTAGAAATCATTGCTGAACCTTGCAGAGTTGAGCAAGATTCATCAGATACAATGCAAACCACAGGTCTCTTAAAGGGGCAAGGTTTAACTACATTGCTATCTGATCTTGCTAAAAAAAAAAACCCTCAGAAATCATCTCTTTCTGATCAGATGGATCATCCTGACTTTTCTTCAGAAAATCCTAAAATAGTTGATTCAAGTGTGAATTTACATCCCAAACAGGAACTATTACTGATGAACAATGATGATAGAGATCCTCCACAGCATCATTCCTGCCTCCCTGATCAAGAGGTTATTAATGGTTCTTTGATCAACGGTAGACAGGCCGACTCTCCCATGTCAACCAGCTCTGGCAGTAGTCGTAGTTTCTCAGTTGCATCCATGCTTCCTGAAACAACAAGAGAAGATGTGACCAGCAATGCAACAACTAATACATGTGACAGCTGTACCTTTGTAGAGCAAACTGATATAGTAGCTCTTGCAGCAAGAGCTATTTTTGACCAGGAGAACCTTGAGAAGGGGAGAGTTGGCCTCCAGGCTGATATAAGGGAAGTTGCTTCAAAGCCTTCTGAAGCATCATTGTTAGAGGGAGACCCACCCTTCAAATCACAGATACCTAAAGAGAGTGGCACAGGACAGGCAGAAGCAACACCAAATGAATTTAATTCTCAGGGTTCAATTGAAGCAACTATGGAGAGGCCCCTTGAGAAACCAAGTTGTTCTCTAGGAATTAAAACATCAAATGCATCTTTACAGGATTCAACTTCTCAGCCACCAAGCATCACCAGTTTAAGTGTGAATAATCTTATCCATCAGAGCAGCATCAGCCATCCTCTGGCCAGCTGTGCGGGTTTATCCCCAACTTCAGAGCAAACAACTGTGCCTGCAACGGTTAATCTGACCGTTTCATCTAGCTCCTATGGCAGTCAACCTCCTGGACCATCTCTGATGACTGAATATTCCCAAGAACAGCTAAATACTATGACTAGTACCATACCAAATTCACAGATTCAAGAGCCACTCTTAAAGCCAAGCCATGAAAGCCGTAAGGATTCTGCTAAGCGTGCTGTCCAAGATGACCTTTTACTGTCTTCAGCTAAACGTCAAAAGCACTGTCAGCCAGCCCCCCTCAGGCTTGAAAGTATGTCCCTGATGAGCAGAACTCCAGACACCATTTCTGACCAAACTCAAATGATGGTCAGTCAGATCCCTCCTAATTCTTCAAACTCAGTTGTGCCTGTTAGCAACCCAGCTCATGGAGATGGCCTTACACGATTATTTCCACCTAGTAACAACTTTGTGACTCCTGCATTGAGGCAAACTGAAGTTCAGTGTGGTTCTCAGCCTTCAGTTGCTGAACAGCAGCAAACCCAGGCAAGTCAGCATCTACAGGCCCTGCAGCAGCATGTTCCAGCTCAAGGTGTATCTCACCTTCATAGTAACCATCTCTACATAAAGCAGCAGCAGCAGCAGCAGCAGCAGCAGCAGCAGCAACAGCAACAACAACAAGCAGGGCAGTTAAGAGAGAGGCATCACTTATATCAAATGCAGCATCATGTACCTCATGCAGAGAGCTCTGTCCACTCTCAGCCCCATAATGTCCACCAACAGAGGACTCTGCAACAGGAAGTTCAGATGCAGAAAAAGAGGAATCTTGTTCAGGGCACCCAGACCTCTCAGCTTTCCTTACAACCAAAGCACCATGGAACTGACCAATCCCGATCCAAGACTGGCCAGCCACATCCCCACCATCAGCAGATGCAGCAACAAATGCAGCAACACTTTGGAAGCTCCCAGACAGAGAAGAGCTGTGAAAACCCTTCAACTAGTCGGAACCATCATAACCATCCCCAGAACCATCTCAATCAAGATATTATGCACCAACAGCAGGATGTTGGAAGCAGACAGCAAGGTTCAGGGGTTTCATCTGAACATGTATCTGGCCATAATCCAATGCAGAGGCTTTTGACATCAAGAGGCTTAGAGCAGCAAATGGTGTCCCAACCAAGTATTGTGACTAGATCTTCAGACATGACCTGTACTCCACACAGGCCAGAGAGAAATAGAGTTTCAAGTTATTCTGCTGAGGCACTCATTGGAAAGACATCTTCTAATTCAGAGCAGAGAATGGGGATATCAATTCAGGGTTCCAGAGTTTCAGATCAGCTTGAAATGAGAAGCTATCTTGATGTTCCCAGAAATAAGAGTTTGGCTATTCATAATATGCAGGGTCGTGTGGACCATACTGTGGCCTCAGATATCCGCCTTTCTGATTGTCAGACGTTTAAACCAAGTGGAGCTAGTCAACAGCCCCAGAGTAATTTTGAAGTACAATCTTCAAGAAACAATGAAATAGGTAACCCTGTATCATCATTGCGGAGTATGCAGTCCCAGGCTTTTCGAATTAGTCAAAACACTGGCCCCCCACCAATTGACCGTCAAAAGAGATTATCTTACCCACCAGTTCAGAGCATCCCAACAGGAAATGGTATTCCATCAAGGGACAGTGAAAATACTTGTCACCAAAGTTTCATGCAGAGCTTACTTGCCCCTCACCTCAGTGATCAGGTCATTGGGAGCCAGAGGTCACTCTCAGAACATCAGAGGAATACACAGTGTGGTCCATCCTCTGCAATTGAATATAATTGTCCCCCAACTCATGAAAATGTCCATATTAGAAGAGAGAGTGAGAGTCAGAATAGGGAAAGTTGTGACATGTCGTTAGGTGCAATTAACACCAGGAACAGCACCTTGAATATTCCTTTTTCAAGTTCCTCTTCCTCAGGAGATATTCAAGGTCGAAACACAAGCCCCAATGTTTCTGTACAGAAATCCAATCCCATGAGGATTACTGAGAGTCATGCCACCAAGGGCCACATGAACCCTCCAGTCACAACCAACATGCATGGGGTTGCAAGGCCAGCGTTGCCACATCCATCTGTGTCTCATGGAAATGGCGATCAAGGCCCTGCTGTACGTCAAGCTAATTCTTCAGTTCCCCAGAGATCAAGGCATCCCCTGCAAGACAGCAGTGGTTCCAAAATTCGTCAGCCTGAAAGGAATCGTTCTGGAAACCAAAGGCAAAGTACTGTCTTTGATCCAAGTCTTCCCCATCTTCCTCTCTCTACTGGTGGCAGTATGATTCTTGGACGTCAACAACCTGCCACAGAGAAGAGAGGAAGTATTGTTCGTTTCATGCCTGATAGCCCACAAGTACCTAATGATAATTCAGGTCCTGACCAGCATACACTATCACAAAATTTTGGTTTTTCTTTTATTCCTGAGGGTGGCATGAATCCACCAATAAATGCTAATGCTTCTTTCATTCCACAGGTTACTCAGCCTAGTGCCACTCGAACTCCAGCCCTCATCCCGGTAGATCCGCAAAATACTCTGCCCTCCTTCTATCCTCCATACTCTCCTGCTCATCCTACACTGTCCAATGATATTTCAATCCCCTATTTTCCTAATCAGATGTTCTCAAATCCTAGCACAGAGAAGGTAAACAGTGGAAGTTTAAATAACCGATTTGGATCAATTTTATCTCCTCCCAGACCTGTTGGGTTTGCTCAACCAAGTTTTCCTCTTCTCCCAGATATGCCACCAATGCACATGACCAACTCTCACTTATCCAATTTTAATATGACATCTTTGTTTCCAGAAATAGCCACAGCGCTTCCTGATGGCTCAGCAATGTCACCTTTGCTTACAATAGCAAATTCCTCTGCCTCTGACTCTTCCAAGCAGTCCTCAAACAGACCTGCCCATAACATAAGCCATATTCTAGGTCATGATTGCAGTTCAGCTGTTTAAATACTGATAAACAAAATGTAAAGGTAATGAGTGAGATTACAAATGTATTTGTGCGTGCATGTGCACAGACATGTACATGAAGAGAAGGATTGTGTGTGTGTGTCTGTATAATCAGTTTTCAGTTATCTTCTGAATGTAGGGAAGCCATGTCAGATGCAGATACTGGGTTGTCAGAAAACAAGTTATCTTTCGTTTTCAACTGCATGGTGTACTTTTTTATTTTCCAAGTAGATTTACATTTCCAAGTTGATATTTCCTAAATACTAATTAGCTGGAAATTGGGGGAGATCATCTTGTCATGTACTGGGTAGTAGGAGGGAGCCTAGACTTTAAACTTGATTGTTGATAACTTATGGAATATGTAGGTAAGTTGCTACTGAAAAATATAGGCAGCTTGATAAAACACAGTGGCTCATAATCAAGTGCTGGCTAATGTCAGCATCTAGAACAGCTTCTTACCTATGACAGATGTTGAACTGATGTTGAGTTTAATGTCCGTAGTTAAAGTCAAGCAGTTAGCAAATAAATAAAAGCAATCAGCCTTTATTCTCAAAGTTTGGTTTAGATACAGGCTTCTTTCTAAATTATAACAATGCATAAATTATCTGAATTTTATGTCTTGTTCTTCAAATTAGGGAGCTGTGTTACCCTTTAATGTGCCAAGATTATTTAAAGCAAAGGTCTTCCTTAGACAATTATTTAGCCGTAAATATAGAAAGCTAAAAAGTTAAGTACATACATATTCTCCGTTTTGTGCTTGCATTTTGCATCGGGTCATAAGGGTAAAAGCAGTTAGTTGTATTGTGGAGTTTTGCATGGGTGCAGTTAACAATGGATGTTTCATCAGCTGAGTTTAATTTAGTATTCTCTCTTCATTCTATTTATTTGGTCTTGAAATAAATTCTTTTGCATTCATTTAAATATTAGGATTGATCAGGAAATAGTGTTTGTAATCTACACGTTTATTTGAGCCTTACTTTAAAAATATTTCTGAACAGAGATTTAAGCTCTGTCAGTATTTTCATTTACTGATAGCATTTATATTTTAAATATGGCATTGTATATTTCATTATTATCCTTCATAACAGAATTATAATGAGAATATGAATTTGTTATTTTTCTTGTTGGTAGATGTGAAATGGTGCTTCAAAAAATATATAGTCTTTCTGTATGTCTCTGTGTGTGTAAGTATGTGTGTGTGTGTGTACACATATTTTAAAGTATGAATTGGTCCTTTAAAAACAGGCCTGCCATCTGAAAATGGGAAATTGAGACCTGAGACCTGCTAAAGCATAGAAGAACTTGATATAGGTAGGGTTTTTTTTTTTTTTTTTTTTTTAATAGATGGAGTCTGGCTCTGTTGCCCAGGCTGGAGTGCAGTGGCGTGATCTCAGCTCACTGCAAGCTCCACCTCCCGGGTTCAAGTGATTCTCCTGCCTCAGCCTCCTGTGTAGCTGGGACTACAGGCACGTGCCACCACACCTGGCTAATTTTTGGTACTTTTAGTAGAGACGGGGTTTCACCGTGTTAGCCAGGATGGTCTTGATCTCCTGACCTCGTGATCCACCTGCCTCGGCCTCCCAAAGTGCCAGGATTACAGGCATGAGCCACCGTGCTTGGCCTAGGTACAGGTTTTTAAAAGCCCCACAGAAGTTTATAATACGTTTAAAAACCCATATTAAAATTTGAAAACTTAAAAAAAAAACTAAGAAAACAATGGCATATATTCCTTTTCTTAAACCTGTGAAGTCCATTACTTTTTGTTCTTGTTATATTCTGCCAAAAATGGGATGGGGTGGGAGAGATGCATAGAAATTGTTTTATCTGCCTTGTTAACAAAGTGAACTCAAGGACCAGCTTTTCTTTTCTTTCTTCTTTTCTTTTTTTTTTGAGACTCTGTCACCCAGGCTGGAGTGTCGTTAGGTGCAACTAACACCAGGAACAGCACCTTGAATATTCCTTTTTCAAGTTCCTCTTCCTCAGGAGATATTCAAGGTCACTTTGTCACCCAGGCTGGAGTCTACAATGGCAGGATCTTGGCTCACTGCAGCCTCTGCCTCCTGGGTTCAAGCAAATTCTTGAGCCTCAGCCTCCCGAGTAGCTGAGATTACAGGTCTGTGCCACTACACCTGGCTAATTTTTATATTTTTAGTAGAGACGGGGTTTCACCATCTTGGCCAGGCTGGTCTTGAACTCCTGATGTCAGGTGATCCACCCACCTCGGCCTCCCAAAGTACTGGAATTACAGGCATGAGTCACCCCTCCCAGGCCCCCCCCTTTTTTTTTAATCCTAAAAAGCTTCCTAAGGGTTGGTCAGAGCAGTTAACTCCAGTGAATACCTCTTCTAAAGACTCAGCAAAAGGGTCATTTGTGCCTCTTTAACTGTTCTTACCAAACTGTCCTGTCTCTTTTCTGCTGCCAACTAAGCAGCTTCCTAGGGACAAAAAAATATACAATATTTTTTTTTTTCTTGCTTACAAAGCAAGAACAACCTGTATTTTCTTTCTTCAAAATGGTCTTGGGGAAGAATAGGAGAGCTTCATGAATAAGTTACTCAAGACAACAGATAAACACAGTAGTCAAAACTTTTTATTGAGGAAAAATGTGGCATTTATGACTTGCTTTTTAATTCTCTTAACTGAATTTTAAGCTGCAACGTTCAAATTTTTCTTTGTACTTGAAAGGTCCAGTGTGCCAATTTCAAGAAGGACAGTTTTCCATGTGTTTGGCTATTCATTTCCCTCTCTCCCTCTCTCATCTGTCTGTCTCTCACTGCCTCTGTCTCTGTCTCTCATACACATATACACACACACACACACACACACACACACACACTCTCTCTCTCTCTCTCTCTCTCTCCAGTGGCTGTTAAGTTCTGAAGGACTGGGGACTGCTAGACATAATTGAAAGTAAGGTAACAGGCTAAGGAGAAGCTCAGTTTGAACATTGCAATGTAAAGTCCTCAAAGCCTGTGACTTTCAAGTATTTCTGTTGCATTAATTGTATTTTCCTGCTTAGCTGTGTTCAGACATAGTATTTGCATTTCTTGGAGCTTTCATTCCAACAGTCTAACATTTTGATCTTGAAAGAGTCTCAATAAGCCTTATTTGACCATCTGAGGAAAAATGTGACCATCTGTGAATAATTGGCTCCTGCTTACGTGTAGCTCTCATTACTTTACAGATGTATGCATGTGTATGTAAGACTTCAGTTCATACATGGCTTAATTCTGAAAGTGTTCAGACCATAGTACCCTTATTTGATTTAAAAGCATGAATATATGAGATTTACTAGCAGTATTAAGTATTTGATAGAGCTACGTGATTTTTGGGAAGAAATTTGTTATATGGTATGTAGTGTTAATTTGGATATAATTTTTGGTAAAGGGATGGCAGAAAACATAGTCAATTTTGGTTATAATAAACGTAACCTTATTCTTGGCCTGCTCCATGTGAAATAGGGCTCAGGGAAGCTGGTCTTTTCCTTAGCGGGATGATTACTCCTTTGCCTTGAAACATTTATTGGGCCCACCATGTATGGATCAGCATGTGGTGGTAAGTCATACTCCCAAATCAGTGATTCCCAAGTCTTGGCTTTGGGAACCAGTATGCCTCGTATTCTCTTAAAGAGCAACAAGAATTTCTTGAAACAAAATTAGTTCAGAATTGATTTAAATTTTTTAACTTCTGGAAATACACGAAGTTATGTCTGAGTCATGAGTGACAGTCATTGATTAAATCATTTCTCTGTCTCTTTTTTAGCATTATTGATCACAGAGTCCGTTATAAAAAGTGGTTGATTCCTTTCAACATTTAACAATAACTTCTAATGAAGGGTAAAATTCCAGATTCTCTTCATGCGTAAACATTTAATGTGTCAATCATAGATGAAAGGAATCTAGTTTGATGTTGTTTCTTTCTTTCTTTTTTTTGGAAAACACAAGTTGCTCTGGGATGGCTTATATGTTGTTTTATACCGGTTCAGGAAATTTATTTTTGTTTTTATTGTAAGACCTTTTGCGGTACCAGAGATGGCACCTTTTTTCTAGGTAAGGTGTAGGAATTCCTCAATGGTCTTGCTTCGTAAAATTTAACATATCAGAACTGGGGAAAGAGAAAGGAGGGGGTTATTTTTTTGCAGCATTTTCCAGTCACATATCAGGGTTATACTGAACTGCAACAAAGATCAACTTTTAAAAATTAGCCTTCTTAAAATACAAAATGATTTAAGTATTTTAAAGATAATTTATTTGCCTTGCTCTTGCCTTCTAACATTAGCCATTTCATGGAGAGGCTAAAACTTATACTCCAAAAAATGTGGAAGCACATTTTAATGGGAGTAAAATTAAAAAATTTTGAGAAAGGGTAAAATCTTATGAATATGCATCTTCTTAGCTTTATCTTCCCTTTGATAGGTAGGCACTTATGCTCTTCCATCTGCTCCATGTCAAATAGGGCTCAGGGAAGCCAGTCATTTCCTTAGCGAGATGATTACTCCTTTGCCTTGAAACATTTATTGGGCCCACCATGTATGGATCAGTGTGTGGTAGTGAGTCATACTCCCAAATCAGTGATTCCCAAGTCTTGGCTTTGGGAACCAGTATGCCTTGTATTCTCTTAAAAAGCAACAATAATTTCTTGAAACAAAATTAGTTCAGAATTGATTTAAAATATTTCAGTGTGCCATATAGCTCTGTCCCTTGGTTTGGTTGGCCTTGTTTTTTCCTGTGAAGAATGAAAGGGCAAAGGTGATACCAAAATGAAACAGCTTTGGAGTGATATCTTTAGGAGCCTGGAAGCCATTTTTGTAATTTTGTTGTCTATATAAATGCTACCTTTGCCTGGAGGTAGTGCGCCTGTGGCTGTGTACATCCAGAGGGCAACAGTAATAGCCAACAACCAGACAAACTAGTGAAGTTAATCTGTGAGTGATGATTTTATGATACTTATATGCAAATTAAAGGCAGAAGTTAGTTTCTTCTCAAGATGCCTTTTTGGCTGAACATTACCATTTTTCTTTCCCCAGGGTTTGAAAGAAAAGGGCCTTTTTTGGATTTAACTATATTCTGTCTGCATTCTATTCTTCATGCGTAGGTTTCTACTAGAACCTGTGGAGGGGGGACACCAAATTTAGATTGAGTCAGTCCATGCTGATAAGAAGCGTGAGGACCTTGTTGGACACAGAGCTTCTAGATCTTTCCACCTGTAGCCTCTACCCTGTTCCTGCACTTTACCTGAAACTGTGCCTCTGGTCTTTAGACCAGCTGTTGGAACATATCACTCACCCACTCCTCTGTTATAGCAAAGGGCCAGCTGGGATGGTACACGCTGTGTAATCAGACACCTTCTCGACAAGTACAGCTGATGTTTCTCACTGTTGCCTTACCATTCTCTGAGCCATCTTTGATGTTGATTTGTAAAAAAAAACAAAAAACAAAAAAAAAACCTAGTAGCAAAACTCCTGTTAAACTCAGAGCTTGTATGTGGTGGTCATTCAACATCCTTATTTCTAGATTTACACAAACTGTACCAACTGTAATCTTTTTCTGGCACGCGTATGTGGTCAGATGCTTCATAAACGTGAGCCAACTTGGGTTGTAAACATTGGACATAATATACAAATTGGGGAATTTTGGATGACTGCATAATCCTGTCATTAGAGATTTCATAAGACAGAAGATAACTGTTTATTTGTAATTTAACACATTTTTAGAAAAGATGATCTTTAATTTCTTTCCCTCAGTTGTGTATACAGCTATACACCATACTAACACCGTACTATGTCATAGGAACTTAAAGTTAGATGTATCTAAATCCCTTCACTTTTCTAAGACTTCTCTGTGCTCCCACCCCTGAAGTCTTCAAATCATTTTTCATCTGTGAAGTCACTGAGGTACTGGGCTTGACTATAGTGGTAACAGTTAAGGGGAGTTGAACTATTGATCTTCCAAGAAGAAAGGGACCAGATAGTGTTAAGATGCTGCAGTTGTGTTACTGTGAAGAAAAGATTCGCTTCCACTTTCAGCAGGCTATATAAATATATATACATATATATATATATTTTCACTTTGGTAAAAAAAAGTTGAAAAATCTGAGGAGAACATAATTACCTTCACAAATTATTTATAGATACACTGGGTGAGAAGCTTACTGTAGGGCAGTCACCCAAAAAAAACTAATTTTAGTGCTTTCAATAGTGTAATATTTGTATCTATTACCATGGCAGCAGTGTCTGCTGCACACTGTGTCCTATTACTGTAAATCTCCTGGTTTATAATTCTTATGGAAACTAATTTGTTTTGTAATGGAATCCAGAGCAGATATGTATAATATGATCAGGATTGTCCTACAGTTGTAAATAAGAATAGGTCCTGTTTATTTTGACATCTTTTTACAAATGCATTGTATTAGGGTGTGAATATTCTGAACCATCCTCTTGTTTAAAGTTTGGAAATTTTTATTGTTAAATGTAACATTTTAATGGTTGTAATAATTATTTGTATAGATATGAATATAGTATTTTATTTAAGAAAATAAACTTTGCATTTTTGCATTGTAAATTCTGTCTTCCCTGATCATTGCATGTGCCACTTCAAACCTGCATTAAAGTGGCTTGTCTTGCACTGAAGTATTCTATTCAAGTAATCTTTAAATTTTGCTATAACATCTGAAAATAATGCCATGACATATTTGCTATAGGGATTGTGTTCCTGATCAACCAGCAGACCTCAAATCATAATTATGACCAGAACTATCTTGTTAGAACAAACTGTATACCTCTATACTCATAAAAAGTAAAATTAGAATTTCAGATCTGGAAGAGTATTTCAAGATGATCCACTTTAAACTCTGCTGATTTTATAGTGGAGGAAACTGAAGCACAGAACTTTGAGACAAGTTAGGTCTTTCCCGATAGCTGCCCACATCACTTAGCAAAACTCACAAGCATGAAGCCTGGAGACAAAACAATTGCACGGGAACTTGTACAGTATAAAGTGATGTAAAGTTTAAATGCCCATACATCAGACAATTTATTGTTTGGGCTAGCCTACAGGTGTGGTAAAAATGATAAGGAAATGATAAACTCAAAATTCAGGATAATGGCTACTTCTTAGAAAAGGATAAAGGGATGATATCAAGGAGGGAGGAGTACTTCAAAAGTATTGTTATATTCTATTGCACTGGGTAGCAGATGCTCAGATGTTGATCTCATTTATGCCTGAAGTCTTTGTTCTATGAATGTCTAAAATATATCCTAATGTTTTAAAAGGTAAAATGGCCAGGCACGGTAGCTCACACCTGTAATCCCAGCACTTCGGGAGGCTAAGGCGGGTGGGTCACTTGAGGTCAGGGGTTCGAGATCAGCCTGTCCAACATGGTGAAACCCCATCTCTACTAAAAATACAAAAATTATTGTATTTTTACAATACAATTGGGTGTGGTGGCATATGCCTGTAATCCCAGCTACTGGGGAGACTGAGGCAGGAGAATTGCTTGAACTTGGGAGGCAGAAGTTGCAGTGAGCCAAGATTGTACCACTGCACTCCAGCCTGGGCGACAGAGCAAGACTCTGTCTCAAAACAAATAAATAAAAATAAAAGGTAAAATGAGGACCTTAGACACCACTTATTCTCACATATACTCCAGGAAATTAAAGCTCACAATATTTTCCTTGACCCGTCTTCTTGGGACTTCAGATTAAAAGTCGGTATTCTGACTGTGAAGGGCTAACTTCCTACTATTGCATACCACCTCCCATTCAGATGTTATAGATGGAAGATACATTTTGATTATACAAGAAGCCCTAATATGCCATGAAAGACATATAAATCATAAAGATGCAAACACTATGCTTAAATTTAATCTCCCTAAAAGTTATAGTGTAGTTTTTGGAATTAACAGCAATTACAAATATAAGAGAACTATCTGAACAAAATTCCAGAGAAATTCCATTTCTAGGTAAGCTGAGATCTCTGGTCTTTTTTCCCCTGGGGATGTTGGATGAGTCTGGGCTGAAAAGGCAGAGTGAAAGCACCCATAGTTTCATGAAGCTTAGGAGACAACGTCCTGCTAGAGGGAGCAGGTGTCATTCTCAAGACATTTAAAACCAGAGGCAAACTGAATCTAACTAAAGCTACATCCCAGCTCTCATACAGCTCAATACTCTCTGCCTAACAAAGGAAACATGAACCCTCTCTGGTGGAAAATACCATCCACCTTAATTTCTAACGTTCTTTTATATACAATCCCCAGAAAATACATACAATGTCTAGGAAATGTGGCCAAAAAGCAGAAAGAAAAGCGGATTGTATAAGTAGACCCACAGACAATCAAGATGCACAGACAAGGGCTTTAAAATAACTATAAAAATATGTTAAAATGGAAAAATTTTAAAATACGTTAAAAATAGAGAATTATAATTTATAAAAAACGAAATGGAACAGAAAACAGTAGTTGCTGGGGGAAGGTGGAAGGGTTGACTACAAAGAGGAACAAATTTTGGGGGGAGATGTTTTATATCTTGTGTGGTTAAAAGTCACAGAATTGTACTCTGTCAGATGGATTTTGGATGTAAGTTATACTTCAATAAACCTGACAAATAATGGAAAAAAAGAATAGAATGAACATCTAGAGCTGGAAAAGTGAAATTAGGAAATTCTTTTTTTTTTTTTTTTTTTTGAGATGGAGTCTCGCTCTGTCACCCTGGCTGGAGTGCAGTGGTGCAATCTTGGCTCACTGCAAGCTCTGCCTCTGGGGTTCATGCCATTCTCCTGCCTCAGCCTTCCGAGTAGCTGGGACTACAGGCACCCGCCACCACGCCTGGCTAATTTTTTTTGTATTTTTAGTAGAGACAGGGTTTCACCATGTTAGCCAGGATGGTCTCGATCTCCTGACCTCGTAATCCACCTGCCTCAGCCTCCCAAAGTGCTGGGGTTACAGACATGAGCCACCACACCCAGCCAGGAAATTCTTAAATAAATTTGTAGTAAAGTACACATATCAGTCAATAGGAAATCAAACCAAAGCACAGAGAAAAAAAAAGGAATAGAAAAGAGTGATCAAAATGCAAGATATGTGTGGGGCACTGTCAAAATATCCAACTTATGTATCACTAGAGCTTCAAACAGAGAGGAGAGAGAATTGGACAGAAGTAATATTTGATGGGTGAAAATGTTCAAAACTGATAAATATATTAACTATAGATTCTAGATGTTTGGTGAACCCACAAGTAGGATAAATGTAAAGAAAGTTACACCTATACATCATAAGCAGACATCTGAACTCTAAAGATAAAGGACTTTGGGAGGTCAAGGCAGGCAGATCACTTGAGGTCAGGAGTTCGAGACCAGCCTGGCCAACATGGTGAAACCCTGTCTCTACTAAAAATACAGAAATTAGCCAGGCATGGTCGTGGGCACCTGTAATCCCAGCTACTTGGCCCAGCTTGGGTGACAGAGTATGATTCCATGTCCAAAAAAGAAAAAAAAAAAAAGAAAATTTGAAAGCACCTGGGTGATAAAGATACATTGCCTACAAAGAAGCAACAATAGGACTGCTGACTTTATAACAAAAATGATGGAAGCCAGGAGACAGTGGAATGGCATCTTAAAAGTAAAGGACAAAAAAAAAAAAAAAAAACCTACTGACATGGAATTCTATAAATTATTAAAATTCCCTAAAAACTAAAAGAGAAACACATATTCATACAAACAAAAATTGAGCAATATTTTGTTTTACCAGTAGACCAGCACTACAAGAAATTTTAAAGGAAGTTATTTGGTTTGCTGGAAAATGATCCCAGATGAAAGAAGTGAAGAGGGCTTGAAAGGGTAAATTATTGGCAAATATAAAAGAATATTGAGATTTAAAACAATAACAATGTCTTGTAAGGCTTATGCAAATGCAGAAGTAAAATATATTACAATAATAAGACAAAGTGAGAGGATAAATGAAGTAAAACTGGTGTGGATATTTTATTGCTGAGAAGTTGTAGAAAATGATAATTAAAGGTAGATGGTAATAAATCAAGGTTCTGTATTATAATTTCAAAAGAATAATAAAGTAGGGCAAAACTGAAATGCTAATAGATAAGATAAAATAGAGAAGGTAAAAGGGAATAACAAAATACTGGATTATTCAATGTATTTAATCAAATAATTAAATATTTAAGGACACACTTTTAAATAAGTCAGAAAAAATGAATTAAAAGAACAAATAGAAAAATAACAGAAAAATGATGGACTTACAACCATCTAGATCAGTATATTATAGATTGAAATAGCCATTTAAAATTTTAAAAGTAGACTGAATTACAAAAATTAGAATCAACTATATGTTGTTTACAAAATGCACAAAAAACCCACCTTAATTATAAGGAAACAGATTAAAAGTAAAAGGATGGAAAAAGATATGTAAGATATGTAAATTCTAATAAAAAGAAAGCTAATATGGCTATAGTAAAATCAGATTATTATGGCCTGACTTTGCTGCTGGGTCTGCTGTTCCCACCCCTTTAAAGCTGTTGGATGTCAAACATGCTACATAAGAACCAGAGGCCACAAGTAATTCAAACGTTTATTCCTCATTCAGGACTACACAAACTTATGAAGTGTGAAGAGTCCCTGGGTGAGGTAGCCCACCACCTGAAAGAAGTCTCTCTAATGTTTGGGTAGAGTGTGGGGGAGATAAGAGGGAAGAGAGAGAGATAGAGAGAGAGAAAGAGAGAGAGAGAGAGAGAGAGAGAGACCTGTGTGATGTAGCTAAAGCATTAATCTGAGGGAAATGTATAGCTTTAAATGCCTACGTAAAAAAAGAGAATTTGAAAAAATCAGTGATTTCAGTTTCCATCTCCAGAAGCTGGAAAAATAGTAACTTAAGTCCAATGTAAGTCAAAGGAAAAGTATAATAGAGCAGAAATCAATAAAATACAAAGCAGATAGCTGACAGAGAAAATCAACAGACAAAAAGTTAATACTTAGAAAAGGCTAAAAAAGAAAAAAGAGGTCAAACGCGATGGCTCACGTCTATAATTCTAGCATGGCAAAACCCTGTCTCTACAAAAAATACAAAAATTAGTTCGGTGTGGCGGTGCACTCCTGTAGTTGCAGCTACCCAGGAGGTTGAGGTGGGAGAATCATTTGACCCTGAGCGGTGGAGATTGCAGTGAGCTGAGATTGCGCAACTGCACTCCAGCCTGGGTGACAGAATGGTACCCTGTCTCAAAAAAAGAAAAAAAAAGACCAGGAAAAAAGAAGATAAATATGAATGATCAATATCATGAATGTAAAAGAGGACATCACAAAACATTATACAGAAATTAAAAACATAAAATATTATTTACAACTTTATGCCAATAATATTGACAACTTAGAGGAAATTGACAAAATTATTGAAAAATGCAACTTATCAAAATAGATACAAGAAGAATAGAAAATCTTTATAGTCTTATACCTACTGATGAAATGGAATCTATTATTTAAAATCTTCCTACTACATATTGTAGGATTCCATTTCTATGAAAGTCTAGAATAGGCAAATCTATAGAGACAGAAAGCAGATTAGTAGGTATCTAGATACCTGGGGGCTTTGGAGGAAAATGAGGAATGACTGTTAATGGGTGTGGAATTTCTTTTGGGGGTGGTGAAAACGTTTTAAAATTAATCATGGTAATGTTGCACAACTCTGTGAATTGACTAAAAGCTGTTGAACTCTATGCTTTAAATGGGCGAATTTTATGGTGAATTATATCTCAGTAAAGTTGGTTTTTAAAAAAATCTTCCTACAATGAAAATTTCAAGCTCAAGTGATTTCAGGGGTAAATTCCTCTAACTATCAAAGGAAGAAGTACACCAATCTACTCAAATTCATAAACTAGAGAAAGAGGGAACACTTCTAAACTTGCTTTAGGAAGTTAACATGACCTCAATATCAAAATTTACATTACAGTAAAAGAAAATTATAGGCCCATATCCTGAATAAACATAAGTATGAAAATGCTAAACAAAATGTCAGCAAATTGAATCTAGTGATATAGGAAAAGAATAGTACATCATCATCATATGGTGTTTATTTCAGGAAAGCTAAGTTGTTTTAGCACTTTAAAATCAATTTTTCAACTCATTGTATTAGTAGAATAAAGGAACAAAGCATATAGTAACTCAAACAGTTAATAAAATTCAGCATCCATTTATGGCAAAAATGCTAAACAAAATTGAAAGAGAAACATTCTCAATATGATAAGGCACATCTACAAAAAAACCAAAACCAAAACCCCACAGCTGTCACACTTAATGATATCCCCCTGAAGTTAGAAACAAGACAAGAATGATAATTATTCAACATTTTAGTGGTATTCCCTGCCAGTGTATTACTAAGCAATAAAGCTACCCACCAAAAACTATAAAATGTTGCTGGGATAAATTAAAGGAGCTCAAAAGAAGCAGAAAGGGCTGGACGCAGTGGCTCATGCCTGTAATCTCAGCACTTTGGGAGGCTGAGGCGGGCAGATCACGAGGTCAGGAGATCGAGGCCATCCTGGCTAACACGGTGAAACCCCGTCTCTACTAAAAATACAAAAAAAAAAAAAAATTAGCCAGGCGTGGTGGTGGGCGCCTGTAGTCCCAGCTACTCGGGAGGCTGAGGCAGGAGAATGGCGTGAACCCCAGAGGCGGAGCTTGCAGTGAGCCGAGATTGTGCCACTGCACTCCAACCTGGGTGACAGAGCGAGACTCTGTCTCAAAAAAAAAAAAAAAAAAAAAAAAAAAAAAAAAAAAAGCAGAAAGGATGCAATGCCATTCAGATGTATCTATAGAGATATGCAATTGCAACTTAAATCACTGCAGATATTTTTTGAGGAGAGTTGGCAATTGACAAACTGATTCTAAAATTTATATAGTATTTAATATAATAATTACATAAATGTAAAGATCCTAGAATAGCCCAGACCATCTTAAAGAACAAAGTTGGAACACTTAAACTGCCAAAAAATTAGTGTAAAACTTGGTAATTAAAACAGTGTGATAATGGCACAATGATAGATGGTAAACTGATGGAAGGAAAAAGAAATTTCATAAATAGACTACACATAGTCAATTGATTGATGACAAAGCTGCCAATTGCATTTCAGTGAGTAAAAGATTGTCTTTTCAATAAATTGTGCTGATGCCAATGGATATCTGTAGGGGGAGGGGGAAAACTAGACCCCTTACCTCAAAGTACACATAAAAATTAATTTGAGATGGATTCTAGACCTAATTGTGAAAGGTAAAAGACTCAAGATCCTAGAATAGTGGTTTTTAAATGTGGCCCCCAGAATCTCCGGGGTTTTCTGAAATCTTTTTCAGGAGTCCATAAGGTCAAAAGTATTTTTTATGCTAGTACTAAGATGTGGCATGCCTATACGTTGTGTTGATATTTGCGCTTACAGTGTAAAAGCAATGGTGGGTAAAACTGCTGGTCCTTTAGCATGAATCAAGGCAGCGGCATCATGACTGTCCTAATGATCATCATAAACTCATAGTAAAAAATAGTTCAGCTTAGAATGTCCTTGGTGGAGCAATAAAATGTATTAATTTTATTAAAACTTGACTCTTAAGTACATTTCCTTTTAATATTACCTTTAAACATTACATTAATGTTTTGTATTCTGGGACCACATGGAAAGCAAACATAAAATACTTCTGTTGCAAACCAAAGTATAACGGTTAGCTCAAGGGAAAGCACTAGGGCAATTGTTTGAATTGTGGGAGAAAATAGTGGCTTTTTTTCATAGAATACTGTTTCATAGATTGCTATTTTTAGTGGAAAGAATGGCTGGCTGGGCATGGTGGCTCACACCTGTAATCCCAGCACTTTGGAAGACCGATGTGGGTGGATCAAGTGTGGCCAGGAGTTCAAGACCAGCCTGGCCAACATGGCAAAACCTGTCTCTACTAAAAATACAAAAATTAGCTGGGGGGTGGCATGTACCTGCAGTCCCAGCTACTCAGGAGGCTGAGGCACACAAATCACCTGAACCCAGGAGGCAGAAGCTGCAGTGAGCAGAGATTGCACCACTGCACTCCAGCCTGGGTGACAGAGACAGACTCCGTCTCCAAAAAAAAAAAAAAAAAAAAAAGGGTGGCTAAAATCTATGATTATTTAGACTTGAATATTTGGCAGGCATTTTCTCAAAAATGAATGAAACGAGCCCATCACAGTATTTACCACTGTGAGCTTGACAGGTTCCCACTAAGACTTCTCCAATGAGATGAGTGGTGACATTAATGAATAGTGTATGTATTTATTAATAATTATATAATGAAATGTGTCAGTGTTTGGAAGGTTTTTATAATTCAGTGAACCAATATTTTCCAAATGGCCAAGGCATGCTGTTACAAAATCATGCATGAGTAAAAAAAATCCATTCAAGTGCAAAATAGACCAATGGATTTCAATGTAACACAACATGAAAAGTTTACTGATATGGTTTCAAATGCCATTGCAACTAATTTTGGGGAGCTACCATTTGTTGAGTTTTGGTATAGTATTGGAGAAAAATATCCACAATTATCTAAAAAGGCTACTAAAATGTTCTTCCCTTTTCAACTACATATTTTAGTTTGAGTTTAGATTTTCTTCATACACAGTCATGTGCTGTATGAGGACATTTTGCTCAATGACTGAATATACATGATGTTGGTTCCATGAGGGTATAATGGAGCTGAAAAGTTCTTATCGCCTAGTGACATGATAGCCATCACAACGCCCTAGCACAAGGCATTATTCATCTGTTTGTGGTGATGTTGGTGTGAACAAACTTACTGTGCTGCTAGTCACATACAAGTACAGCAATACAATTATATACAGTACTCAATACTTGATAATGATAATAAATGACTATATTACAGGTTTATGTATTTACTATACCATAGTTTTTTATTGTTATTTTAGAGTGTACCCCTTCTACTTATTTTTTAAAAAAAGTTAACTGTGAAACAGCCTCAGGCAGGTCCTTCAGGAGTTTTTCCAGAAGGCATTGTTGTCATAGGAGATGACAGCTCCCTGTGTGTTATTGCCCGTGGAGACCTCCAGTGGGACAAGATGGAGAGGCAGAAGACAGTGATATTGACCATCCTGACCCTAGGCTAATGTGTATGTTTGTGTCTTAGTTTTTTACAAAATGTTTAAAAAGTAAGAAAATAAAAAATGACACTTATTCAAATTCAAAAAAGAAAATAAAAAATAAAAAAGTTTAAAAATAGAAAAAAGTATAGAATAAAGATACAAAGAAAAATATTTTTGTACAACTTTACAATGTGTTTGTGTTTGAAGCTGTTATTACCAAAGAGTAAAAAAGTTAAAAAATTAAAGTTTAAAAGTAAAAATGTAATAGTAAGCTGTTTCATTTATTGAAGAAAAATTTTTTTTTAGAAAATAAATTTAGTGTAGCCTCAGTGTGCAGTGTTTATAAAGTCTAATGCAGAGTAATGTCCTATGCCTTCCCATTCACTGACCACTCACTCATTGACTCACCCAGAACAACTTCCAGTCCTGCAACTGTGTTCATGGTAAGTGCCCTATATATAGGTGTACCATTTTTTAATCTTTTATACCATATTTTTACTGTACCTTTTCTATGTTTACATATGTTTAGATACCCAAATACTTACCATTGTGTTACAATTGTCTATAGTATTCAGTACAGTAGCGTCCTGTACAGGTTTGTAGCCCAGGTGTGTAGTAGGCTATACCATGTAGGTGTAAGTACACTCCGTGATGTTGGCATAACAGCAAAAACCCCTAATGACACATTTTTCAGAATGTCTCACTATTGTTAAGTGACACTTGACGGTACTTCAAGCAAAACACACACTGCAGCAAAGTGAATGCAGAAACCCATATGGGAATTCAGCTATTGTCTATCAAGTCAGACATTAAACTGATTACAAAAATGTAAAACAGCATCAATCTTCTCAGAATTTTTGTTTGGGAAAATGTAGTTATTTCCATAAAATGTTATTTGTATTATGTAATAAGTTTATTATCTTTAAATGTATTAATAAATGTTTGTAAATTTTCTATTTTTATTTCTAATATGCTAAATATTGACAGATATAACCCACATAAACAAAAACTCTTTGGGTTCCTCAAAAATGTTTAGGAATATAAATGGATCCTTAGACTAAAGTTGAGAACTAGTATTTTAGAAGACACCACAGGAAATATCCAACCATAACCATATAAGAAAAAAATTGTTAGATTGGACTTCATTAAAATGCAGAATTTTTTTCATCAAGTCACAGATTGTCAAAGATTATATATATCAAAAAAGAAAATGACTCATAAGCTGATTTTCAGAATGGGCAAAGGACCTGAACAAATCTTTCACACAAATGGCTAAGAAGTCTATGAAAAGGGGCTCAACATCATTAATCATCATAGAAATGCAAAACAAAATACAATGAGATACCACTTCATTCTCATCCAGAGAGGCTAAACTGGAAAGAACTGACAAATGCCAAATGTTGGCAAAGATGTGGAACAATGGGAACTCTCACACAACGCTGATGAAAGTGTACATAGGTACAACCACTTTGGAAAACTGTTAGCATTATCCTTTAATGATATAGACATACCTACTCCATAACTTAGCAATTCTATAGTATAGTAAGTATATACTGTGGAAAAAAGTTCACCAAAAGACACGTATAAGAATGTTCATGGTTGCCCAGGCATGGTGGCGCATGCCTGTAATCCCAGCACTTTGGGAGCCTGAGGCAGATGGATCACCTGAGGCCAGGAGTTTGAGACCAGCCTGGCCAACATGATGAAAACCTGTCTCTATGAAAAATACAAAAAATTAGCTGGGTGTGGTGGCCGGCGCCTGTAATCCCAGTTATTCTGGGAGGCTGAGGCAGAATTCCTGGTGAGCAGAGGGAGCCATCTCCGGCCTCGGCCAGCCCCAGAGAGGGGCCCTGATAGCACAGCAGCGGGCTGAAGGGCTCCTCGAGTGCAGCCAGAGTGGACGCAGAGGCCGAGGAGGTGCCGAGAGTGAGCGAGGGCTGCTAGCACGTTGTCACCTCTCAGTCTCAAACTCCTGACCTCAAGTGATCCACTCACCTCGGCCTCCCAAGGTGCTGGGATTACAGGCTTGAGCCACTGCACCCAGCCGGAAGTTTGAATAGACGTTGGTTTTCTCTTAATAAATTTCCCCTGAGTAGGCAATATCTAAAAGTCATTTTACTGTCATTCCTTTTTTTTTTGAGACAAGTTCTAAAAAGAGGTCTCAAAGAGAGATCTTTCTGTCGCTGGAGTGCAGTGGTGTGATCATAACTTACTGCAACCACAATCTCCTGGGCTCAAGGGATATTCCTGCTTCAGCTATTCGTGTAGCTGGAACTACAGGTGTGCACCACTTTGCCCAGTTAATCAAAAAAATTTTTTGTAGAGACAGGGTCTCACTATGTTGCTCAGGCCGATCTTGAACTCCTGGCTCAAAAGATCCTCTCTCCTTAGCCTCCCAAAGTGCTGGAATTACAGGTGTGAACCAATGCACTGTCATTTTTTTTTTTTTTCTTTTTTTTTTTAAGACAGCGTCTCGCTCTGTCACCCAGCCTGGAGTGCAGCGGCGCGATCTCGGCTCACTGCAAGCTCCGCCTCCCAGGTTCACGCCATTCTCCTGCCTCAGCCTCCTGAGTAGCTGGGACTATAGGCGCCCGCCACCACGCCCGGCTAATTTTTTTGTATTTTTAGTAGAGATGGGGTTTCACCGTGTTAGTCAGGATGGTCTAGATCTCCTAACCTCCTGATCCGCCTGCCTCGGCCTCCCAAAGTGCTGGGATTACAGGCGTGAGCCACCGCGCCCGGCCCACTGTCATTCTTTAGAAGAGGAAAAGGCATGGCACTATTTTGTGTGTTGTTCCCCTGTTACCTGGCTGTGACTTTGGGAAAGTGGCATAACTTCTTTGTGTCTTTTTGCTTCTCATTCTTACCTGTTTATTGTTGTTATTACCTGTCCTGCATACTTCACAGGGCTGTTGTTAAGGACAAATGAGGTTTTAAATGTATTTTCCATAACCGTCCTCATTTCCGCCTCTCCTGCATGTGAGACTGAAATGCAGTCTCCACTAGAATATATTTAGTTGATCAGGGTCAACAGCTCCTTTGCCCGTTTCCTCCTGTGAGAAATTAAGGAGATGATGCTTATTTGCTTCCTAGATAAGTTCAGAAGTCAGGTAGGTTGGTTAACTAGTATCAGTACTTAATTTTTCACATGATCAAATAAGCTACAGATTTTGGGGAAGATACTAACATCCAGCTTTTAACTAAGTTTCTGCTGTGTGGGTCTGGTTGGTGGTGTTTTCTTACACTGCTTAATCACATTCAGATCTGTGGTTTGGAAAAAGGCTTCAGCCTGACTGTAGTTGTGTAGAACTTACTGGTTTGGGAAGTTTCTGGGAATTCATGGTTTAATTAGGTTATATCCCCCCCACCTTTTTTTTAAATGCTGCCATGAAGCGATGTGCAAATTCACTTTAAATATTTTTATTTTTTATTTTTTTGGGACAGAGTCTCGCTCTATTGTCCAGGCTGTAGTGCAGTGGTGCGATCTCAGCTCTCTGCAACCTCCACCTCCTGGGTTCAAGCGATTCTCCTGCCTCAGCCTCCTGAGTAGCTGGTATTACAGGCACGCACCATCACACGAGCTAATTATATATTTTTAGTAGGGACAGGGTTTCATCATGTTGGCCAGGCTGGGCTCAAACTCCTGACCTCAAGTGATCTGGCCCCCTCGGCCTCCCAAAGTGCTGGGATTACAGCTTTAAGCCACTGTGCCTGGCCCACTTTAAATATATTTTTTAAAAAGCCCAACTGACAGCTTAGTACAGGAGGTGAAACAGGAGTACGTTAGCATGTCAGAGTTCCAAACCAAGTCCTATTGCTTTTTTTGTCTTATTTCTGGACAAACTTAGAAACATTTATCACCATTATCATTATACCCTAAATGAGGAAATATGATTTTCCAGTTCAGTGCAGGTAGTTCCTTTGTCTAAAATTTTTCTTTTTCTTTTCTTTTCTTTTTTTTTTTTTGAGACAGAGTCTCCCTCTGTTGCCAGGCTGGGGTGCAGTGGCACAGTAGTACGATCTCGGCTCACTGCCTCCTCCGTCTCCTAGGTTCAAGCAATTCCCCTGCCTCAGCCTCCCGAGAAGCTGGGATTACAGGCACCTGCCACCACGCCTGGCTAATTTTTTTGTATTTTTAGTAGAGACAGGGTTTCACCATATTATCCAGGATGGTCTTGATCTCCTGATCTTGTGATCCGCTTGCCTCAGCCTCCCAAAGTGTTGGGATTACAGGCGTGAGCCACTGTGCCCAGCCTAAAATTTTTCTTTAAAATGTTTTGGGGAAGAAAATTTAAAGTAGCTGGGATGAAACTACTACCTTATAGGAGAAGACAGCTGGGCCCAGAGACCAAGAACAAAGATGGTTTGACCACTGAGGGAGCTGGAGATTCTGCCTGATCCATGAGGCCAGCACAGATTGGTTTTGGAGGCAGCTTTGGAGAACTTTTAGACTCTTGACAACTTTTTGAGTTTTTGAATGTTTTTTAACCTCTAATTTTCTTTTTTTGTAGAGACAGGATCTTGCTATGTTGTCCAGGCTGGTTTCAAACTCCTGGCCTCTGGTGGTCCTCCTGCCTTGGCCTCCGCAAATGCTGGAATTATAGGCATGAGCCAATGCACTGGGCTACTGAAAGTTTTTTAGAAAATAAATAACCACACTACATTCCTGTGCTTTCTCTCCATTTTAAGTTTCGTTTTTGAAACAACAGGCTCCCAGTAGTAACCTGATGCTTTATGCTGCACGTTTTAATTTAAAATGAATCTTTGGGTCTACAGTGCTTTGCCAAGTGCAATCATTGAATTTATAAAAAGGACTTTGGTTCTTACGTTTACAAGCTTAGAACCTGAAGCAATAGTCCTTATATAAATCCAGCTGTTCCAGTTTAGAGAGCCAAAATGCTTCACAGCCGTGGTTTTATTGATTGGCTTTCCTAAGGCACAATGTGTTTCATTGTTACTCAGGTTTATATATCAGGCATATGTCTTCCGTATTTTGGAAAATGCTTTTCTTTTTGTTAAATTTTTGTATTTTTTTCGAGATGGAGCCTCGCTCTGTCCCCTAGGCTGGAGTGCAGTGGTGCTATCTCAGCTGATTGCAACCTACGCCTCCTGGGTTCAAGAGATTCTCCTGCCTCAGCCTCCCTAGTAGCTGGAATTACAGATGCACGCCACCACACCTGGCTATTTTTATTTTTTTTGTATTTTTGGTAAAGACAAGGTTTCGCCATGTTGGCCAAGCTGGGCTTGAACTACTGACCTCAGGTGATCCACTTGCCTCGACCTCCCAAAGTACTGGGATTATAGGTGTGGGCCACTGTGCCGGGCCATACCTTTTTTATATTTTTAGTAGAGATGGGGTTTTGTCATGTTGGCCAGGCTGGTCTTGAACTCCTGCCCTCAAGTGATCCACCCGCCTTGACCTCCCAAAGTGCTGGGATTACAGATGTGAGCCACTGCATCCAGCTGAATGTTGGCTGTTTTAATGACCAGTTATGCCAAACTTAATGTTCTATAAATAGAAATTGGAAGGTAGGAATTGAGGACATAAGTTTCCAATAGTAAGATCTCACTAAGAGGGCAGACTGAAAGCTTCAGTCCCATACTTGTCCTCTAGCAGAGTGAGGTTGTTGCAACCTCTTAGGAAGAGTTAGGCAGAGGAGCTGTTTTTATTTCTTCAGGGATGGAATAAAATCATCCCCACTCCAATTATCCTTCTCTCTAGATCTCTGTTTTCTGCTGAGATTAAAACTGGGACTTTCATTTTTCTTATGAAAAATTTGAGGTCATCAGTTATATCACCTTATTTTTCTGACTTCTCCCCTTTTACCTAGGAATGACAGTTATTCACCTCCTCTGGGCAGGACAGGCCAGGCTGTAGGCGTCCGACAGGCTGTAAGCTTCCCTGTTAGTCCCAACATGATATTTTAAAATTCTGCCTGTAGTAAGTAGTCTCTGTAGTCTCAGCTCAGTGGACCCCAAGGCTTGCTTTCTTTTTGCTTTCAGTTTACTTGAAAACAAGATCAAACCTATCACACCAAAAGTTTTTCCTCCTCCTTTAGTCCCCCGTCCCCAATCCATTTTATAGACACTGAAACGGCCTTCTGCAGGCTCCACGCATCATCTGTGTCATCAACACTACTACCCAATGCTTTTCATGAAGTTAAGTAGTTTTCTTTTCCTTCTAGCTTACTTCTTAACTTCCATTACTCAAAGCAGCTATCTTTCCCTGTTTGTCCCAATCCAGTCTCATTTACCTTCTTGTTTAAAGACACCTTCCACATTCATAGCTTTTAGGGATGGTTCAGGCTAAAATCATACCTGTTCCCTTCCCCCTTAGACTTTCAGAAATCACTAACTGCTTGAGCGTGACCTTCGAATTGGTCTCCATTCAAGGTCTTCCACGTTTACATTATTCTTGCCGCATCTCAGTTTTCCTTTTCCTGAATGTTCCATCCACATAATTATTATAAGGTTCTAGCCTTTGAAAGTCAACTTGAAATTCTCAGACACATTTGGAGGAATCTCAGCAAGAAGCCTATTTCTTCAAAGTCACCCTTCCCTGAGAACCAGCATCCTTCTCTGATACCAGAGCCCAAGCAGAGTCACCCTAATTACTTTATTTCTGTGTTTGGTTTTGTGGTAGAACTGGGAACCATAGACAGAGAAAGCCTGAACCTCCCTAAAGAGGTCTCTTAGGGAGGCCTCCAGAACCAAATATGCTCTCGAGGAATTCAGCTGTGAGAGAGATGCTATCAGCAATTAGGGCTTTACATCTAAGCATAAACATTGCTGACAATTACTTGGATTTTTTTTCTGTTCTGCACATAATGATAAGAGTCTTATAAGGATGTTCTCTTCTTGTAGCTTTTTGCCTGATTATCATTAACAGATTATAATCATGTGTTTTTTTCATGTCCATCTTCCCCAACGGACTGTAGATGACCTGGGCCAGTTCACCCCTCCTTAGACAACCTGGTGGTCCCCTGCTCCCGGGAGGTCACCATATTGATGCCGAACTTAGTGTGGACACCCGATCGGCATAGCGCACTACAGCCCAGAACTCCTGGACTCCAGCGATCCTCCAGCCTCAGCCTCCCAAGTAGCTGGGACTACAGGCACGTGCCACCGCGCCCGGCATTTTGTTCACTGACGTGCATTTTGTTCACTGCTGTGCCCATTTTCTCACAGTGCCTAGCCCAAATATTTCATGACTGTTTACTAAAGGTGTATTTCTGATTCTATGTAAGTGAACAGAGATGTGATGAGAGGATAAAGGGGAAATGCACCCCCTCAAAAAGCTTATTACTTCACAAGGTATCCCATGTTGAGATAAACGCAGAGTAAACCTCATGCCTAAATATGTCCTGTTTCCTCAAAGAGGCCTGCCTAGTACCAGGGTGCCTTGTGAAAGGTTCAGATAAGCAATTTAATGCAAATCATAAAATGCAAACCCACTTCTTTCTGGGATGGTAATGTTGTAGCACCCTAAAAGAGAGAGCGTTTGAATTATTTTGGAGAATATTCTGCTTCAAGGACCTAGAGTCATAACTCACACAAAAAAGTCAAGATTTAAATATAAAACAGGGGCTCAAGAGTGAGCCATGTTGAGATTGTATATCAGTTTTCTCTTGCCCTGATTTGAAAATCTTTCACTGTTTAAATCTGTTGATTTCTAAATTGTAACTATAATGCCGGGACAGGAGATGGGACCCCTAGTTTTTATTTAGCACTTGACTGAAATGTAACATGACTTCAAGATTCTTTTATATTAAAAAAAAAGTCAGCTATTGTTCATCTCCAGTGAAATGAATAAAACTTAGATGACAGGGACTTAAAGGTAGACAAAAAGATGTAGGACAGAGCCAAGGAATTTAAACAATTTTCAGAGTTCAGGGAAAATGATAAAATCTCTTAATCTAGAGATATTTAAGAAGAAGGCAGGGATCTTTTCTCTAAAATTGGGGGAGCAAAGGGTACTTCTTCGTGAACAACGGTATCCATCTAGTCTTTTTTGTACTACAATAAGAATAGCAAGACCGTGCTTCAGGAAAGCTGTCCAGTGTAAACAGGCCCCGCCTTGGAGTTCATTGAGGACAGGTCTCTTTCTACAGAGGAGACCCAAGTGAAACTCTCTTGCTCTGGTGTTCTAGAAACTCAGTGGTGAAGGCTGATCTGTGATTCTTCCCCAGATTCCTCGAATTCATGGGGGTTAAGGCCTAAGATTTAACATGCTCTTAACCTTGTTAACAAAGGTGCCTTCGTATTGAGGAGACATTAAAACTTAGCCACATAAATATATCTTGTCTCCTCCAGTGTTAAAAAAACAAAAAACAAAACTACTATAAGCTGGGTGGAATCATGGTAAACAAAGCATTTTCCATTGCTTCAAGCACAGCAAATAGAATCTCTACCGATAGTGCTTCTCCTTAGTTTCACCAGGGACATTAGATTCATAGTGGTTCATTTCAAAACCATGCTTCCTCTTTCAGAGACTGTTTTGTCACCTGCAGGCTGAAGCGTTCTCCTTAGCTGAAGATGCAAGCTTGCCCTACAGAATGTTTGGTAATCAGGGTGGGAAGGGAGGGAAACATTTGCACGTGGCATTCCCTGAAATAGGGTTGTAATAGCTACTTGAGAGGAGAAAACCTAGGTTTTTCTTGAGATTCCCAGGGCAGAGACAGCAGTGATGAGGTGTCACATTATAAACAGCCAGGCTTTCCCACTTGGCCCTAGCTTTGGAAGCATTTTTTTTTCATCTCAGTTGGAATAAGGATATTCAGGGCCAGAGTCAGAGAAATGCAGCTACAAAGGACAAGGATGGGGGTAGGGATGAGAAGAGGCTGAACAGCTGTGGGCAGTGTCTCTGAAGATGAAGAGGCCTCCCAACCTGTTCAGGGCCTGGAGCTGAGGACAGGAAACGAAACAGTTGGTTTCAATGAAGAGCCCCTGGAGGAGAGAGATCCCAGACTGGCTGATGGATCCACTCTTGCCCTGCCTCCCTGTGGGATTCAGGAGGGTGAGCTGAGGATCCTGTCTGCGTGAGCACTGCTCCTGGTACCCTGCACACCTCCACCTTTGCCATTCTCACGTAGAATCATGGAGGTGTGCCAGCTGAGGATCTGAGAGTTTCAGTCACTTCCCCAAGGGCACATAGCGAGTAGGTGGACTCCAGAATCTTCCGCAGATTGTACTGTTCCTTCTGTGAATAGTGTTTATCTTTGTTCCTCCCTTTCCCATGAGTTTTGGATAGAGACTATCACCCATATTGAGGAGGATTTGGGTATTTGATTTACCGACACATGCATGTTGTGACCCCACAGAACCTTCTGGTGGGTGCCTGGAGTTACGAAGAGAGGAGCTGCCATTTTCTTTGCCCCGAGGAGCTGGCTCGGTGACCTCCTTCAGTCATGGAAAGTCCCTTCCCCAGATAGAGTCCAGCATTCCACTGGCTTCTCCTGCTGCTAAAATAAAACCGGGCGAATCCCTCAGTAAACCGTGGAGCATAAAGAGGTGGGGCTGCTTCTCCAGCATTTGTCAGGGGTGTGAAGAGGTCATTTTTTATGTGCACAGCTTTGCTTCTCTGGCTGCTACACCTCTGTCCTGCTCCAGCTGAACTGCTCTTATTACTTCTGTGCTTACTTTGCCAAGAGCCTCTTCACAGTGACTGCTTTTCTCCGGTTACGCTCCTGTTGAACCCGGCTTTCTCAGTCACTCTTCCTTTCCCTTTTAAAGAGTGAAGTCCATGAACCCAGGCAAGAGTTAGCATAGACACTGTCCTACAGAAATGGCTCGTTAAGCTCTTTAAGCTCTCTGTGCTCCCCTCTGCCCCAGCCCTTGTGTAAATCCTACAGATGCAGCTGAATGACTTTATGTCCTCCAACCGTGAGACTGGCGCTGTGGAAAGAATTAGCAACATGTACATTTAGAACTGATATTTGTAAAAACAAGCTTGGTCTGGATTTTCGGTACTGTTGCAGGAACAAAACTGACCACAGTGTGTGCGTTTGTAGCACAAGACAGACGTGATCAGAAAACAGTGAAGGCTTCAGCAGCACAGTCCACCCTTTCCTCCAGGGCCCTTTCCCCATTTCCGCTCACATCTTCCCAAACAAGCTACCAAACAGGTTATGCATCTGAAAATTTATTCGCTTCAGCCACAGGGCGACTTGAATGGACTTTGTTGTTCACATTTCCTCCCTTGGTCTTCTGTGGATTAGAAACCATAGTGCGTTAAGATAAAGAAATTAGGTCAAACTAGCCATAGTGAAACAGGTTCAAATTTTTATTTTTTTTTATTTTTTAAGAGATGGGGTCTCACTCTGTCATCCAGGCTGGAGTGCAGGGGCACAATCATAGTTCACTGCGGCGTCAATCTCCTGGGCTCAAGTGATCCTCCTGCCTCAGCCTCCCAAAGTGTTGGGATTACAGGCGTGAGCCACTGTGCCCTGCCAAAAAGTTTTTTACATGTTGGATTAACACAACCATTTAATTGGTGGCCTTCATATGGTCAATGGAAGCCAACACTGCTTAAAGAATAAGGAATAACAGAAGGCTAAGTACACATTTGGGGACTTTAAAAAAATCACAAAATATTTCATTGAAAGCAACTTTGTGTTTTTAAAATCAGGAAAAGCTTGCTGTTCAAACTTCTAAAATGGGTTTTTGAACACAATGCAAATAGTTTAGAGAAAGAATAATAATTTAAAAAAATGCCTGATCCATTTCTCTAACGAATGATCAGGAAAGCAGAGGCAAGAGGTGACTTTAATTTCACAAGCAAATACATACGCATGTGCACATTTATACGTCTATTTTCTGATTACGTCATACTCCAGGCAACAAGGGGGCCTGGTCAATGTAGAACTTCTCAGACACAGAGCTGCCAGACAGTGTGAGAGTGGAACCCAGATGCTGAGCTTGCCAACACCTTACTGGGGAGAGAATGTCAGGTGCAACCGAGAGACAACATTAGATTAGCTGTGCACTTTGCAAGAAGAGGGGAAGAGGACAATACGTTCATCCTGAGAGCTGCTTCTGAGAACCTCAGGGAAGAAGTCTAGAACCCTGATCTACATAAAGTGACAGATGACGGACTCGCTGTGGAGGACTCCTGAAGTAGTGTCCCTGATTAGAATGCTGATTTCTTCCCCAAAGGTGATGTGGGCACAGAACTGAGCTGTGTGAATGGGAGGCCAAATAAGCTCTGCTGAATTTGCTCTGGCAGCCCAAGTCCTTAAGGTGAGGCCTGTCTGGCTGCTGCTGCTGTTACCAGTCTTTTAGTATGGTTAGTCATTTCTCTTGTTCCTGCTGCTGTTAAAAGAGCTTTTCCTGTTTTTCCTTCTGCCTTGAAGCTGGCCAGACATCTGTGGAGTGACAGGGCCTTTCCAAGAAGGCAGAGTCAGAGTGATGAGGTCCACACAGGTCAGTGAGATGAAGACACGAAGGAATATGTAAGCACCCAGGACTCGGTCCCAGTGACAGTTACTTGTTAAGAGGAATGTGTGACAAACCCCACTCCTGAGCCCTTCTGATGGCATCAGAAACCTGGGGGAAATATACAGAGTTTCTTCTGGGAGGTGACTAGCTGGTGCCATTAAAACATCTATCCCAGTAGGGCAGGGCCTGGGGTCACCTCCCCGCCATATTCTAAAGAATCACATCCTCTTGCTGGAGCAGCAGGTGTTGCAGAGGTGTGAAGGGGGCCAACACAGTTTCTGGGCAGGAAGTCCAAGCTGCTGGCCTTTCTGGGCAGGGTGACAACTGGAGGGAAGTGTGCAGCAGCATTCTGCCATTGCTGGCAAGTCTCCGTGAGGGTGGGAGGGACCCCAAGATGGTGAGTTGACTTGGATGCAGTGCCTATCCCTGTTGCACTCCCAAAGCTGCAGATGGAAGGAGCAAGTGTTTCTCAGCTCCTCAGGTTTGCGTCTGTCCTCAAAACATGGCTCCCCTTCTGCCTCCTTTCTTGCAGGTTTAAATCTCCCGCAGCCCCTCTCCTTCCTGTGTGAATGCAGAGTTGGCTCTACAGAGGGTGAGTGGAGCATCTGGCAGTGGTTACTTTGCTGTGGTCACTGTAATTTTTGTGAAACAGCACCAAGATTGATCGCTCCCTCCCCTCTCTTAATGTTGGAGGTTCAGAAGACAGGGATCTGGTCTCTCCGAACCACATCAAGGTCATCATCCAAAGTTAACAAAACCTGAAGTGAGAGGGACAGAGAAATGAAAGGAATGGACAGTCACTGTCACACTAAGTCCTGTTTTCTCTCTGAGATGCACACAGACTGGAAACTGTTAGTTCCCTCTCATTCTCATGCCTTCTGCAGCTCTCTGCAATCCTTTGCTCTTAATAGGCACTTATTATAATTATACAATTCATTTGTCAATTAAATATTCATGAAGGTTTATGATGTGCTATTCCAGATGCTATGGAGATATAGTTGGTAATGAAAGAGACAAAAATCCCTATTCTCCATGTAGCTTACATTCTAAAGAGGGCTTTAGACGTGAAACAAATACATGAGTAAAATATAGCATGTTAGATAGTAATAAGTGCTAAGGATAGAAGTTAAATAAGGGAGGAAATACAGGAAGTATCAGGTGTGGGGAGGTAAAAAATTTTGATAGGGTGGCCTGGGAAGTCATTACTTAGGGGACATTTAGGTCAAGAGTCAAAGGAATAAAGTCCTGTTGGATAGAGTATTGCTATATAAGAAATGTACCCTCCTCCTCCATTTCTAGTTCATTTGACTACTACTGCCCCACGTGGAATCTTTAGTTCCACTTTTGCTGTCTCTGTCTCTCTCATGAAGGTGACGATCAAAAGTAAAAGACGTAAGGACTGTTTATACAGATTGGCCAAGCTTCCCAAACTGGCCACTAGAGGATAGCCCTGCTCCACTCTTGAAGTCATATGGCCTGCCTGAGCCCGCTTTGCGTGGAGCCCGGGCATCTAGTAGGTCTGGAGCCCGGGAGTCTAGTAGGGTTGTTAATTGTCAATTGAACCTGCCTACAGGCACCATGGACTTTTAATTGGGAAAAATCAAAGTTAGGATTAAAGGATGGAACTATAATCCAGGGTTGATATAAATACTCATGGCTTCTGAGAAAGGGTTGGGGCAAAAAAATAGAGAAACTACAGGAGAGATTTGGGACAGACTGGTCAGAAGGCAACAGACACGTGGCTGCTACCCCAAGCCACTTAAGGAATATGTAAAATATTTGTGAAATATTCAGGGAGACTGGAGGAGGAGGAGGAGGAGGAGGAATGTGAGTATGGCATAAGAAGGAATAACCCAATGTTATCGGAATTGCTAAAAGTGGTTCCTGGGGGAATTCTGGGCATGTGGGTCTAATAACCAATTCAGAACAAACGTGCTGTGCAACTTAGGGAAAGTAATTTTGTCCCTCTGTGTCTAAAGATATTGAAGAGTAAAAGAAAAACTAAAGATCTAACCAAAGGATATAAAATTTATGAAAGAAATAAGATGGTCTGTACATTGAATTACAAGGAGGAAATGGAAAGTAAAATTAGAGAGGAATATAAAAAAAAGTAAGGAAGAGCAGAAGAAAAAGAGAGTACAAGATGTAAAGAGAGAAGAAAGTCACAAAAAGATAGATATGAACTCACCAAGAATGAGAAAAACAGAGCAGTAGCAGAGAGGAAGTGCCAGATGTCATGGTCATCGAAGAAATCCAGCAGAATGCACTCGCGGTTCTTCTCCCGGGATTCGGCCGGAGTTCCCTGGAGGAAGGTGAGGCAGGACATGGGCAAGATTCCCACAGTTCAACTGTTCAAAGAGTTGAACGTCCAGAAAGCCACAAAAACGCTACTAGATGTCTGGTTCGAAAAGTTAGCTTCCAAGAAAACATCCATCCACACAAAAACCTGTACACAAAGACCTCAAAAGCACAGGCAACCAAAGCAAAAATAGAGAAGCGAGATTACATCAAGCTACGAAGCTTCTGCACAGCAAAGGAAATGACGAACAAAGTGAAGAGACAACCCACAGAATGGGAGAAAATATTTGCAAACTATCCATCTGACAAGAAATTAATAACCAGAATATATAAGGAGCTGAAAGAACTGTAAGGGAAAAAAAATCCAATTTAAAAATGGGCAAAAGATCTGAATAGACATTTCTCAAAAGAAGACATACAAATGGCAAACAGGCATATGAAAAGGTGCTCAACATCATTGATCATCAGAGAATGCAAATCAAAACTACAATGAGATATCATCTTACCCCTGTTAAAAAGGCTCGTATCAAAAAGACAGGCAATAACAGATGCTGGCGAGGATGTGGAGGAAAGGGAACTCTCACACACTGTTGGTGGGAATGTAAATTAGTACAGCCACTGTGGAGAACAGTTTGGAAGTTCCTCAAAAAACTAAAAATAGAGCTATGGCCGGGTGTGGTGGCTCACACCTGTAATCCCAGGACCATGGGAGGCAGAGGCAGGTGGATCGCCTAAGGTCAGGAGTTTGAGACCAGCCTGGCCAACATGGTGAAACCCCGTCTCTACTAAAAATACAAAAAAATTAGCTGGGCACGGTGGTGGGCGCCTGTAGTCCCAGCTACTCAGGAGGGTGAGGCAGGAGAATCACTTGAACCTGGGAGGTGGAGGTTGCAGTGAGCCGAGATTGCGCCATTGCACTCCAGCCTGGGAGACAGAGGGAGACCCCGTCCCCCCGCCCCCCCAAAAAAAAGAAAGAAAGAAAAAAATAGAGCTACCATATGATCCAGCAATTCTACTACTTGATATATATCCAAAAGAAAAGAAATCAGTATGTCAAAGAGTTATCTGCACTCCCATGTTTATTACAGCACTGTTCACAATAGGCAAAATATGGAATCGATCTAAGTGCCCATCAACAGAGGTATGGACAAAGACAATATGATACACATATCTACATAGACAATGTACATACACCTACAAACACAATAAAATACTATTCAGCCATAAAAAAGAATAAAATCCTGCCATTTGCAGCAACACGTATGGAACTCGAGGCCATTATGTTAAGTGAAATAAGTGAAGCACAAAATGACAAATATTGCATGTTCTCACTCATATGAGGCAGCTAGAAAAGTGGATCCCGTGAAGACAGAGAATAGTTTGGTGGTTACCAGAGTCCAGGAAGGGTGGGGGGAGAGGGAGATGAGGGGAAAAACCAAAGAATATACATGTATTTATGACCACTGAACTGCACATTTTAAAATGGTAACGATGGTAAATTTTATATGTATATTTTACCTCAAGGAAAAAACTTGTACACAAATATTCACAGCAGCATCACTCATAATGACACAAAAATAGAAACAATCCAACTGTCCATCAACTGATGAGCAGGTAGATAAAATGTGATATATCAGTACAACGGAATATTTTTCAGCAATGAATAGACATGAAGTACTATGTATGTTACAGCATGCTTGAACCTAGGACACATTAAGTGAAAGAAGCCAGACACAAAGGCCGTGTATTGTGTGATTCCATTTACATGAAATGTCCAGAATAAGCAAATATACAGAGACAAAAGGTAGATTTAGTAGTTGCTTAGGGGTAAGGGGTTAGCGAGAAATGAGGAGTGAATGCTGATGCATATGAGGTTTCTTTCCGGAGTGACAGAAATGTTCTAAAATCTATTGTGGTAACTGTTCTGATGGAATGCTAAGACTTCTTCCTGTTCTGTGCCTCAGATATACCACTAATTTCCTAGGCTTCGGCTCTGTTATCTATGGACTGGATGTAATGACACTCAGCTTGGGTATTTGTTGATGGATGGAGATTATGAGAAAGATGAGAAGATGAACTACTCAAGGCTTTTGACCGCGTTAAGCATCCACTGGGACCAGCGTCGTAATACAACATGCAATGAAGACCAAGTTTGCAATGTCTGTAGTACTTACAGATTTATAAAGTGCCACCCTGAGAATGATAACGCATGCAGTTATTGTGCATTTGTGTGCGGCTATTAAAAACCATCCCTGGTAGAGAAAACTTTCATTTTAGACACTGTGAAAACACATTAAGAGAGGGAGGTAGAAAGGCCAAAATGGCAAGTTGGAGAGAGAGGTTGTTTTTGGATAAGAAAACTGGCCTCTTACCTCCCAGCTGCTGAGATTCTGGAAGAAAAAATATAGGGCGGCAGCCCACATCACAGCGGTGGCCACGATGCAGAAGAGCGGGACTGGGAGGACCTTTTCAGAGCTGCGGAGCTGTGGGAGGAGAAGCAGATGCGGCCTCACGCGACCCCGCCTTCGCCTGCCCGAGGGCCCGAGGTAGCCGCTCCCGGCACCCGCTCTTACCTTCATGATGATGTAAAAGGCCAGGTACAGCAAAAGGTTACAGATGAAGATGCCCAGCATGTAGGAAGCAAAGTCCCTGGGGCGGTATATCAATCCAAAGAGGGCGCTGCAGGCGTGGGAGAAATGTGGGCAGCCGTGAAGGTGGATTTGTAACACTATTGGCTTTTCCAATCCCCCAGTCCCTTGAGGGGGAAGGGGCAGGTTCTTTTTTTTTTTTTAACTTTTATTTTTAGTTCATTTTATTTTTTTTTAAACTCTTACCTCTGATGGAACAGTAGATTTTTAAAAAAATACTTTAACATATAAGTATCTTTTTTTTTTTTTTTTTTTTTTTTTTTTTAAGAGTTGGGGTCTCATTCCCTCACTCAGGCTAGAGTGCAATGGCACCATCACGGCTCACTGCAACCTCCACATCCTGGACTCAAGCGATCCTTCCACTTCAACCTCTCTGGTATCCGGGACTACAGATGCATGCCACCACTTCCAGCTAACTTTTAAAATTTTTTTTGTAGAGGCAGGGTCTTGCTATGTTGCCCAGCCTGATGTTGGATTCATGGCCTCAAGCCATCCTTTTGCCTGAGCCTCCCAAAGCCCTGGGATTACAGCCGTGAGCCATGGTGCCTTGCCTATATAAGTAACTTTTAATTTAATACACTTTCTTCCAAGCATTCATTTCTAACAACCATGTAAAGTTCCCATAACTGAATGCAATGTAAACAATCATCTTTCCCCTTTTGTTGAAGTGTCTTCCCACATTCTTCGGTTTTTCACTATTATAAGAAACACTGCAATGAATAAATAAATACTTTCAGACATTGAGCTTATGTTTTTCATTTAAGATTAGTTCCTTAGAATAGAAGCAAAATCATCTCCATGATTGGCTTGACACACATTACCAAATTTTTGCTAGCTGTCCATGGTTTTAAAATTAATGCTAAAGTTAATTTTGGTTGGACTCAGCTTTAATTTTGTTCCAAATTTCTATTCAGTTATAATATGTCCTTTATTACATAATTCTTTCTTATCTCTTTGTTTTGAAATAGTTTTTTTTTTTTTTTTTTTTTTTTTTGAGATGGAGTCTCACTGTGTTGCCCAGGCTGGAGTGCAGTGGCACCATCTCGGCTCACTGCAACCTCCACCCCTCCAAGTTTAAGCAATTCTCTGCCACAGCCTCTGGAGTAGCTGGGATTACAGACGCATGCCACCACGCCCAGCTAATTTTTTGTATTTTTAGTAGAGACGGGGTTTCACCATCTTGGCCAGGCTGGTCTTGAACTCCTGATCTCGTGATCCACCTGCCTCGGCCTCCCAAAGTGCTGGGATTACAGGCGTGAGCCACCGCGCCCGGCCTGAAATAGTTTTTGATGAATACACATCCACATATATATTTTTTAAAATCTCAATATCTCTATCTAGTTGGGTTTCTGTCCTCCATTCGGATTCACTGATTCATATTTCTAATTTCTAATTTTAGATCGGTGCCTCACTATTTTATTATTATTTTATAATATGCTAGATTATCTGATTAGGCTAGCCTGCACTGTTCCATTTGGTAGCCACATATGGCTATTAAAATTAAATAAAATTGAAAATCTACTTCCTCAGTCACACTAGCCACATTTCAAGTCTGCAATATCTATGTGCTAATAGTTACTGTATTGGACCGTACGTGTGAAACAATTACATCACTCCAGAGAGTTCTAATGGACAATGCTGGGCTAGTCACCTCTGCTCCTCCTTGCTTCTGTTAATCTCTTTTTCAAAGATCTTTGAAATTTTTGCCTAACTAGCAAATAAATTTTAGAATAAAACCTTATTAACTTAATTACTATTCTAACTCTAAATGTTTACATTACCTTGAGAAAGGATACCTTTGCAGTAGTTAATCTTTCCATCCAGGACCTGACGTCTCTCTTCATTTAGCTAAATTTTCCTTATGGCTTCTAATAAGATAATTACATTTTCTACAGAAAGATTGTGTACATCTCTCAAAATTTATTCCTAAGTATTTAAAGTGTAAAGTACTATTAATGGACTCTCTTTGTTCATTTTGAATTCCAACTGACTTCGTTCTTTTTTTTTTTCTTTTTTTTTGAGAGAGGGTCTCACCATGTTGCCCAGACTGGTCTCAAACTCCTGGGCTCAAGCAATCCTCCTGCCTCGGCCTCCCAAAGTGTTGTGATTCTAAGTGTGAGCCACTGCACCTGGCCTCCCTCAAGTGACTTTGTTCTGTATAATGCAGAAAATTTTCTTCTCCCAGATTTTGAAATCTTTAGTATACCAGGCAACTCTTGTACATCCTTCCTTCAGATTCTCTAGTTATTAGCGTTTTGTTACATTTGCTTTGTCATTTTCTCTCTGTCTCTCTCTCTATATGCATATGTATGTACATACATCTCTATGCCTATATATAACTCAGGACCATACGAAAGTAATTCTTTTTAAAATATCATTCATGGGAAATCATTCCATGTCTTTATGAAGCAACTGGGAAGGAGGTAGCCCACTATCAGATAATCACGGTGTAAGTCTGTCATTGCACCTCCATCCCTAGAGGCCCTTTTGTTCCACAGAGCTGTCTGTGAAGAGAGGCCATTTGCCTTGTCTTGTGAGCAGATCGTGGATGTGGTTTTGCTTATGTGAGAGACGGAGACAAGCCAAGTGATTCTGAGCCCCTGGAATCATAGTCAAAGGTTGGTCATTATCAAGAGGTTGGTCCCTTTTCTCCTCCCATTGCCCTCTCTTTCAGGACCACCAGGACTGTGGAGTCTGCTAGAAGGGTGGTCAAGAAGAGACCACTGCCCAAGAATCCTCTCATCTTGACCTGCCCCCAAGTAAAGGAGGAATCGTTAAATGGTATACATCTTATCCTGAGGCAATCCCTGGGGTGACAACATGGGAAGCTTCTTCCAGAAGCACATGCCCCCCAGATAGGACTCAGATTCTCATGACTTGATTCTGGCCTCCTCTGAAGGCATGCCTCTTCATTCCTTACTGTTCACTGGGATTACAGAATCATTTTTTTTTTTTTAATCACAGGCCACTGACCCTGAGGAGCTCATCATCTAGGAGCTACAAATAAAAGCAGTTAAACTTACTTATGGTTTGAGTGATCAATAAAATATTTTACTCATTCAACTGTATAAGAGGATAGATTGCATAAAATAATGGTGGCTAGCAAAAATACACATCTGTTGTACTGTTCTATTTTGAGCCATTTGAGGAACAAAGGCCATGGGGAAAGAGGAAGAAGAATGATGTAGGTAGAAAGAAAGAGACTGGAGGGAAAGAAATAAAAGAGGGACTTGCACACACACACACACACACACACACACACACATTTAGTAAAAGAAAAATTTCTACAGAAAAGAAGGCCTACTGGGTAGTCTTTATGAAAATTCTGTGAAAGAGTTTAAAGCTATGTTGGATGTTTGCAATCAGTGGTATAATTATCTATCTATCTATCTATCTATCTATTTATCTATCATCTATCTATCTATCTATCTAACCATTCAACTATCCATCCATCTGTCCATCCCATCTTTCTATCCAATGTATCCACATAGACTTAACAAGTTTTGATGTTTGTCTTGTTGAACAAATGAACTCAATGCATCAGTGTTTTAAGAGAGGCTACAATTGCTACACGAGAATGTCCTACTACCTTTTTTTGAGTCTCTAGAACAAGCAGTCCTACCTTCTCCTTAATTTCAGATTTCTTTGTAAAAATGACAGTCAAGGAAAGCTAAACCACAGTGTTACTGACATTAATAAAGGCAAAAACATGTTTTCATAAGACTACTTACAAGGACCAGTTAACCAGATTCCCCACAACCAGCAACACCATTCTATCCTGGAAAAGAGGAAAGAAAACATCAAATGAGAGGCTGCACAGCCTACTTTTCTTTTAACCTACTGTGTAGAAGTATCAACTATGGGAAAACAATTGCATTGGTGAAAATAATTTTCTGTGGTTCTAAGAGTGCCTTGCCTATGATCTGACACTAATCGTATACAAAGACTAAATGGCAAGGCTTTTAACTGCAAATAGACCTGACTTCATCCCTGAGAAAGAAAATGTGGTGAGCAAAGCAGGACTCTATTTCTTCCCAGTGTTTAGTGGAGCTGGGCCCATGGGCCCATTTCTCAGTGGAGAGGCTGGTGGTATGTGTTGATTACAGAATTGAGAGAATTCTGTCACTGGTACTATGTAATTGAGCACTGTTTTTCTGGGGTGTACTACTTGGTAGCCACTATTGCAACTCTCAGGCCCCAGCTGTAGGGAGTTAATTTTGTACCCATTACTCTGGTTTCAAGGTGGTCCTGAAACTCACAGGTTCCTGTGTCTACAATATAGACTCTTGTAGGGGAGAAAATAGGGAGAAAAGGTCAATTTTAAAGGACAATAGGCCGGGTGTGGTGGCTCACGCCTATAATCCCAGCAATTTGGGAGGCTAAGGCGGGCAGATTACCTGAGGTCAGGAGTTTGAAACCAGCCTGGCTGACATGGTGAAAGCCTGTCTCTACTAAAAATACAAAAATTGGCCAGGTGTGGTGGCACACAACTGTAGTCCTAGCTTCTTGAGAGGCTGAGGCCCGAGAAGATTTTGAACCTGGGAGGCAGAGGTTGCAGTGAGCCGAGATTTTGCCACTGCACTCCAGCCTGGGTGATAGAGCAAGACTCTGTCCCAAAATAAATAAACAAACAAACAAATAAATGACAATTACTCTGACAGAGATTTATTCACAATCTGTCCCTGTTCTTTGCATACTACTTAAAACTTCTAGGAGAGATTTGATCATACTTTAATTTGCATAACCACTTATCTACTATTTAAAAGTAGTAATTCTTTGTCTTTTAGGTGATCCATCCAATTTGGAGGAAATAACTTCATTAAAAAAATTAATTCACCTATTAGAATGGCTAAAATCCTCAAACAGTGACAACACCAAATGCTGGCGAGGATGTGGAGCAACAGTAACACTCATTGCTGGTGGGAATGCAAAACGGTACAGCCACTTGGAAGACAGTTTCGCGTTTCTTACAAAACTAAACTTATGATTGCCATGTAATCCAGCAATAGCTCCCTTTGATATTTAACAAAAGGAGTTGAAAACTTACGTCCACACAAAAACTTACACATGAGTGTTATAGCAGCTTATTCATAATTACCCACACTTGGAAGCAATCAAAATGCCCTTTAGTGGGTGAATAAATAAACGTGGCACATCCCACATCCGGGCAATGGAATATTATTCAGTGCTAAATACAAATGAGCTATCAAGCCATGAAAAGACATGGAGGAAACTTAAATGCTTATTACTAAGTGGAAGAAGGCAGTATGAAATGGCTATATACTGTATGATTCCAATTACATTTTGGAAAAAGAAAAACTCTGCCAATAGAAAAAAGATTAGTGGTTGTGAGGACTTAAGAGGGAGGGAGGGATGAATAGGCCGAGCCCAGAGGATTTTTAGGGCAGTGGAACTGTCTTGTATGATACTATAATGGTAGGTACATGTCAACATGCTTGTTAAAACCCATGAGTGTACATCAAGAATGAGCATTAATGTAACGTAAACTTTACATGGGTAGTAATGATGTGTCAGTGTAGGCTCATCAACTGTAACCAATGTACCACTGTGGTTTGGAAATGTCAATAGTGGGGGAGGCTGTGCATGTGGGGAGTTGGGGGCAGAGGGTATATGGGAAATTTCTGTACTTCTGCTCAATTTTTCTGTGGATGTAAAGCTGCTCTAAAAAAATATAAAGTCTATTAAAAAAGGAAGCCTCTATCAATTAATGTAAAAAACGAAAACATTACTTGCCTCTCCTGTTTCACAGGTAAGCAGGAGAACTTGCCTCTCAAAATACTCACAAGTCCTGATGGACTTTTTCATTCTTACCTGAATAAACCCTCCAGACTCAATTCCCTTGTTTTTAGTGCTTATAGCTCCTGCCCAAGCTCTAGAGTGCTCACGGATTTCCATATTCCTTTAGCAAAAATATTCTGATGATAAAGGATTAGCAGGTACTTGCTAAATCCCTGTGTGACAGGCAATACTAGCATCACTAGTTCTGACTGCAGCACTTTGTAAAGCCTGGGGCAGTGGGCTCAGAGGAGGAAGGTAGCCTTCTCAAGATCACTGACCAGAGAGCCAAGAGAGAGCTGGGACCAGGGCCCTGAGCTCTGGGCTCACTATAGAAATATATAATACACTGAAGTATGTTTTAACCATCAAGCAATAAGCACAAGTTATAAAAAATTCTTGCTCATTGTGAAAATCAAGCAATACAGAAATGCATAATGTGGAAGTGTAAGTTCGTAATGGACATGACTGGAGTGAACACGGGTCCCAGTTTTCTCGAGATAGTCCTGGTTTACACCTGCTGTCCTGGTGGAATTATTAGCAGTGTGCCCTTTCACTTCCACAAGGGTACCTCTTTGGATGATTATTTATAAGGGTACACTGTCTTGATCCTCCCCATAGCTATGATCACTGTTCATTTATTTTTATTTTATTTTTAAAAAATTTCATTATTGGGCAGGGCACGGTGGCTCACGTCTGTAATCCCAGCACTTTGGGAGGCCAAGGTGGGCGGATCACCTGAGGTTGGGAGTTCAAGACCAGCCTGACCAACATGGAGAAGCCCCGTCTCTACTAAAAATACAAAATTAGCCAGGTGTGGTGGCACATGCCCGTAATCCCAGCTACTCAGGAGGCTGAGGCAGGAGAATTGCTTGAACCCAGGAGGTGGAGGTTGCGGTGAGCCAAGATCGCGCCACTGCACTCCAGCCTGGGCCAAGAGCAAAACTCCGTCTCAAAAAAAAAAAAAATTCTTTATTATTTTTTATTTCCAAATTTTATTTTAAGCTCAGGGTTACATGGGCAGGATGTGCAGGTTTGTTCCATGGGTAAACGTGTGCCATGGTGGTTTTGCTACACAGATCATCCCATCACCCAGGTATGAAGCCCAGCATTCATTAGCTATTCTTCCTGATCTTCTCCCTCCTCCCATGCTATCCCCTCGCCCCACCCTCTAACAGGCCCCAGTGTGTGTTATTCCCCACCATGTGTCCGTAATCATCACTGTTTAACAGTTGGGTAGATGTATTTTCTCCTTTTTTAATATACTAGCAAATATTTTGTTTATAAAAATGGGACCATGTTAGCTTGACTTGTATGAAAAAGAATAAGCACCATGCTCCTTCTCCCACTAATGGGCCTTTAGCCACCCTGGGCCATCTGGCCTTCTTGATTTTAGGAGCCGTGAGTGACTGCCCCAAGCCTGTTCCTCCTACTATTCCCCTGCTTTCTGGGACAGGGCCAAAGAACACAGGAACATGCACATACCATATATAGAGGTCGGCTACACTGCTGGATACAGTCTGTGTAGAACACCATGGCAGCCCGCCGGAAAATTCCCAAATCTGCTGATAATACAAATGCATGGTGAGAAGGCTTAGTCAACAAAAATACAAATACTCTGAAGTGGCCCAAGGTTTTGGAGCCAGAATGATGTCATCCTCACTTCATTAAAATGCATTAGAATGCTTTGCACCTAATAGGTGCGCAATAAGTATTTGCTTTGAAAAATGGTATCGTCATAGAGGGATGCCATATCTGTGCATTACACAGCAGAAAGGCAAGGAAGATGGACATGAACAACAAGCACTCACAAATAACATGGGTGGCTGGTGGACCCTTATTCTGTCTCCTGCAGCTAAGCTTCTTTTTGTTTACAGTTTACTCTAGTGGTGTTTTCTTTATAGTAGAGATGTTATGGGTCCCCTCAATCTACTTTAAAACACATGCTCTCTCTAGAGGATGGGAAATCTTAGCTTGTAAAGATTCAGATCTGTTATTTCTCAATGCGGTTATAAGTTAGTAACAATTGAACTAAAGGACCCTAGGCTCTACTGAGCATGTTCAGAAAATCTATCTGAACTGAAACAATCATCAAGTGAAGGTAAGTTAAGATGGGGAGAAAAAGACAGGAAAGTTTTTTTAAGCACAGTTGAAAAGGATGATATGAAATGCAGCGAGTGTGTGTGTTATAATGTTACATGAACAGTCAGGGTCAAAGACGGGCTGTGTTTCTGTGAGCTGTCCACACCACAGATATCGAATGCCAGTCTGGGTCTGCCCAAAGCAAACATTTTCCAGAATGTGGATCTCAGCTCTGTTATGAATCCTTCTCCTCCTCAAGGTTACCCCCGTGGTCAGTTTAACCAGGAGGGAGAAACCTGTCTCTGTGGCATCCCAGAAAAGGCATGGAGCAGGCTAGGGTGGAGTGCAGCCTCCCCTCTGAGCCTCTCTCTGGCTCCCCACTCCCACGGAGTCTGCCCGGCCTGAAAGAGGCTGTTCAGGGAGCAGGGCTGCCAGGACAGCCAGGTGGATCACTTTGATACAAAAACAATCTAGACCCCTGGAAAGGGTGGCTGAACATTACCTGTGTCAGACACATCTGAATCAGTAGGAAGCAGAGAAGAAAGGAGAAAAAAAAGAGAGACGTGTAAGAAAGTAGCCAAACATGTAAACTACTGGTCATTTTATTTTTTCTCAAGATGGATGACTTTAATTTTGCTTTCTGATTATAAAAGTAATGCTTACTTGTCAAAGAGAACATAGGATCTTTCTGCTTGTCTCAAACATTCAGAAGTCTTCAAATCCTCAAAGAGTGAATTGAGACTTTTCTCTCTCTCTGTCTACTTTTGTGCACTGCTTGCAATTTATAATCCAGCCTCTCTCATGAGAAATCCCTGAGGTCCTTTTCCAGAGCTCTGGGACTGGGGGACACAGTAGTGATTTGGGGAAGCAGCTCTGCGGTTTATGAGAGCTAATGATGAAATGTTTTTCCTCATTGCTGCTGCCTTTCCTGTGTCCACATTTATTTGCTTGTGTAGCCCGAGGGGCCACAGAGAAAGGACATGTGATTAGAAAGCAAAGGCAACTTATGACATGGGTAGAAAGGCTGGAGTCAGCTGAACACTGTCCATGAATCCAACTTCCTGGCTTTGGACTAAATTTAGACACAATCATTGTCAACGACGAAATAGAAAGTTTTCTTTTGACTCTGGTACATCTGTAACCACCTGGGGAAGACTCCATGGGTACGGAAATGGAAAATATTCAGTTAAACTACAGGCTGGCTAGTTCCCATTTGCCCTACTAGGCCCACTTGCCATGAATCTCTCTCCTGGGGACCCACCACACTGGGGAGGCGGGCCTGTGTGGATGATATCAGTGGATTCCCTGACTTTCCTTGGACAATGGGGAATTCCGGCAGGAGACTGCAGGGACAAAGGAAGGAGAGTGAGCTCAGAGGACTTATTTTGCCGGCGTCCTCCCTGTGAGGTTACCGCAGGCTGGTCAGAACGTCCATGAAAGGTCACTGTTCCTTTCAGAGTGACTTTTCCCTGTAACTCTCTCCTTCTAGATTTTGGGAACCATGTCTTCCCTGTCCTTTTGGGCTTATAGATGTAAAAGCTTCACTGCTGCTAACCCCAAGTTTCCACGGTATCCCTTTCATTCCCCTCTACCCCATCCACATCTTGTGAATAGTACTTCTGTTAATAAATCCTTCTCTATCTTTGTGTGTGACATCTTTTTCCTGTTGGGACCCTAACAAATTATTCCATGGTCATAATATGATATGCTAAATTTCACTTCTTTTAAAAGATAAGATAATTTGGCATTGCAAAATTGCATAAGGCAAAGGTGGTATAAATATATTAAAGCTCCTCTATGTATTAGTGGTTACTACCATTGCATATATCTGCACTCAAGTTTATTTTTCCAACTCTGGAAGAAACCAGAACAACAATGCTCCCAATTATTTTCCTTTTGAAAGTTTAGTTTGTATGACTTCACTTACCTTCTGTCTGGTGGAGGATCATGACCAGCGTGCCCTGCCAAATGTTCTACACAACTGGCTCAAGTAACTGGGGGATTTGGAGGTATGCTGGCTATGTTCATGCCAAAGGTAAATCTACTGACCATGGCAAAAGAATTAACCTTTGAAAACGAGCAATTGCTCTATTTGGTCTTCTAGTCTTAAAGCCATTTGTTTATGTAGAATTGCTCTTAGACCTGGACAAGAGGGTCCCATATTTTAGAGGCCTTATTCCCTCATGAGTGAGGAGTCTGCAGGGCCAAAGGACTCCTCCTTTCCTTCTAGAAATTCTGAATTCCAGGGAGCCAGAAGTGTCTACCTGCCCAGAAGGCTCCGAGCCTGCTCTAAGGCCTGCATAGCCCCCTTCCCTTGTGTATCCTCCTGAGGGCAGATGGTACCACTAGGGCATACCTCTAGGGGCAGGGAATGGCCAAGTGGTGGCTATTTGTGGGGGAAGTGGATGAACATTGGATGTAGGGCAAAGGTGCCACATGCACACTTGTGAGACTCCTTAAGACACAACCAGAGGTAGAAAAAAGTGTTCTTTGAGAAACCAAGAATTTTAAATTTGAACCTAGGCCTTCTAATTTAGTTGCAATGGAGGTATATTTTTCCCTCCCTCCCTTCTTCCCTCCTTTCATGTATTTAATAGCTTTTTAGTCTGCTTTATGACTTTGATGTTCTTACACATAAGCTATGCAGGCTTTTATTTGGACTTTTGCTCTGGGCTTTGTTAATATCAGAAGTTTGCCTATGTTTATATATAATAATTTGCCTTGAAATAGACAAAAGGATATTTAAGTCTGACTTCCTGGAACTTAAAATGATTTTTTAAAATTTAAATGCTCTAAAACCACTTGAATCTGTTCCCATATATGATGACTGATCAACAGCAGATCACAAGCTGATTTCTGTAGAACATTCAATGCTCTCTGATAAGTTGGAGGGAGCTCAGCAGGTGTCCTGCCTCTAAGATTGGCAAGTTGGTCTCAAAAGTTCCAGCCCTAGAATCTGAAAATATATAATTCATTCTTGACAACCATTTAGCATGGTTAGAGAAATGCTCCCTTTGAATGCTGCAAACTGAAAAATGTTCCTCTAGGTGGAACTAGTGGTATGATCATACCATTCTCTAATACAAGTCAAAGTTTGGCAGACTGTAAAGTGTTTGCAACCAGGGGTTGGAGGTACAACTCATCTCTGAGGTGTGGCAAACCTTAGTTTCTCAGCTGAAAATAGAACTAGGGGTAATAGCTTATCACTATCCTATAAGGGAGAGGAAGCTCTTGGAGCGAATATGTGCTATTAAACATGGCATAGAATTCAGAGCATGTGTTCACGGTGACCAGTGACACTTTCATTCAGCATAAGTAAAGGCAGTGTCTGCTTTTTCATTAAAGTTGATTCGTGTGATTAGTATAGAATTAACAGGTGACTCACCTATCTTGAAACGACCCATATAATATATCTGGGTGCTGAGGGCTAGCGAGGCCAGAACGTGGATTGCAGAGAAGATGACCCAGAACCATACGTCATTTTTTCCAAACACCTAGGAGTAAAGATGGAAGTTACCTTCATCTGAGGTTTTCCCTAGAAAACTCATCAAAATCATCCTCTCTCCTGTATGTGTAAGGAGTCAAAAACAGCTGTGTGCACATTCTATTTTTCTCCCCCTCTGGAAACTCCCATGGATCTTACTCCCAAGGGACAGGAAAAAAAAAAAAGGCTACTGGGCCAAATGAAAATGGAAAAAGGAAATAGGAGAGGCAGCCAAATAGCAATGGTGAAGGGGCAACGGGTCTAAAGTGGGGGCGAATGAACTTCAAATAACCAAAACAGGCAACACGTGTTTCCCATGCGTATTTAGAAGGTGGTTTCTGTTTTTTCCCCTCAGTCTCTCCAGTCAGCTTATATACCCCTATTCCACTTTCACATGAGTCGGGTCTAGCTTTATATTAAAATTATCCAGTGGTCTTTTTACAGGTGCCTAATACATTATTAAAATAACCAACTAGGCCGGGCACGGTGGCTCACGCCTGTAATCCCAACACTTTGGGAGGCCGAGGTGGGCAGATCATGAGGTCAGGAGTTTGAGACCAGTCTGGCCAACATGGTGAAACTCTGTCTCTACAAAAATTAGCCAGGCGTGGTGGTGGGCGCCTGTAGTCCCAGCTACTCAGGAGGCTGAGGCAGGAGAATCGCTTGAACCCGGGAGGTGGAGGTTGCGGTGAGCTGAGATCATGCCACTGCACTCCAGCCTGGTGACAGAGTCTCACAAACAAACAAAAAAACTAAATAACTAAGTAAAAGTGTGCCATGAGTGGGCCAATGATGAAAGTGTGTCATGAGATGAAATTGTGTCATGAGATGAAATTGTGTCATGAACTGAGGATTTTGGTTAATCCAAACCCGTTCACTTGATTGTTGTTTGTTTATTGGACCTAGGGGGGCACTTTTCGAGAGCCAGGTGGAAGAAGGTGGGGGACGCACCACTCCAAGGACGGTGACCATGATGACCACAGCAAAGGAGGCATAGGCAGAGTAGGCGCTGGCATTGATGTCTGGGTGGCGGGTCTGATAGAGCTTCAGCATGCACAGGCCAGCGATCATGTACATGAAGGAGGTGTCTGAGGACCCAAAGGAGGAGCCAGATGATCAGGATTCAGTAGGTGACAGACAGATGATATTTTCTAGATTTTTCTTCAGACTCTGAGTACCCCTCACTTCAATCCATGGACTATTTTCTACCCGCAGGCTGTGTGGAGACCTCTAACATGTCAGCCTCTTGGCACATTCTCTAGGAGACCGCACGTACTCCACTTCTAAACCTCTCTAAGGCTGCCCTTTAGTTCACAGAAGAAAAACATCTGATATAATAAATAAATAACTCCTCTTTCACAGAAGGAGTGTCTGATATGATAAACAAACAACTACCCCCACTTGCGTTTTAGATGCTGGTGTTCAACAATTATAACAAAAGAATTCCTAATGGTGATAATGTAGGCAGTGTGACCATAAAATGAGCCCCAGATGGGTGTGGGAGGTCGTTCTCAGCACCCTAAAATATAATCACATTGATTACTGCACATTTATAGCTTTATAGCCTAGTGATGGAAAATAGCTAGAAATAAAATGGAGCTTACTGCATTACAATTGTGGACATGCAAATTAAGATAACAATGCAATGCCTCCATTTTACTCAAAAACTTGATAAAAACTTTAAGTGTCTGACAGTAATAAACGTTAGTGATGATCTGGGGAATGGGAAGTCTCACACAGCTATTGGGAATGGGAATTAATGCTCTGGAGAGAAATTTGTCAGTTTTTGGTAAAATAGAAGGTGCACAAACCAAGTAACTGAAAAATTCTACTTCTAGGTATCCCAAGGAACCTCTCTCACATACATACAAAGAGACATATAGAAGGATGATCACTGCAGTGTTATCTATAATAGCAAAATACAGGCAACATTTAAATGCTGTTCAATAGAGGAATTGATAAATGTGATACTTTTTGTTATATAATATGACAACCCTTAAAAATGAATGCACTACATGTCCTTGATATAATATTGATAAATCTTGAAAACATATTCTTGAATGAAAAAAGGCTGCAGAACACAGAATGATAAACTACTATTAATTTGCTACAAATGTAGAAAAATTATAAAAACAAACCGGGAAGGTAAATATAAAATTAATCATGGTTATTGCCTTTAGGGGAGGAAGGAGGAGATTAAGTTTGAAAGTGCGTCAAAACAGGACCTCAACTTTATCACAGTGCTTTATTCTTTAAAAAGTAGATCTAGGCAAATATTTAAAAATGTTGACATTTGTTCATTCTGAGTGGTGAATGATATCATTCTCTGCAGTTTTCTCTATTGAAAATGTTTCCTAATTAAAAAAATTAAATGCGACAGAGTTCTGTGGTGCTCAGAGTTAACACCAGAAGCCAGAGCACAAACATTAAACGACCGTTTAAAAAATCCTCATCCTTGAGAGTGGAGGACATCGTTACTTGCTAGACAGCATCAGCTTTTCCTTTCTTCCTTCTTAATAACATCTCAATATTAACTCAATGTCTACCCGCTTTCAATTCAGAAATGCACACTGTCTCAGCCCCTTTGCTTCAGGAAAGCTAATCCCACCTTTGGCTCCAGGGACAGGGCTGATTGGTCTAAAGATAGTCCCACCTTTTTTGCTGATTGGTGAAGCAACCTGGGTCTGAGCTAACCAGCGCTTAGAGAATGATTCAAAAATGGGCTCATGGGGCCGGGTGTGGTGGCTCACGCCTGTAATCCCAGCACTTTGGGAGGCAGAGGCAGGAGGATCGCCTGAGGTTAGGAGTTTGAGACCAGCCCGGCCAACATGGTGAAACCCCATCTCTACCAAAAAAAATACAAAAATTAGCTGGGCGTGGTGGTGCGCACCAGTAGTCCCAGCTACTGGGGAGGCTGAGGGATGAGGATCACTTGAACCCCTGAGGCAGAGATTGCAGTGAGCTCAGATCATGCCACTGCACTCCAGCCTGGGCGACAGAGCCAGATTCTGTCAAAAAAAAAAAAAAAAAAAAAAAAGAATGGGCTCATGACTGTATAAGCTACTGAGATGTGAAAGGATATTATCTGTGGCTTTCTCAAAAAACAACTTCCTTGCTCTTAATTGAAGGCTTCTGGAACCCAGCTTGCCGCCTCCTCTGGAATTGTTGGGTGGAACTACGAAGCCAGGGGCTGCTATAGTTACTTTTGCCACCAGCAGGGAAGATAGCCTGATGATAAAACCAACATACAGGCTGGGTACAATCAAAGGGATCACAGAGAAATGAAGGCAGAGTCACCAGATAAATCAACCACAAGCCCTTTCTACATCTGGATGTCCTTATTATTCAATCCAGCATAAATTGGGTTCTCCATAACTTTCATCCCAAAGCAGTCTAACTGCTCAATTAGGTCATGCTCTGTGTGGAGGTCCTCTCTGATCTCTTCAGCTCACATAAAATGCCATTTGATCTTTGCAAGCATGACTTTGGCATTTTTGGGGAGGGTTCCAGGATAAGACTGACGATTCAAATCTGTATAGTAGATATAAGTTCTAATTACCGAATTGGAAGTTGGAATAATTAGGGCAGACATGGTAGCAAGCACTGAGCACCCCTTCCATCATCAATGCAATGCCCATAGCGTAGAAGAGACCAAAGTGTTTGGGAATCCCGTACTCCTGAAAAAGGAGAAAGGGTGGTCAATAGATACTAAATAGTGCCATATCCACCAAGTCACTAATCTGGAAGCACATGCTTCTGGCCTCATGTAGTTTATTACACATAATAAATCATCACACCATTAAGCCAGATGTCCCACCCCTTTGCAGATCCTGTTTGGATCCATAACCCTTCCTAGCTCCTACCCACTCTTTCCTCACCACAGCAAAGATGTCCTTGGCTTCCAGGGCTCTCCGATGGAGGATGTCGCGGCGCAAGACTATCAGCAGGAAGAGGAAGCCCAGAAGCACGTGGCCCAGATTGCTGAGAATGTTGTTGAAGGCACTACAGGGATGAGTGAGAGACCATGAGAGAGTCAAGACCATCAAAGGGACCCAGAGAATACATGATGCATGAAGGAATGAATGAATTCAGCATGAATGTTTTCCATTAACCTTTCCATAAGGTTTCAAGATCAGAAAAGTATTAGAAATCCTCTTTAACCTAACTCCTTCATTTTATGATGCTTACTTAGCCTGTGACAACGTGACTGTTTCCTCTCAAGGGTGCCTGCTTGGCTTCCTAACACCCTCCCATCCTCTCTTATCCCAGTGGCGTTTGTATAGTATGAATCCTGGGAAAGACAGCTGCTTCAAAGACAGGCAAGTGTTTCAGCTACACCGTGAGAGTGAGTTCTCACAGGTGGACCCGTGTGTGTCAATGTTCAGCTCTCTAATTGTGAATTTCAGGTAAGTGTCAGCCAATCATAGCCAGCAGCTTTATTTGAGGAAACGAACGCTGGTTCAGCTCTGGAGCAAGAGGCTAGACTCCCAACTCCCAGGCAATGCTTCTTCCACGTCACCAAGTTCTGGTGGCTAGAGCATGGCCTGGGAGGCCACAGGGCTGGGTTTGCGTCCTGCACTACTTAGCAGCTGAGGGACCTTCAGCAAATCCTCACCTGCCTTCATCTAAAAATAGGGATCATAGTAATGTCTATCTCACGAGGTTGTTTAATGGATCGAATGAGACAATAGGTTGCCAGCTCATGCCTGTGAACAAATGCCACCAGAGCTAGAGATCTGACATTTTAAAAAATGTCACTGCCCTCATCTCAGCAGGCAGTATGCTAAGGAATGTTTCCTGAGAACCACATACAGGAACGGGAGGAGCATACCTGGTCTCAACTTCTTGGTTTAGTTCCTTTTTACCCTTGAATAGGGTCGTTTTCCACAGTTGTTTTTAGTATTTTTAAAAACCGAAATCACAACATTAGACAGAAAGGCATCTCTAAATGCCTCATGGGCAACCAGAGGACTGGGTTTACCTCAGGACGCCCAAGGGGTGAGCACAGAGGAAGTTGTAGTAACAGATGTCCTGGTTGCCAGTGACATTTACCACCTGTAAAATCAAGAGTGAGAAGAGGAAATGTGGTTTTCCTCCGTCCTCTGAGCCCCAGCAGGAACACAAAGAGCAGACAGGGCTCACGGAGATGCACTGTCACTAGTTTACAATGTAACCAGTGCTCCTCTGCACAGATGGGCCATTATCTGCCACCTTACACAGCACAGGCACTTTTTTTACAAAAAAGTTACCATCTTGCTTTGAATGGGAATATTCTGTGTACCCTCTTATGCAGCCCCAAGGTGGAATTCATCCAATTGCATTTCCTTTGTTATGATAAAAGGACTACGAAAGAATGCGAACATTGGGGCCTTTCAGGACTGTCACACTATGTCTTATTTTCTAGGTTACTGCAGAGGGGATATAGAGCTGTCCCATCCTCTGGGTAGAAATGGTAAACATGAGGCAGGTAGACACGAGGAGATGTGTGTTCAGCTTTCCCTATTTATCACCATCTCTGTCAAGAACTTTCCCAAACCACAGTCCAGGTGTATCTTCTGACAGTCCCCCAAAGTATGCAGAGAAGATTTAGATTATAAACAGTGGTGCTCAAACCTCATGAAGTCCTTTTTCTCACTGCATAATAAGTATGCAATTGACTAAATATTATTAGATCATTAACACACAAACTTGGCTGTATGTTGGAATCACTGGGGGTTTAAACACTACAGATGCCTGGCCCCACCCTCAGGGACTCTGATCTAATTGGGACGGGGTACAGCCTGGACACTGGGATTTGTAAAAGCTTCCCAGGTGACCTTAATGCAGAGCAAAGTCTGAGGGCCACTGCATTAGAAGCAACTTCAGCTTTTTGCTATTGTAAATGGGCTTTCTACTGTGTAATAAATTCTATAGAAGGCCATATAAGTGACCTTGGCCTAGGATTCTATGGAGGAATGAGGATTCTCAAACTACTTTCATATTATTTTTGCTTAAAAAATGCTTGTTTTTATTTTACATTTTCCTTTTACTGTAATATTTTGTTAGTTTCATGAAGCTTTTTTTTTTTCTTTTTTTTCCTTTTTTTGTTCTTGAGACACGGTCTCACTCTGTCACTCAGGCTGGAGTGCAGTGGCTCAGTGTCAGCTTACTGCAATCTACACCTCCACAGGCTCAAGCAATCCTCCCACTTCAGCCTCCCGAGTAGCTGGGACCACAGGTGTGTGCCACCACTCAGCTAATTTTTTTGTATTTTTGGTAGAGTCAGGGTTTCGCCATGTTGCCCAGGCTGGTCTCAAACTCCTGAGCTCAGGCAATCCACCTGCCTAGGCCTCCCAAAGTTCTGGGATTACAGATGTGAGCCACCGTGCCCAGCCACAAAGCTGTTTTTAATTTTACAAAAAAAATTTACCTTCAATGGGAAGGCACAGGCTAGATTAGCTATCAGGTTCCTTTGTTTTAGTCTGGAACTTTATTTACTCTACTCATTGTCCCATAATGATCAGAAAGCTCAGAGTGTTAAGTAACAGATGCAGTGGATAGATATCATGACTGAATAAGCACAGGGTAATACTTTCAGACTGGTAGACAAAATAATACAAGAGATTGCAGCTCCCTTTGTGATAAAACAATTGGGAACTAGATTGAAAGGTCAGTTAAAGATGAAGCAATGGGCTGGGTGTGGTGGCTCATGCCTGTAATCCCAGTACTTTGGGAGGCTGAAGCAGGCGGATCACCTGAGGTTAGGAGTTTGAGACCAGCCTGGTCAACATGGTGAAACCCCACCTCTACTAAAAATACACAAAAAATTAGCTGGGCATGGTGGCACATGCCTGTAATCCCAGCTACTCGGGAGGCTGAGGCAGGAGAATTGCTTTAATCCAGGAGGCAGAGGTTGCAGTGAGCCGACATCGTGCCATTGCACTCCAGCCAGGGTGACAGAGCGAGACTCCGTCAAAAAAAAAAAAAAAAAAGAGGAAGCAATAGTGAATTCCAATTGGAACCCCAATGGGAAATTCCTGAATGGATCCTAAGTTGTACCTCTCTCTGTCAGTCACAGTGGAGACTCTCCCTGCAGAAAGAAAGCTGGGACTCTGGGGCTGGGGCTGGGGCAGCACTTACTGTCTGATAGGTAATGACCAGCTGGATCACGGGCAGCGCGTAAAACACAGCAATGGTGATGATGTTCCTATGCAGGCAGAAAGAACCAGAAATGCTTATTTTCAAATGAACAGTGGAGTCTTTGGTTAATATTTTTAAAAGAATGCTTCCACCCCATAAGTCCATAATTAACTTGCAAAAGTAACCAGAAGCTGATTATGTGGTTCTTGTTTCTCCAGTTGTCCTCTCCCCTCTCTTGCATTGGGGCATTTGGTACACAGTATCTTGTCTAAAGGGGAATTAAAGAAGTAAAGAAAAGCTTCCCTTGGATACTTTTAGTTAGGGTGCAGAGGCAAAAACTGAAAATACTAACTGAAATGTATTTTTTTAAAAGGTTAATGATTGGTACCCAACAAATATTAGGGTTTCTTTTTTCTTTCTTTTCTTACAACCATTTGTAAAACAGTGTAAGTAGTACCTGCTTCTGGTTTAACCAAATCATTTATGAGGGCCTATCTCTTTAGGCTGCTGTTAGATTAAACATCAGAGTGTAAGTAATGAGTGACGGATCACGTGAAAGGGTGTGGTTTCCAAACTGATGGTCCCACTATGAAATTTCATGTGGCCCCATTGTCCCTTATTTCCTTCTAAGATCTGCATGCAAGTAAAAGGGCATCCTCCAGGAGAAAATAAGGGGAGGAGCTGTCACAAGAGTAGAATACTCAGCTTGGGGGTTTCTGAGGGGAGAGAAGATTTCTTGCAAGGCAGCTCAGCCTCTTGGCTGGGAGGGAGGCTGTGTCCATGTGTGTGGCCATTGCAGGTCTACTGATAGTTGGCTGGTAACATCATTCCCTATGCCTGTGCCTCATTAAACACTAAAACCTTGTGCCTAAGTGGTTGTGGCTCTGACTAAGAAAACTATGTTTATTTAAGGGAACCATGGTCCTACTGGTCATCTACTTACCAAAAATAAATTTTATATTTTTTGCTGACAATTCTCCGGTCCTTCCTGGACAAATCTGACAGGTAAAGGAACATCTGGAATGCCAAATAAAAAGAGAATGCAAAACTGTACTCAGCTCTTTATGCATGAGATACAAAGGCAAACATAACAAATGTCTCAATTTAAATTAAAATTGTTAAAATTATTCAAGCGATACAATTATTCAAATTTACTAAATTTGATTAAGTAAATCAAATTTACTTGATTAAAATTATTTAAGACTTTTCTTTTAATGTTGTTTTTCCCATGATACCTTAATAAAAACCCTAGTATTTTCCTTGGAATATTAAGGATTGGCTGATGTGGGCAACTTATTGGGAGTCTTGAGTGCTTCTTACATGTCAAGAATTGATTTCCCAGCTTTCAGAGCTGTCCACTGTGTGGTTCTTGAACTACATAGGGCTGAAACTGTACGTTTCCCCTTCATATCTTTTGCTGGATATGACAGAAAATAATAATCACAAGCCAGAAACAAATTAGCTTTCCTTTTGAAAGATGATATGCACAGAACCGGGGAGCTTTCCCCAGTACACCCCTCAAATGAATCTTTTCTTTAATCTGGTTGGATCCCTTCCTTCTTTATTGCCTACAGTCATTCACTTCAGACCTTAAGAGTGTTTTAATGCCCTGTGCTCTTTAATGTGCTCACTTTCTTCCGCGAGAAAAAAAAGTGCGAATTAACAGAGTATTGCTTTTAGTCTGTAGGTACATTTGATTTAAGTCTTCTGGGAAATTTGGGTTTCCCTGAAGGAAACAAAATAAAGGAAACTGAGGTATTGCTGAAGTTTATTCTACTGCCAAACTTTCTGCCCTCTCAAAGAGTACGGCGAGGCAGAGTGGGTACCTTGGTCCGGATGATGTTTTTATCACTCTCAATGTCTGGCATGGTGTCGAAGTCGCTCTCCTCCACGGAGCTGTCTGTGTCTGACTGGCCCGGTGGCCCACCATCGGAGGAGGACATCTGCCTTCCAGGACTGGAGCTTGACTCATCTGAAACAGAGACAACTCATCTGCCATCAAAAGCCGTGGAGAGCCTACGGAGCCCATTCGTCTCTGCAAAAAGCACAGTGCAGACTCATTCTAGGAAATGCTGTGTTGATCCAAATGAACTTCTCATTCACAAGACCTGTTCTTTCTCTCTATTCCTTCTCAATGGACTTTTATTTTTCCTCTTCTCCTGTTTTTATATTTAACTTGGCTATCTTCAGGACTGAACACATATTAGAATCTAAGGGCATCTGCTCTGTTAACTATTTGGATACAAAAATAATATTATACTTCTATTTCATGTTTCATATGTTAAAATATGAACATAAATATATACAAATACACATGCACATCGCTATGTATAGCATCTATTGCATATATGTGTGAGCCCACACATATCTAACAGCTATACATTTCTCATGGGTAAAGTATTTGTACACAGAAATCACCCACATGCTGTATCTATGATTATATAATGAAAACAACATTCTCAGGAAGAAGAATCCTTCTGTTCCCATGAATGTTTCCCAGAGCAGATGGAGATTTATGCAGCTTGATGGGCACATGAGCTGAGCTTACCTTCCGCTTTATTTCTTCTGTTCAGATGGTTTCTTAAAAATCCTGTTCTAACAGAACTAAAAATAAGTAGTCTGCACTGAGCCCACATGCTTCTCAAAGTTACAGAATGATAGGGCAGGAATACAGGATTCCCAGTCCCTCTACACTGACATTTTAAAGAGCACCATTCATAGGTCCACAAGCAATATGGAAGGGCAGGCAGCTCAATGAGCTTCTACTCTAACAAGACAGGTCTAGGATTCCATTCTTTTCAGCCCACTTAAGGAACACTGGGGTTTGCCATGTGAACGACTGGGTGGCAGTGAGCAGGTTCAATTATGAAGTCAGCCAAAATGAAGGATTGGTAGGCTACAGCCATGTTCACCTGCAGCACTGCCTCAGTCTTCTGATCGCCCCTTACTCCACTGAAACCTGAGAATGAAACAACTGGTCAATTGATGTCAGGCTCCCTGGGACACATCTTTCATGCCCTAAACCCGGGCTGGATATGAAAAAGTCCCTAGGGGGCCTTAGTATTAGATGGCAAACATTGAAGGAATTCTGCCCAAGTGGGGCTAGCAGATCCAAGAAACAGAACAACAGAACTGGAGAAAGTTAGAGCTGGGAGGAAGCTTCCAAATCTCCAAGCAACTCATCTTACAAATAAAAGACAATCTCATAGGATAGCTGCTTTGCCCACATTCCCAGTTATTAGTGGCTGGAATGCCTTTCTATCATATTCTCTGCAGAATTAGGAAACACTTTCATGAACAGACCTGGTAGGACATACCTATTGTCCCATAATTGCTCCCTTCGGGTGTGCTGGCAGCAATGGGATGAGATGCCACCATATTTCCAGAGCCTGTTAAAAAAAGTGAAGAGGCAAACACTTTATGTCCAGTTGCTAAAACAAAACAACACTATTCTAAGTAGCTTGAATCATCAGGGCACATTATTTTAGGTTTGATTTTCTTTTTACACTAATACAGGAGTCACCAAAACTATGACCCATCTGCCAAATCTAGCCTGCCACCTGTTTCTGTATGGCTCTTCAACTAAGATTAGTTTTCAAACCTTTAAATGACTGGGGAAAAAATCCAAAGAAGAATAATGTTTCATGACAGGTAAAAATGATACGAAATTCAAATTTCAGTATTTATGTATAAGTTCTACTGAAACACAGCCATCATTTCCATTGGTGGACAATAAAAATACTCAGTTTTGTAAGCCAGCTTTGTAGGTTTTTAGCATGTTTTAAATTTTTTATGTGTCCATTAATTTCCCCCATAAAGAAAAATAATTAAAGTGTAAACTCAAAACCTTTAGCCAGGTTTTGGACTTAAACTTTAATTATAAGGACTAATGCAATGGCCTTGGAGATCCAATTTCTTTTCTTCTTTGGTGGTTTAGCCAAGAGCTGGCTCAGCTGGACAGCAAGGCTTCTGGCTAACGCAGCATTTTTGGCAGCCTAAGCTGTTCCCAGGGCCCTTAGCACACAGATCTTGGCCTTCAAAATGCAGACTTTGGCCCTCAGAATGCATGCTCCCTGGCACTGTTACTAGGCTTGGAGATCCCCTCATAAATTTCTTCTTATTTAGGGAAATTAGGTGTTCCCTGGCCTTTCTTGGGCTGACCCATAAGTATGTAACATGTCATCAATACCATCTATGCTTTTCAACCAACTTCAAATCAAAGAAACAGGTTACCTTCAGACTGTTAAGTATGAGAGATCAAATCTTTCGAGCACAGTAACAGTGCCATGTGAAGATGTTGTGTGCAATTTGCCTGACTCTTTTTGACTTAGAACAGAATTGGCCATAGTTACAGCATAGAGCTTTGCTGCTGCAGCTGCTACTGCTGCTGCTACCAGTACTACCTCTATTACTACTGACTGATGTTTATTGCAGACTTACTGTGTAGGACAGTCTTTTAAATTCTTTCCAGGAATTTAGTCTTTTAAATTTTCAACAACCCTAGGAGGTTGATAATATTATTATCACCATTTTAAAGATGATAAAAGGGAGATGCTGAGAGATCATGTAATTTGCCTGGTCACTCTGAGAGTGGATGGATAGTGTTTCATTGTATTGGTCTCGGTGAGAACTTATTTTTTTTTTATGAAAAATTATTATTATTTCTTGGGACAGGGTCTCACTTTGTCACCCAGGCTGGAGTGCAGTAGTACGATCTCGGCTCACTGCAACCTCCACCTCCCGGGTTCAAGCGATTCTCCTGCCTCGGCCTCCTGAGTAGCTGGGACTACAGGTGCACATCACCACAACTGGCTAATTTTTGTATTTTTAGTAGAGACAGGGTTTCACCATGTTGGCCAGGCTGGTCTTGAACTCCCCACCTCAAGTGATCAGCTTGCCTTGGCCTCTCAAAGTGCTGGGATTACAGGCGTGAGCCACCATGCTTGGCCTAAAAAATGATTTTTAATTGTATATATTAAGATGTACAACATGATGTTTTGATATTACGTGCACATAGTGAAATGATTGCTATAGCTAAGCAAATTAACATATCCATCACTTTCCATAGTTCCCTCTTTTTTGTTGTTATAAGAGCACCTAAAATCTACTCTCTTCACAAATTTTCAACATAGAATGCAATATTATTAACTATATATATTCTTCCTACTGTATACTAGACTTATTCATCCTACCTGCCTGCAGATTTGTACCTTTTGACTTACAGCTCCTAATTTCCTCCCACTCCCTGTCCCTGATATTCACTGTTCTACTCCTTATTTCTATGTATTTTACTTTTTAAAAGATTTCACATATAAGAGAGACCATGCAGTACTTTGCTTTCTGTGTCTGGTGTATTCCACTTAGCATAACATCCTCCATGTTTATCCATGGAAGGCATATTGTTGCAAATGGCAGCATATCCTGCTTAAAGGCTGAATAACCTTCTGTTGTATTAGACAAAACTTATCTTTTTAACTGAAAAGACAGGAATTTTCCTTCAAACAAGAACAATTGGTAGTAAATATGTTACTTTCATATAGTGCTCAAGAATACCTTTCTAAAGAGACAAAGAGGTTGAGGCTCATTTGCATCTCCACTGTAATAAACTCACATTTTAAAAAAGCACAGCTTTTGCTTTTTAGATTGGCAGCTGCTGCCTGCCAATGATTACCCACTGGCGTGGGTCATCCTGCATCTTCTTTCTGTTTAGTTTATTGCAGGGAGTCTCATGGAACCCCTGGGTTGCTCTTATTCCTAGATGATGTTGTAGGTCTTTTACATTCCCCTCAGTATCTTTCACATTTTTCTCTTTTCAAGCTCCCTATTTTATTTTATTTATTTATTTCTTGAGACTGGGTCTCACTCTGTTGCCCAGACTGGAGTGCAGTGGCACAATCATGGCGCACTGTAGCCTCAACCACCGGGTTCAGGCGATCCTCCTGCCTCAGCCTCTTGAGTAGCTGTGACCACAGGGTCATGCCACCACACCTGGCTAATTTTTCAAAAATTATTTGTAGAGACAGAATCTCCCTAGGTTGACGAGGCTGGCCTCCAACTCCTTGACTCAAGCAATCCTCCAGTCTTGGCCTCCCAAAGTGCTGGGATTACAGGTGTGAGCCACCATGCCTGGTCTAAGCTCCTTATTTTAAGTCACTAACCTATGTCCTTATTTGAAATGTAATTTTGAAAATTATTAAATGTGCAAATAGTAAATGAAGAATGACACTAAAATCACAAAATGCTGAGAATATTATCATATATTTTACCATATATTTTATCATATAATATTACCATATGTTTTAAAGATGATAAAAGGGAGATGCTGAGAGATCAAGTAATTTGCCCAGTCACTCAGATAGTGGATGGATAGTGATTCCTTGAATTGGTCTCAGTGAAAACTTGTTTCTATAAAAAAAGATTTTTTAATTGTATATATTAAGATGTACAACATGATGTTTTGATGTTACGTGCACATAGTGCATTTTGGTGTCACTGGAAGTCCTCTGATATGGGAAGTTGAAGTTTGTATAAGAAAATACTGGAGGTCAGTTGTAGCAGGAGGTCGAAATTGTTCGTGGGAGCCAATGTTCTCTGTCTGTGTGTGTAATCAAAAGAAAAACAAAAACCAAAAACTAAAATCAAAGCAAGTGAACAAACAAAAACAATCAGTGTTTTGTTAGGTGACAACTTCACTAAAAAGACAAAGCCAGCTGTGTAGGTCTGTTCAGACTTTAAGGAATCACTGATTTCTGTTTTCTGCTCTGGCTCATCACTGAGCATGATCTGGTTTTGATGTTGTTGCTGGCCCTGTTCATTTTGAGGCAGCTGCAACATCATGGGTTCTGTGACAGATAAGAGCACCAAGATTTTCATGTGCAATACCATTGCCAGCATGCAAAAATGTTTTCATTCTGTGGACTTTTATATGCACCAATTAAATATGAGATTGGCCAACATGGGATAACAGTATTCTTTTCATTTTGCTTATGTCTAAAGCCTTTTAAGAATGCAAAAACCAAGGCATTTCCTTCTAAACGTCAAGTATGGTCTGGGAAGGCAAGCCATATCTATATTTAACTGTATAGTACATAGAAAGCATAATTCAACACAAAATATCAGCTTATAAGACAGACCAAGATGTTCTGGCTGGAAATAGCAGACACTTACGATTGTGAATGATCTCATCTTAATGAGGAAACTTGTTTTGATATGTGTTTCTCTGAGCTTGAGCCCCCTGCATCTGTCTACTTCACTGACATAGAACAGGATATGCTTGCACGCTTGCTTTTTATGGTAAATGCCTTATGTGAGGAGAAAAATTTCATTTCATTTTGAGCATGTTTGCGTCTTTCAGGGACTTCATATTTATAGTTGCCTTGTCCCATTATGTCTCTGAAGACTCAGCAGGTTGGAAGCTGAAGAGGGAGCCAGAAATGATGGGAACTAGCTAGCATGATTTTTTTTTTTTTTTTTTTTTTTTTGAGATGGAGTCTCGCTCTGTCGCCAGGCTGGAGTGCAGTGGCATGATCTCGGCTCATTGCAACCTCTGCCTCCCGGGTTCAAGTGATTCCCCTGCCTCAGCCTCCTGAGTAGCTGGGACTACAGGTACATGCCACCATGTGCGGCTAATATTTTGTATTTTAGTGGAGACAGGGTTTCACAATGTTGGCCAGGATGGTCTCAATCTGCTGACTGTAGGCAATCCACCCGCCTCGGCCTCCCAAAGTGTTGGGATTACAGGTGTGAGCCATCGTGCCCAGCCAAAATTTTATTTTTATGCCAATTGCCTACCTATCCCAACTTAGTGTCACGTTTTGTTTCAATAGTTGAAGAAAAAATGAAGAAAACCATCATCTTTGCAGATGGATGTAAAAGTAAAATTCCTCTAGAAGAAAAAGCTGGACAAGAAAACTAGAAAAAGAAGAGTAGAGATCTAGGACTAAAATTTGAGACCCTTTGTCACTGAATGGCCTGCGTTCCTTGAGTCCTCCAAATTCAACACTCTCCTTGTCTTATCTCCACCAGATCTTGCTCTTGGCTAAGAGGCTGGTTCAGTAATGGCTGTATCCAGGGAAGGATTGGGTTGGCCATTTGGTTCTTAAATCTACAACCGATTAGGCCTGCCAAGCTCTTGCATTTGAGAAAGTAACCTCCTCTTCTGTTGTACCCCAGTTCCTGGTGGCAACTCAAGGGGTCCCAGAGGCCTGTTGGGGAGGCTTCATTATTTTTCTCAGCTGGTAACTGAATTTCTGTAGAGGCTCTTTAACAATGATGTGAAATGTGGGGTTTCTCTCTGATAAAGCCAGTGGAGGAAATGGTTTTAGAGCACAGAGCCTTTCTTAGTACCTCTCAGATTCTCACAGATGCCCTGTCTTTGGTATTAAGGATAATTAGACAATACAGGGTCCAGTCATTCATAGTACAGTAAAAAAGTCCCTTCAAGTCCCCTGGAGCAGCTCTTTGCCAACAGTATTTCCATCTCACCCAGGCTCCAGGGTCTAATCTTCTTCTTCATCCCATGAAGTATGAAATACATTTTTTTGCTTTTTATTATAGTTGGAGCTAACATGGAGATTTTCACATACAGCTTAATTAAATCACTTCAGGCATATCAAAGAAAAACAAATGCAGAGTAGCGCACAGATTTTCTGAGTGCATCCTTCCTAACTCCAACAGAGCTGCCACCAATTTGGCAACCTGTAGGGACCTGATTCCATTTCTTCCACTTCAGTCACGTCTAAGGTGAAAGCCTTAGGCTAAGTTCCACAGATATCTAGCTCCACAATGATGTGGGCAGAGACCGTATTAAGTCTAGTGGGATCCTCTTCCCCTTTAAGAAGCTGCTTCTAGCATTTTCTCTGGATATAAGCACCCAAGGCATTTCCTGTAACTCTGAGCTCCATCGAACTTCCTGTGCCCCATGGTCATGCTGATCCTGGCCTTGGGAGAGAAAGACATTTCTGTATCCTTGTTTCTTCCCTGAATGTCTGTCACTAGCTTCCAGATATGGTCCTTACTTGCCTCTGTCTCTTGCTCCTGGTTGATTTCTCTATGCTCTGTTTGAGATGCCTAAAAAAGTCACTGGTTCTTCCCTTGGGCAGTGCTTGTCTTCTGCTCTTGGTTTAAGCATCTAGGTCTTGACTCACCAGTGGTCATGACATTGGGGGTGATGCCATCATTCCCTGTGGCCTCTCTACCTTACAAAGGTTCCTTATTTTCTTCCTATTTCAAGACTTTTGTGTGGTGAATATTCCTATTCCCTACTTCTTACCTAAGCTGGTGTGTTATTTAGGTGTCTTCATGTGTTTAGGTCCATGGTTCTCAAACAGGGGGATGTGGGGAAAGAGTTTTGCCCCCAAAAAGACATTTGGCAATGTCTGGAGGCTTTTTTTTTTTTTGAGACACGGTCTTGCTCTGTCACCTAAGTTGGAGTGCAGTGGTGCGATCTCAGCTCACTGCAGCCCCAACATCCTGGGCTCAAGCGATCCTCCCATAGCAGCCTCCGAAGTAGCTGGAGCACAGGTGCACACCACCACGCCCACCTAATTTTGTTTATTTTTTGTTTTTATGAAGACGAAGTCTTACTATGTTGCCTAGGCTGGTCTCGAACTCCTAGGCCCAAACAATCCTCCAACCTCGGCCTCCCCAAATGCTGGGATTACAGGCATGAGCAACTGCACCAAGCCTGGAGGCATTTTTAGTTGTCCCAAGGAGGGGCAACTCCTAGAATCTAGTGCACGGAAGTGAAGGATGCTATTAAACATCCTATAAGATACAGAATAGCCCCCAACAACAAAGAATTATCTGGCCTATGATGTCAATAATATTGAGTTTGAGAAACTCTGGTCTTAGAGAAGAGGACCTAATCTTAATTCTGAAAGTAGGTTTATCTGATGTGTAGGTAAATCTGTTCTTTGCAGTGACTGGTTTAACAATAAGTGTATGATTCACTCTAGGCCAATGAAACACAAGAAGTTGCTGAGGGCTTCTTAAAAGGTCCTTCCCTCTGGTGCTGCCAGGTGAAGGTGTGAGCCTTGACCCATGTCACTGCCAGCCCTGGGAGTAAATTGAAGCCAAGGGAATGGCAGGGAAATGGACCAGAGCCACTGGACTCATCAATCCTGAAGTACATCTTTTGGCTCTACTTCCAGAGCTAGGAGTCTCTTTCTTGATTAAGCAGGTTTGAGATTTTTTTTTTCTTGTTGCTGTGGTTACCTACAGCCACATGAATCTCAATGATGCATCTTTACTCTTTTTGGTCACTCATTTGTTTCCGCTTACCATCAGAAGGGTACCTCCAGCTCTTAGCTAATTTTCAGAGCCTCCCTGAACCTGGACAATGATCTGGCTCAAGTCCCAGCTTTGTCCACTTATGCTTCAATGTTCAACAGACCCTTCTGAATGCAGAATTCCTTCAATAAATATTATTATAATAAAAAGACTTCACTCATACTATAAAAAATAACAGACTAACCATTCAGAGGCTACCCAATGGGATTCAATCGATTGGATGTAGGCCTAAGTTCAACTAGGCCTAAACTAATCACAAAACTTGGAGGCACAAAACTTTTTTCCTGTAGGAAAAAAGATGACATCCAGAGAGCAGACAAATTCATTTAAACATCTGACGACTAAAAGGGAGAGGAGCATTTAGCACTTTAAAGCCACGAGAGCAGGTGTTCTTTTATAGTCTTTTATATTGACAGCTGAATGTTTATAAAACAAAGTGCTTGGGTGGCTGGAAAAACAGGCATGCTGACATTAAGGAAGACAAACATTAAAAAGAAAAAAGCAAACTCTCCAGCAAAGGGAGCAATGATCCTGCTGGAGGGGGGTAGGGGGTGAGTTAAAGTCTTTCTAAGATTCTGTGGCCTCATTTAAGTGTGGAAAACACACACCTAAACATCTGCTATGTATGACTTAAAAACCAAGTTCCACTTCATATTCCTCTTTAACCAAATTCTTGCTCTATGCCAAATAACCTATGAGCACTGAGTTTAGGTTTTTCAAAAATGAGGACATTTAAATTTTTAATTTTGTTAAAAAGATCAGGTCATTGAATTCTTTTGTTCAAACTCTCAGAGTGGAGGAAAAGGCATAGTACAATTGCTGGATAGTCAATTACTCTGGATTCCCCCAAGTTATTATACTCTTTATTATACTTGCTAGGGTCAAGTATTTCAGTTTTCTAGACACTTAAGAAAGCCTCCATCTTAGTTTGGGAAAAAGTAAACCATGTATCAGAGTTGGCACAATACATTCTTACTGTTGTTCACAAATCAGCTTTGGGATAGGACAGGTATGAACAATTATGTCCTAGAAAAGGTGAAACTTTTAAAAAAGATGAATGGCTGACCAATGATCTGTGATTACAAGGGACACTCCTAGTAAAGGTTTTTAGTGTGAGCTCCACGTCTCAATAATTATCAACTACAGCAGCAGTCTCCAACATTTTTGGCACCAATATTTAGGGACTGGTTTCATGAAAGACAATTTTTCCACAGACGGGGGTGGGGATGGGTTATGGCATTAGATTCTCATAAGGAGCACGCAACCCAGATCCCTCGCATGCACAGTTCACAATAGGGTTTGCGGTCCTATGAGAATCTAATGCTGCCACTGATCTGAGCGGAGGTGGAGTTCAGGTGGTAATACTTGCTCACCTGCCACTCATCTCCTGCTGTGCAGCCCAGCTCCTAACAGGCCACGGATCAGTACCAGTCCACGGCCTAGGGCTTGGGACCTCTTGAACTATAGAATTGGTTTTCACTAGCTTTGCTTTCCAACTGCAGGCTAGACTACTCTGCGGGATAGGAATCAAGGGAGGGTTTGTAAATTGCAAAAGGCAGAGAGGTAAAAGAAGCATGAAATGGGATGTTGCCACACTATGCGACACCATTTTGAATTGAAACCAAGCATTGCTCTTACCATCATTGGACCCAAAGCTTCCATCAATGGATTTTCTCTGAAACCTGCAAACAAGCACATACACATGCTCCTAAGACAGTGAAAACCTCAGCATTTTACATTTGTTCCTTATAGATTTTGTTGCGGATTTGTCTACTAGGATCTCTTCAAAACATGTCTTTGGGGCCAGGTGCGGTGGCACACACCTGTAATCCCAGCACTTTGGGAGGCCAAGGCAGGCGGATCACAAAGTCAGGAGTTCAAGACCAGCCTGGCCAATATGGTGAAACCCCGTCTCTAATAAAAATACAAAAATTAGCTGGGCGTGATGGCAGGTGCCTGTAGTCCCAGCTACTTGGGAGGCTGAGGCAGGAGAATTGCTTGAACCCAGGAGGTGGAGGTTGCAGTGAGCTGAGATCATGCCACTGCATTGGGCGACAGAGCGAGACTCCATCTCAAAAAAAAAAAGAAAAAGAAAAAGAAAAACAAAACAAACAACAACAACAAACAAACACATGTCTTTGGATATGGAGAAATTGGAACTCATACATTGTTGGTGGGAATGTAAAATGGTGCAGTCACTTTGGAAAAGTTTGTCAGTTTCTCAAAAAGTTAAAGAGTTACCATATATCCCAGCAATTTCATTCTCAGGCATATACATCATTTATTCATTCATCAGTTTTCAGATGTAATTCACATACCATAAAATTCACCCTTTAAAGTGCATAATTTAGTGAGTTTTAGTATTAGATTGGTGCGAAAATAATTGTGATTTTTGCCTTCAAAAATAATGGCAAAACCGCAATTACTTTCACACCAATCAAATACATTCACAAAGTTGTACAGCTCCCACCACTATCGAATTCTAGAATATTTTCATCATCCCCAGAAGAAATCTCAAACCCATGACCAGTCACTCCCCATTCCCCACTCCCCATCCCCTAGAAAACACTAATCTACTTTCTGTCTCTATAAGTTTGCCTATTTTAGACATTTCATTAAAAATGAATTATATTACATGCGAACTTTTGTGTCTAGTTTCTTTCACTTAGTGTAACGTTTTCAAGGTTCATCCATGCTGTAGTATGCGTCAGTACTTCAGTCTTTTTATGGCTGAATAATATTCCATTGTACGGATAGACCACATTTCATTGACATGCTTGCACTTAATGGATATTTTGGTTGTTTTCACATTTTGGCTATCATGAGTAATACTGTTATGAACATTTGTGTACACATTTTTGTGTGGACATATGTTTTCAATTATCTTGGGTATATAGCTAGGAGTGGAATTGTTGAGCATGAGATAACTCCATGTTTAACTTTTTTTCCAAACTGTTTTCCACAGTGGCTGCACAGCAAGAAGAGTCTTTCATCCCCAGAGTCTCGCTCTGTCGCCCAGGCTGGAGTGCAGTGGTGCGATCTTGGCTCACTGCAAGCTCCGCCTCCCGGGTTCACCCCATTCTCCTGCCTCAGCCTCCCATATGTCTTTCTTTATGTCAGTACCAGAGTCTTGATGACTGCAACTTTGTAATAAGATTGATATCAGAAAGTGCAAATCCTTTAACGTTCTTCTTTTTTTTTTTCAGGATTGTTTTGGCTTCTCCCTTTCATTTTCATATGAATTTTAGGATCAGTTTGTCCATTTCTGTAAAAAAGCCAGCTGGGACTTTGCAAGGGATTGTGTTGAATTTGTAGATTAATTTGGGAACTATTGTCATGTATATTAGTTTCCTACTGCTGCTGTAACAAACTCACAGACTGGGTGTTTAAAACAATACAAGTTTATTATCTTACAGTTCTGGGAGTCAGAATACCAAAATGTGCCTTATATGGCTAAAATAAAGGTGTCAGCAGGGCTGTACTTCTGGAGGCTGCAGGGGAGTATTCATTTTCTTGTCTTTGAAGCTTCTAGAGGCAGCCTGTATTTCCTGACTCACAGCCCCTTCCTCCATCTGCAAAGTATATCATTCCAACCTCTGCTTTCTTTGTCGCATTTCCTTCTTCTGCCTTTGACCTTTTTGTCTCCTTCATAAGGATTCTTGTGATTACATTAGGTCCATGTAGATAACCCAAGATAATCTTCATAACTTTATCACATCTACCAGTTCCTTTTGCCAGGTAAGGTAACATATTCACAGGTTCTGGAGATTAGACATAGAATTCTTTTGGGGACCATTATTCTATTTACTGCATTATCTTAACAATATTAAATCTTCCAATCCATGCACATGGGATGTCTTTTCATTTAAGTCTCCTTTAATTTATTTCAATGATGTTTTGCAGTTTTCAATGTACAAGTCTTACATTTAATTTGTTAAATTTACTCCAAAATATTTTATTATTTTTTGTGCTTTTGTAAATGGAATTGTTTTCTTAATTTTATTTTTGGATTGCTCATTGCTAGTGTAGAGAAATACAAATGATTTTTTGCATATTGATCTCAAGAAATCTTGTTAAACTCGGAGTTTCTTTTTGGAATGATGAAAATATTCTGAATTAGATCGTAGTGATGGTTATGCAACAGTGAATATCCTAAAAAATCACAGAATTGTATACTTTAAAGGGGCGAATTTTATGGTCTATGAATTGTATCTCAATAAAGTCATTATTAACAAACAAACTATACCATTTGGGAATGGCCATCAAAAATTAAAATGTGAATTATTCTCTCAAAATGAGGTTGGAGGGGTGTGAGAGGAAAGTTGGGGACCAGAAGTGCCCATGTTTTGATACATTCTCTTATTACTTCCAGATGGGAACTCTATAAGTTGCATATCCTGATTTTGTATGTTTGGTGGAAGAACTTCTCTTCATAGCTCTTTTGTTCCTAGACACACCAAACTCCTGAATGGCAGAGGGCTTTGGCTTTTGTTCTCTACCTGAGTCATTCTCTCCCCAGATCCTTACATGGCAGGCTCCTTCTTGCCATTCAGGTCTTGGTTATGAGAGGACTTCCCTGCCAATCAAATCTAATCTAAAGCAGCTTCTCCAATGCAATCGTTCTTTATCATACCACTGTGTTTTTTCTGTCAGGAACTGGAATGATTTTCTTTATTAATTGCTTACTTGCTTGTATATTTCTTCCCTGTAAAATGTAAGCTCTATCACAGCAGGGATCTATACTGTTTCATTCACTATAATATATCTCCAACTTCTAGGATATAGCTGGCACATAGAAGATGATCACTAAATTTTTATTGAATGAATGACGCATATCATTAAGGAGAAAAGTTGGCCAGGCGCAGTGGCTCACGCCTGTAATCCCAGCACTTTTGGAGGCCAAGGTGGGTGGATCACCTGAGGTCAGGAATTCAAGACCAGTCTGACCAATATGGTGAAACCCTGTCTCTACTAAAAATACAAAAATTAGCCAGTCATGGTGGCACGTGCCTGTAGTCCCAGCTACGGGGGAGGCTGCGACAGGAGAATTGCTTGAACCCAGGAGGCAGAGGTTACAGTGAGCTGAGATCGTGCCACTGCACTCCAGCCTGGATGACAGGGCGAGAGACTGTCTCAAAAAAAAAAAAAAAAAAAAAAGGGAGAGAAGTTATAATTTGGCCTGACTCTCATAGCTGGCAAAAGAGGCTGTGGTGAAGTTCCTTTTTAATAATTTTAGTTAACAATTGACTGGAAAGCAATTGTATGTACTCATAGAAGATGATATGTTTTGATTATGTGTTTGTATTCACAGACTTTACCCAAGTTTGCACTAGATTCTGGAACTGACAAAATTTTTCATTAGATGAGTTAAATGATTTACAAAGCTAGGATAAGGCAGGTGGTATCTAGTGAATAAAGGAAAAAATAGCAAATGAGGACTGTGCTAGATTGATTGCAAAATGGCTGCACCTCACCTTATATCCAGCTCTTTCAACCAAAGGTAGAGTCTACATCTTCATTTCCTGAATCTAGACTACCCTCATGACTTATTTTGGCCAATTGAATGAGGGGGAAGTAACATTGTGCTAATTCCGAATCTGCATCTTCAAGAGGCCTTGCACTCTTCTGCTGTCTGTCTTGGAAACAAATAAGCCCCAGCTAGCCTGCTTCAGGATGACAGACAAGTGCAGCTGAGGCCAGCCCAGAAGAGCTAGCTCTTAGTTGATCTGTCAGTGGACCACACTCTCTCATCACACCCACCTGGGATCTCTCAGCCCAGCCCAGATTAGCGGAACCATCCAGCTGACCCATAGATTTGTGAGCAAACTTAAACATGTATTGCTGTGTGCCACTGAAGTTTTTTTTTTTTTTTTTAATGTAGCATTATTGTGGTAATAGATAACGAATACAAGAATCAAAGGGAAGGATGAGTATTCTGGATTGGGCAGTTTGGATTCAATGTCTGGCAATGTGATTGTGAAGAACAAATAAGAGAACAGGTATGCAGTGCTTGACCCAGGGCCTGCACATTCATCGTGGGGGGCTTCATAAACGCATGTTGAATGGACTGAGGCTGGAGGATGGGAAGGGAATAGTGTTTAGTTTCAGGCTAATACAGTATGAAGACACTTTGGATTCTTACCTCCCTGATGGCAAGGGCCATGTCTCTGATCAATGTTTTTTATCCTGATCTCATAGCACGTACTACAAACCCCATAGGTATTCGTAATAGGGTTTAAGGGACTCATCAAGTAACTGGCATTATGCTGAGATGAGTAGCTTCATATGGTTTTTACAGAAAACTTTTTATTTTGCTTAGTTAATGAAGGAAAAGTTCTCCTATTAGCATTTTTTTCCTCAGTCTATTCTTCTATTTAGAATGCCAAATAGTTCTTACATCTCCAGATTTCTATTTCCACTTTGTCTATATTTGGAGAAATCTATGCTGTGCATTTGACCATAGCAAAATAATCTGTGGCTAGAAGTTTCCATAGAGCCTTATACCACAGCTTAGAAAAACTGTGCTTGGCTTAGTTGGCTAAATAACAACTTTAGAGCGATTGATAACCAGCTATTAGCTTAACTTGTCTGTTTGTATGTTAACTATACTAGCTAACTAATGAGGAACACTCCTGTTTTCTAAAATCTAAAACATCAGGATTAGAGACAGTCTTCCTATGACAGGCATAACAGAGGAACTTCTTTCCATGATATTGGAACTCATCCAAGGCAAAACTGGAAGTGTTTTGGACCCCTTTTCAACTTAGATCCTTGCTGGGGTGCCAGGCTTTTGGTCTGGCATTCTTGGTCAGCACTGTCATCTCTCATAGGGCCTGACCACTCTAGACCCATTTTGATCAGCCTGCTTTAGGCCTAAGGCTCTGGATCCAGACTGCCTGAGTTCAAATCCTGGCTCCTTCATTTACTGGCTGTGAATTCTTCGTAAAATTGCTTAATCCCTCTGTGCCTCAATTTCCTTAACTGTCACTTGGTGATAATAACAGTACCCACTGTTGAGGGGCATCAGATGAGATAATCTACTTAGAGCGCCTGCCATGAAAGGCAAATGGAACCATGCTTTCTTTCAAATGTATCATATGCTGTTTTCTTTTAGTAAATGGAAGAGTATGACACTAAAAGGAGTTTGTAAACAAACATCAAGAAGAAGTTAATTAGAGCACAGAGCCTGGCACACAGCAGGCACCTGTTAAATATTAGTAACTCTGATTCGATAAATTAATTGAGCTGCTAATCAGTTAATGTATACTTTCCAGGTATAATATTCACCTGTAGCCTGGGGTTTTTGTTTTTAACTTGTATTTGAAAATAATTTCAGATTTACAGAGAAGTTGCAAGAATAAGAACATAGAATACCAATATATCCTTTAAATAGATTCAAACAATTGTTAGCTTATTACCTCATTTGCTTTTATCATTCTCACCTCCCCATAAAGATGTAATATATATGATATATATGTATCAAGATACACACACACATACATATACACTTTTTTTTCCTGGACCATTTGAAAGTAACTTGCATACAACCAAGACCTAAACTTTTATTCCTAAATATTTCAAAAAAAATTCTCTTACATAACCACAATACAGTTATCGAATTCAGCAAATTTAACATTGATGTGATATTCTTATCTAATCTACTATCTGTATTCCAGTTTTGTCAATTGACTCAATAATGTCCTTTGTTGAATATTTTTCTGCTAGTGTAATGTAAGATCCTGATTGAGATCAGGTATTGTCTTTGGTTGTAACATATCTTTAGTCTCCTTCAATCTGGAATACTTATGTAACTTTTCTTTGTCTTTTATGACACATTTTAATAGAATGTTTATCATTGGAGGTTGTCTAATTTTTCCACATGATTAGATTCCAAATATGCATTTCTGGAATGCTACAAAAGTGACATTGTGTCCTTCTCAGAGTGTCACATCTGGAGGCACACAATGTCCATCTTCTCCTTGGTGATATTAATTTTGATCACCCGGTCAATATGTTTGATTTCTTACTGTATATCTACTATTTTTTCCACTTTAACTACTAAGCAATTTGTGAGGATACAGTTTAAGGCCATGCACACATCTTCATCCTCATCAGATTTCTGCACCCTAGATTTGGCATTCATCGATGATTCTTAAGCAAATCTAGTCTTTAACATAATGTTTGCAAAATGATGATTTTCCAACTCCAGCACTCCTCCATATTTACCAGCCAGCTTTTGGCATTTTGCTGTGGTCAAGAGTTCTTTCTCCCTTCTACTATCAGTATCTGCTAATGGCTCCTTTCCCGAATGGGTAGCTGTTTTCATAAATTTGTTGAATTGCTGAATGTGTATCCACAGGTGTTTAGGCCCTTCCTTCCTTTATCAACAGGGACTCATACACTTCTATTTTTTCCAATGGTTTATAATTCATTATTCTTAATAATTTTGGTGTTCAAATTGTCCCAGATTTGGCCAGCAGTCATCTACTGTTTTTGAAGGCAATATCTGAACTCAAAAATTTCATACAGGTCATCGAGGCAGTTATTTTTTGAATAGGAGATAGACCCATATTCTTAAAATACGTAGTTGTATCACTGAGGTAGCCATGAAGTCTTTCCATGGATGGAGTTCATTTTGCAAACAGTCTCAAAACTCAATTCTGGCTTTGTTTTCTTTACATGTTCAAGAAGAGAAAGAACATTTGTTTATTGTAAATCTCCTGCCATTCTTTTGTAGTTGTTTCACAGAGAATGCCACAAAGAATGGAATTCTCAAGGTTCAACCCCGCTGAGAGAGGGAAGGAAAGCCCTGTGTCATTAGGGGCTCCAAACTCTTCGCAAGGGAAATTTCTTTGGTCAAATTACAGCACAATTACCTCCTTTCCCCCTCCAAGGGACATTTTACTGGAAAATTGATGCTACAACAGAAGGAAAACACTTGGTAATGCTGTATCAAAGAACATTACTCCTGCTCTTTGTTGCACCTCAAGATTTATTTTAGGCATTACATTTACTTTTTGTTAGAATGTTTAAAGCTGTTTCTAAATCTCCATGTTAGGATAAACTGACCATCTACAGTGAGTATTTTCTGGTTTAAAAAATATACATGTTGCCTTTTTGTTGAGTTTTAATTAACTATGAAAATAACACTCTACCAGCACCTATTATGTGTGTGTTATTGATATAAAAGCTGCAGTTGTACTTTTTGTGGGGTAAATTATTATCTCACTTTATGGATGAGGAAACTGAAGCACAGAGAGTTGAGCAACATCTCCAAGGTCACAAGGTATCCAAGGTCACATTGCTAGTGGCTGAGGGAGATTTGAAGCCAGTCAATATATCTGTCAAGTCTGTGCTGCAAGCGTTACACAGAGACAGGCACAGGGAATTAACATTTCTAGAAAAGATTGACCTACCTCAGATAATGAACAAACCCAACAAGAAGGCATCCCAAGTAGAAGGACAGGAAGATGAAGACACTGAAAAGACTGGATTTCACATAAACAGATTCTGAAGGGAGAGAAACAACTTTGGTCAGGTCATCCTCTGCAGAAAAGAAGACTCCATCTGAGACAGGACGGCTTAAAGGGCCCCCTCCATCATATTGATTCTTAGGTCCTAATAAATTTTTGTTCACAGCAAAACTGCTACTGGAGGTCCCCAGACATTATCCACAGTAGCTACCTTTCACAATGATGACTTCCCAGTAGAAGCTGGGAAGGGACTTCACGATTGAGGTCCCTTTCTTTTTAGGAGGGATTTAACAAAATGCTCTGACTCCCTTTTCTATTTCTAAGGTAAATATACTTTAGTTTTCTTATGACAATTCTCTCTGGAAGGATGACAGTAATATCAAATTATATGACTGATTTTCTGACACAGGAATCTCTTCAATGCATTCTGGAGCCAACACTGACCTTTAATGGAAGGGACAATGGTCACTTCAAGGTTCTTTTTTCGCTGTAGATTCCAGGTCTGGTTTTCCTTTTCTGGTTTAAAAAAAATAAAAAAAGAACAAAGCACATTGAATCAGATAATGATTTTTTTTGGTCTCTTGTCTGAACTGTTGTTCAAAAAATGTCCAGAATTAATTCTGATCACTGAATCTTATTTTAGCAAGAACTGGAGGAATATGTAACCCCCAAACCTTCAAACCATCAGAAATCCCTTTTGGTTAAGGAGACTAGCATTAGACTCTCAATTTGGCCTTTGCTTGTGTGCATTTTGGTACCACTAACAGATGCAAACAAGATTGCGGCCTCCCTTCTCCAATGAAGAGGGGTGGACCCTTCCCCTGATATCCACAGCCATGTGAAGAAAACAGCTGTGAAAACAGAAGCTACCTCTTCCTTTGGTTTGTATGTTTCTAGCCAGTGCAAATTTTTCCCTCTTATATAGTCATGAAAGGGCTTGTAGTTTACCAAGGAATATTTGACATTGGCAAAATTTTGGAGCCATGTAATTAAGAGGTTAAAGAACACACTAGGAGAAATTTCACCTAAACATTAATATCAAGGAAATGATGTTACACTCAACAGTAAACACACTTTGTGTTGGTCACATGTGATTAATCACTGGCTAGTGGTCTATGTTTTCAATCATCAGCCTATTCTGCCCTTAAGGTAGCTACTGGGTAGTTAACCATAACTATTTGTGCTATGCCTAAGAGCCCCCATAACCCCTTATTATTGGGATAAGTTGTAGCAGTTGGGCTTTCTTACTATTTTTCAAGGTATAATTTTGGCAACTGAGATGCAGAATGCTGAATTTTTCTTGTCCATCATTGTGGAAATGATGACTACTGATAAATTAAGTAGCTCCATGGCTACTGGTTACCACCCCATCTTAAGAAATGGACTTTGATCGCTGTGTAAGATCATTACTTCATGGTAGCAAATATTTGTTGAGTAAAGGGCCAACCGAGTGAACTTATCTTCCATGGTCTGAGGGAATACAATGCTTCAAAAAGATGAAATGTACTAAATGATATTTTGTAGTATCGATAATACCTTTAGATCTGTTACTTTCTATCTTTCGTTTTTTTTCTCAAGTATCTCTCAGATGCCTTTCCCATCATGATGATGGAACCAACCCTTGTTTAGTGGGAACTAGAAAGGAGGTTTCAGCTTCCCTTTCACTCCCTTCCTTCAGGTTTTGCTAAGCAGCCAAGTGTTCCTCACTAGCTCTTACCCTGGATGAAGAAAGATCCTCCACAGGCATAATCTTCAGGCTTTATCACAAATACCACGAAGAACTGCTCGCCTGGAAAATCCTTCTTCTGCATAAGACATAACAACCTTATGATAGGCGGTAAGAAAGAGGTAGAAGGGAGAAAGTCCCTGGGGGTAGGGGCAGAAAGAAAGAGGAAAGAGAAGGAAAATAAAGTTCACCCCTGCCCTCTAACTCCTTGGAAAGGACTTTCACATACCCATGATTTACTCCAGATTATCCACTCTAAGATAATTGTTACATCCAAGAAATTAAGGTAAATAGATATACATTCCTGATTTCAATCAATTTTGTGCCTATTTGAGAGCTTAGAACTATAATAAGCACCATATAAATAATATGTGAATAGCCTATGTTTAATAACTAATGCTTACATGTTAAGTTTTTATTTTAGAATCTAATGATAAATCACTTTTCTAAAATGGACACACTCAGCAGTTAAATAAATAATTTAGGTTAGGGAGGCAAAGGACTCAGTTATCATCTTGGCTTTGAGTTACTCTAAGTATGTTTCTCTATGTGCCCATTTCCTCATCCATGAATGAAGTGCGGTTGACAAGATGAACTTTAAGGTCCGTTAGAGTTCTATAACCCAGACTTAAAAAAAAATCATCCCCAAACTTCTGGTGTTATGTTCAGCCCACTGAGAAAATGGCTTATTTATTTATTTTTTTTATTTCAGGCATAGCTGTAAATCATTTTGTTTGTTTGTTTGTTTTTTGAGAAGGAGTTTCGCTCATGTCGCCCAGGCTGGAGTGTGGTGGCGTGATCTCGGCTCATTGCAACCTCTGCCCAAAAGGTTAGGCCCCAAAAGAGAAGTAACAATTTATTGCCAAACACATCCAGGGAAGAGAGTTATTGATATGCTTGCCCTTTATGAATTTAGTGTCCCGGATGAAATACAATTTGAAGTTCCCTACTATAGTTATTTTTCTGTCCTCTTTTATTTGGGACCACATAATGCGGGATGCCAAGAAAGAAAGAAATACTGAAAAACAAGAGCAGATATTTGGGATATCAAATCTGAAGCCTTTGAAAATTAAAGCCTGACAGAAAATTTTAGGTCTCATACCTAAATTATAATTAACTTCTCTTCATTCTTGCCTTATTATTCAGTAAACAGTATCACCTTACCCTAGGGAACAGATCACGCTGCAGGTACTTTAAGTAAGTACCTCCCCCAAAGCAGGGACAGAATCTCCTTGAAAATATGCTTACATGACATGTATACATTTTTGTTATAAAATTACAATTGAAATAATAATTACAAATATCATAAGATAAGCTGCTGTACAAATATGGTCCATATTCTTTTGAATCTGTCCATTCTGTTCAGAATTGAAGACCTCATTTGCTTACTGTTACTGGTATAGATTATTAGAATATGTTTAATTGCTTTAAATGGATCTGACAAACTTCACCCTAAATTGGCACCCCCAATAAGTAGACTGAAATCTTCTGGCCCTACCTCTCTGAGCAATCTGTCAGATACACGTCCCATCGCACCATGGGCTCCTAATAATTGTCAAGGGGAAAGAGGCACCTGGTAGAGTAGCATTGTCTACCATCACCTAGGCTTTGATTTCAATGGAGTTTTGCTGTTGTCGCCCAGGCTGGAGTGCAGTGCTGTGCTCTTGGCTCACTTCAACCTCTGCCTCTTGGGTTCAAGAGACTCTCCTGCCTCAGCCTCCTGAGTAGCTGGGATTGCAGGTGTGCACCACCAAGCCCAGCTAATTTTTGTATTTTTAGTGGAGACAGGGTTTTGCCATATTGGCCAGGCTGGTCTCAAACTCCTGACTTTAGGTGATCCGCTCGCCTTGGCCTCCCAAAGTGCTAGGATTACAGGTGTGAGCCACTGCGCCTGGCCAGACATATTAGTTTTTAAACCAATCAGAAAGGAAGGAGATCCTAGGCACATCATGGATGGCCATCCCTTTTGGATGCTGGCCCAGTAAGTACACTATCTATTGAGCATTACCATTGGCAATAATGCCCACAGAAGCAATGCCTCACCTGTAGCGTGATGGCAGCTTTCTTGGTCATGGACTGATAGACACCATTAAATTCCACATTGTGGTCGAGATCATACACCGGGCACTGCAGCATGCATGAGGAATAAAATGGAAAGCATCCATAATGTCATGCAATGTCATGCCACACATAGGTCCTGTCAGCATCTTTCTGCTTGGATCACAGAGCAGGGGATCCTTATTAACCAGAAACTAGGCAATTTCCCCCCTTGAACAGTCATGACATAGTCTTCCTAAGACTTGGGGCCTCGTCCTCTAAAGTCAAAGTCATGTTATATTGAAGAGAACTATAAAAATATTGTCTTAAAGTGTATAACACTTTTTTCAATTTTCGTTAACACCTCAGGAGACAGAAAGAACCGAATGTTACAATAAAAATTTAAAAGCAGAACAAATGGTAGGGTTCAATTTTAGCTTTCTCGCGGAGCCCACAACTTGGTCTTCCTGGTTCCTTGTTACAATCCTTCCCTGCTTCCTCCCTCCTTTCCTTCTTTGCTTTGTTGATTTTGGTGAAGAGTTAACTATTCTTTACCACTCCAAATTAGTGTCTGCAAACACAGTCTGCCCACTCGTGCTCACAGATACTGTTCGTATTGTTTAGTAGTTTTGGAAGGGAGATACACAGTAAGAGGATGGCATGCTTCCACCCTTCTCTTTCATTTGTTCTGGAATAATATAATGCTCTATAGTAGAAGGTTGGCAAGTTATCAGCACTCACCATGATATTCTGGACTGAGACAACAGAACATGGATAAGCCATTTCAGACACCACTTTAATGATAACTGAGTCCACGTCTTTGGGAAACTTGTATAGAAAATACTGAGAATAAGAAAAAGAAAGACATGATTTATATTTACATGAATGGGATTGTTTCCTCTACTATTAGGCACAAAATTTATACGTAAATCTCCGTGAATCTCCATTAATGAATTCAGTCAGCTCTTCATCTCATACATATTGAGAAACTAAATCTGCGCAGGGCTCTGTGCCAGGCATTAAGAATATAGCAGTAAATAAGACAAAACAGCCATTTTATGCAATGTTGCTATTCCTTTTTCTAGGGTAAAAGAAATAGTCATTTATTTCTCAACTAAACTTTGCTATACTTTAGTTTGTTTCCTGTTTAAGAAGCATCCTGCCCCCTTTAAATTAAGGGTAAGTGAGATATAACATGTGATAAGATTCACTTCTTTCTGTGTGGTCAATGTGACATACGAAAATTCCATATTGAAAAGCAGATAAGCCTGTTCCTCAATAATTTTAACCACCTTCCCATAGGCAAGAATTAGCACTAGACTCATCCTCCCCCTTGCCCTTTTGATCAAGAAACTTGTTGCTGGCTGGAATATAGTGAGAACATACAGAGATTCAAAGACCAAGCCCCATGTGGAGTCCCCAGAAATACATTCACAATTGCGGGCAGGCTGAGGTATCTTTTAAAAGTGTTTTTCAAGTAACACCAGAATTAGGAAACATTTTTAATTGAAAGAGGTTGTACTATTTACCCATGTAGATTATGAATCCACTGGAAAAATGTATTAACTCTAAGTTGTAAACTTGTCCTTAATGATGAAGAAAGGGGAATTCTGCCAAATAATTATAAAATACGATAACTGATTGAGAAGTTATATTAAGCCTATGATTAAGATTTTGAGAAAAGCAACCGAAACAGGCTCCCAGTGAAGACTCTAATAAATCTATCATGTACAGAGAGGCAAAACAAGTTAAAACTTAACTTTGTATTTCAACATCTTTTCTCCTAACCCTATTTTGAGTACCAGGACAATAAAAATGGAATCCTTTTTAATAATCCAAAGCTTTCTGATGGGGAAAAATTATCTCAGAATTAAAGAGTGTCATTAATGATACAGTTGGAAGTCTATTCACATCTTATAACAGATGGCAATACCCCCAAGAACCCACTTAATTTTGGAGCTTGACTCAAATACATATAATACAGGGCTCTTCAAAAGATGAGGAGCATGGAATTTCCAAGAGTGTTCTTGTTTCCCAGGAAACCCATACTGTGTAACTCAAGAGCATTACTATGATTACTGTTGGCAATAATGAGCCTCATATATGTTCCCATATATGCTAGTAATTGGTTTTGTGCAAGCAGTAAACACCCACTGAAAGTATTAACAACTTTATCTGCAAATTACCATAAACCCCAAATAAATGTTTTTGACCCCTGCCTGACAATCTACCTTTACCAGAAAGAAGCGAACGACAAATACCCAAAGCAGTGGCTGGAATTTAGGCTGAAAAATCACTATCTGGGTCCTGGCTACCTCCCCAGTTTCTGCAACCTGCTTCTAACTCCTGGAATAGAGGCAAACAGTGATTGACACAGGTTATCTGAGAATGTGCAACCGTTTGGGTGAGTTTATAGAAAAAGAAAATATTTCCTGTAATCAAAGAGGATACAAAATATAGGTGAAAATGAGACTAGTTAAGAGTAAAGTAAACCTTTCGTAGATATCAAGGAACTTGTTTTGTTTTATTAGTTTGTTCTAAGTATATTTTACTCCATTTTGGGGTTTAAATACAAATTATTTAAATTTTTTTTTCAGAGATAGGGTCTCACGCTGTCACCCAGGCTAGGGTGCAATGGCACAATCATGTATCACTGTAGTCTTGACCTCCTGGGCTCAAGTGATCCTTCTGCCTCAGCCTCCTGAGAAGTCAAAACTACAGATGCAAGCTACCATACCCGGCTAATTTTTTATTTTTTAGGTTTTTGTAGAGACAGGGTCTTGCTATGTTGCCCAGGCTGGTCTTGAACTCTTGGCCTCAAGCAATACTTCTGCCTCAGCCTCCCAAAGTGTTGGGATTACAGGTGCAAGCCACCACACCTGATCAGTATATCATATTTATTATAGCTCTGTACAGGACTGTTAGACTATACAGTTCCTGTAGTTAGAGTGAAAGTTATTCCTCTTCTTTTTTTTTTTTTTTTTGAGACAGAGTCTCGCTCTGTCGCCCAGGCTGGAGTGCAGTGGCTCAATCTTGGCTCACTGCAAGCTCCGCCTCCCGGGTTCACGCCATTCTCCTGCCTCAGCCTCCCGAGTAGCTGGGACCACAGGCGCCCGCCACCATGCCCGGGTAATTTTTTGTATTTTTTTAGTAGAGACGACGTTTCACCGTGTTAGCCAGGATGGTCTCGATCTCCTGACCTCGTGATCTGCCCGCCTCAGCCTCCCAAAGTGCTGGGATTATAGGCGTGAGCCATCGCGCCCGGCCTATTCCCCTTCTACTTTAGGTTTCTCTCTTTGCACCTAGTAATTAGTGCTTTTAAAATATTTCTTGAAATTAAATAGTCAATAAATATTGAGGGCAGTATATTAAGGGCCTTTGGCCCTCTCCTGCCACTGGGTGGCAGTATACATGCGTTGCAGAGACTTTCACAGACAGGAAGTTTAAAAGTGGATTGGAGTTGGTTCATTCAGGCTTGGGAGAGCTGATTGTGCATTAGTCACTTCCCAGCTGTTCAGTGACATCACAATGGGAGCTTAAAATCAGCCACAGTGGAGGTATTTACACCACAGAAATGGGCAAATGCTACAAATCAGGGCTTTCTCTCTGAGAACCAGTTCTTAACTATTTACCAGCACCGCAGTAGTATATTTACAACAAGTCCATGTTAATCCCAGTTTTACTACTCCAAAGCAAAACCTAAGTAGCTATTTATGACCAAAGCTATATTATGGACTAAAGAAAATGTACAACAAATAAACTTGTTTCGAACATGCTATTATATAGAGTTTTGTCTTCAGAAGCTTATGAAAGAAAAAAGGAAGGTAGCTAGAAATGACACCAGAAAAACAGCCTGACTTAATCCAAGTTTTCATGTATTTATTCTATTTGTGGTTATGGTTTAATGGAGAGCACAACACAAATATCTAATTCTCCTGATGTTTTTTGTCAAAATTCTGGCTCTTTCTTTATGAGAGGAGAAACTAATTTACTACACTTATAACATTGTAAACATTAAAATGTCTTATTTTCGTTGTATTTCCAGGTCAATTAATTATTTGTGTATCTGTTTGGTGTCAGCCTTTTACTACCTATCCCCACTACCACTTCCCAGCTATCAGGTTCATAATGGCAGAAGTTGTGTCTCTCCGTTCTTAACCTTTGTGCCTCCAGCACCAGGTGCAGTCTAACAATGTTCTTGGTGCATAGTGGGCACACGATTTTCTCAGTGAGGATTGAACCAATGAACACCTGAAAACAAATAGCATGCCACCCATTTTATACCAATTAAGGTGATATGATTAAATATTGTGTCCAAAATTCCAGTAACACAAGGAATAAAGTGGAATACAAATATACTTCAAGTTGTGAAAGGTCAAGGGCAACACCACACGCTAACTCTACCAGGGTAACATGGTTTCACTAACAGGCAGGCAACACCAACAGGTAGGATGTTGATAACTCTTGGAACCCCTTCACTTACCTGAGGTTGAGAGGGGCTGGCAGTAAAGTGAAAGGCAACATTTGTCCTGAGAAACGTAAGTGGCAGAAGGGAAAGGGGAAAAGTGAGAGAAAAGCATAAGTTAGTGAGCAAAAATTATTTATTTAAAAGAAAGCCATCTTAAAGTAGACTCAAGGAGAGCTTCACCCTTGGTGAGGGGAGTTCCGGTTCCGTGAAACTGACAAAGTAGACTGCATGGGGACTTGGTGGTTTCAACTCTCAAGAATGACCAAACTGGGAAAGGGGATTATTATTTTTATATCTTTAAATATCCATGAAGCCATATCTATATAAGGTAGTTTATTTACTTTTGTAGCCACTTTTGCCTTGGGACTCTCTTGTGCTTGATTTTACAATCAAGCACAGGGTTTAGGTAACAGAAGTGGGCTGAAAGAGAGGGGAAACCCAGGTTCAAGGTCCTTTTGGATAATGTAGATACATTTCAAAATAATTTTGATAGACCCATGGCAAAATGGGTCACCTTTTACCAAACACAGTGAATAGATAACCACATGGGATGGTGCCTAGGGACAGAAGCAGGCCCTTACTATCCCCTAATAGCTCCCCGATTGCCTGCCACGTTGGCTGAAATTCCCCAAGATTTAGTTCCGTTTAGGTTAGGCATTGCCTTCCAAGACCCTCCTTTAAAACATAAATACCACCAAAAGAATATAATGAGGTTTTTTTCTCTTCAATTGGTAATTTACTGTGAATTACATTATTAGATACTTTCATTCTTCCATGTAAGACAGCAATGATCTAGGCACTGAAGAAAGGAGAGTGTGAAGAGTTAGGAAGCATAAATTGGTAGTATAGAGGGCTGTCTGCTGTGAGCATCTGTGAAACAGTTCAAGTGTTTGTCACAAAGACAAATGTGGTCTTCTCTATAGTTTTATAAGGACTACTTTGGGCTTTTTCTCTTTCTGGCTGTTGCCTCATCATTAGCCATGAAGATCATGCACACAAGTCCACAGCAGTCTCAGATCCCCAGGCTGCTGAAACGCTGCACCTGGGAGTGCGTGCCCCTGCCCCTCCAATGTGCCCTGCATTTCTGGGCATCTGAACTTGAACTTCTGGGATTTCTCATCAGCTCCACCCCCTGGGGCTCTCTGAAGATTTTTTTCTTTCCACTCTAATTTTTCTTTCATAAAAATTAAATACCTGTTTTAAAAGTAATGATTTCTTTAGAAAGGACATTTCAAGACATTTAAGCAAGAGGTGTATAATTATAGAGGTGTTATTTAGAAGTCATAAAATTTGAGCACTATTTATAAAGGTAATGACCACAATTTAGGCTGTCATCAGGCTGGGCTCAGAATTTAGCTCGCAACAATAGATGTAATTTTTATATATCTACTTGCAACAGAAATCATAATCAATGTTGAGGATTGGTTCTTCTGAAGCAGAACTGAAAACTTCTGTCCTTAAGTCGCCTAAAGAAGCTAAAGTGAGTGTCAAACCCAGTTATGTTTCTGCTCCAGAGAGTCCTTGGCCAGAGTTTGGACCTGTGACACTTTGTGTGGGCTGGGTAGAGCCCTTTCAGCAGTCTGGGAGTGTCTCCCGGTGTTACCAGGGCAACATGAGACCTTCAATTCTTTGTTGCCAGATCAGAGAACAAAGAAGACATGATTTTCTTGGCTGGCGACATGACTTCTCCTTACTCTCTTGTCTGCACCCTGATCTTTCAAGTCCATCGGTTCCTCATGACAGCATGAAATTTGCAGAAGAAACCCATATTTTTTTGCCAGAGATTTTAATTTTCCCCATCATTTGAGTTTCAGTCATAATACTAAATGTATGAAGATTTGATATTCACTTTCTGTTTTTTCTTGTTCTTTATGTTTTATTTGCTAGTACAATGCATGCAAACTTGTAAAACATGTTACTGTGTTTAAGACTACCATTTATGTCCTCTCTTTCTCATGGAGTCGGCAGTATGTGCAAAATAAACATTGTATCTGTTGCAGATGAAATATTCTGCTTCCTTCCACATGAACCCTAACAGAGGTGGGGAGGGTTTATTTTGTTAGGGGTCATTGACAACAGAACAAAGCTAACTGAAGCTCATGGATTGTTAGTTTTAGAGAAAGAAGTATAAAAATTTCAACTGATTTGTTTTAAAAATTAAACACATTTTAACATGTTTATGTTATGTTTATTTGTTAAACATAAGAGGCTAAAAAACAATTTTGTTTCCTTGTGCTGGCTATTTCAAGAAAAGGGAGAAGGGAGAAGAAACCCATGGACTTGAGAGATGGGGGTGCAGATAGGGGAGTCAGGAGAAGAGGCAGAAAGGGGCCCATGGGTCGGGGGTAGAGAGAGGGAGAAGAAATACAGAGAGGAGAGTAATCAAGTAGAAGAAAAAGAAAAGGGATGGGACAAAAGACTACATAGAAAGAGAGGCAGGACAAACTTTCAGTAGTTTTTGAGGTGAGCACCAGAGAGGACTGTGAGATTCACAGCACCTTACTCATCTTGATTAACAAGCCCCTAGCACAGAGCACAGTGTGCATTCAAAGCCCCTCCTTTGTTTGTTGAAGGAAATGATATCCTATTATTCACTTGAACTATGAACTTCAGAATATCATTCCCTGTTATCTCCTTCTGCCATCTGCTATGAACTCCCTTCAGGACTGTAGCTTTCCCACCGACCTTCTTGTCATTGGGAACTGTCTGCCCTTCATTCCTCTGGTCTAAGTATAAACTCCGCACTCATGTACTTAATTCTCATTCTTTCTATCATTCTCTGGCACTTTGCATCTACAAATATCCAACTCTCCTATGAATTTAATCTGCCTTTCTACCTCTTTGTTTATAAATATATTCTAGTCTCAACCATTTTCAAAACAAATAACAAACACCCCACCCAAATGCCTCCCTTTTCCCTGGATCGCCATCCTTTAATGTCATCCTATGTCCTTCCTCTCTTCACAAACCAGCTGCTTCTAGGAGTATTCCATGTTTATCTCTCTTTCATTCTTTCCTCCACCCACTGCTATCAGGATTCTTTCTCCACCACGCCCTTGAAATTTCCTTTGCTAAGGGTAAGAGTCACCTCCTGTCTTAGCCTATTCAGGCAGCTATAACAAAAATACTGTCAACTCGGTGACTTATAAAGAATGGAAATCTATTATTTCTTACAGTTTTACAGGCTAGCAGGTTCAAGATCAAGGTGTCTGATGAGAGCCTGCTTCCTCATAGATGGTGCCTTCTCACTGCATCCTCATGTGGTGTAAAGGACAGAGGGCCTTTCTGGGGACTCTTTCATAAAGGTATTAATCCCATTCACAAGGGCTCCACTCTCACGACCTAATCATCTCCCAAAGGCCCCACCTCCAAGTACCATCACTGTGGAGATTTCAATATGAATTTTGGGGAAAGTAAACATTGAGACCATAGCACTATCTAATCGCTAAATCCAGTGACTTAACCCCCAGGGATTTCTCCCACACCTCTGGCTGTGTCTACTCAGCCCCTTATGATAGCTTCAGTTTCTCAGATCATCCCTTAAATGAGAATGTTACCCACAGCCTTGTTCTTGATCAACTCGTTTTACAATGTGTATCCAGCTGCTGTAAATACCACAATAATGCCAGTGAATCTCAAGTCCCTGTGTCCAGCCCAGGGCCATCTCCTGAGCCCCAGTCACAGAATAGTGATCCCCTGCTGGGCTTCTGCACTTGACCATCCCTTGAACACCTCAAACTCCACATGATAAAAGGGAATGTGCTGTCACTTCCCTGATCCTGACCTACTATGTCCCTTTGTCAGTAAACCTCACCAGACTTCTGACATCACTGTAGGAGTCATGTTGGACTACCCCCTTTCTATCGCTTTCCACATTTGATTAATCACCAGGTCCTACTCATTCTATTAGTGTAAAAGTAACCTGCCACCACCTGGAGCACCATGTTTGCTCAGTACAGCATCATTAAGAGAGAAAAAAAAAAAAAGGAATGTAAATCTTTATTGTAGTCTCCTCCAAAATACCAAAGGTAATTATATAGTATGACACATAGCAAAATGGTCTAAAATTCTCTTATCCACCCATTTCTTCAAAAAATCTATTACTTTTCACAGCATAGTAGCTGAGCTATCTCACTCACACACTCTCTCCTCTTAAAACAGACTCAAGATCCCTACTTAGAAGGCTAGAGGAGGGCTGAAGGCTGCAAGTATTCATGGAGGACTATAAATTTTATTCTGCCACATATATTTGCTGAATTATGAATTATCTCCATGTGTACTATTTGACTCGTTTTCTCCCTTACAACCTTGTTGCTGCCATACACATTCAAGTTCTAATCATTTTTCTTTCTTCTCCATTCAGATAACTTTTCATTTGCCTGTTTGTCCCTCATCTTTCATCTCTGTAATTCCTCTTCCACACTGCCACTCATGTCATCTCTAGAAATCAGATCTCTGAATGCTATCCTGTTGCTCACAATCCTTTAATGGCTCCCATAATCTGAAAGACGAAGTTCTACTCCATAGTCTAGCATCCAACATCTTAAAGATCAAAGTTGGGCACTGCCTGTTTCTCCAGCCCTATCTCCTGTAACCCTGTCTTGCCCAGGCATCATGTGGACCAGGCTTCTTGATGTGTTCCTGAAGACTGCACTAGTCTGCCTAACTGTAACTCAGAGCTCTCCCCTAAGTGTCATGTTAGTATACATCCATCACTTTGCCAGATATCTGTATTTCAAACCCAACCTGTCCCAAAGTGAAGTTATCATCTGTTCTTTTTCTTATCAAAATTCTCATTTTCTCTTAGTGGCCCCACCATCTACAAGCTACACTGGCATTATTGACTCTCTCTTTTCTTTTTCCCCTCATATCTAATAAAATTTCAGCAATTTCACCTCTCCTAATATTTCAATTCACCTCCTCATTATTTATCTTGACTACTGCATCAGCCTTCTAACTTCTCTGCATCCTGTTTTGTCCTCTTCAAATCCATTCTCCACACAACTATCACAATATAGACAACTGTTTAATTTTTTTTGTGTGTGTGTGAGACGGAGTCTTGCTCTATGGCCCAGGCTGGAGTACAGTGGTGCAATCTCAGCTCACTGAAACCTCTGCCTCCTGGGTTCAAGTGATTCTCCTGCCTCAGCCCCCCAGGTAGCTGGGATTACAGGTGTGCACCACCATGCCCAGCTAGTTTTTGAATTTTTTAGTAGAGACGGAGTTTCACCATATTGGCCAGGTTTGTCTTGAACTCCTGACCTCAGGTGATCTGCCCGCCTTGGTCTCCCAAAGTGCTGGGATTACAGACGTTTAAATTTCCTAATGCCCCTTCTTAAGATCCTCCTATGCCATGATCACAGGCTTGCCTGTTTCTGTAGCCATCTGCTGTTGCCTGCCTGCAATTTCACACTCTAGCAATACTAAACACCTGGGCACTGGAGTGTAGAAAAAGAGTAGTGGCACAGTTTATGTGTGTGTGTGTGTGTGTGTGTGCAGAGGATAGGTAGATGGCACCAAGCAATGCTTTAAAGTAGAGTTGTTTCAATTTTAAAGGAATTTTGCAGAGATGGGGTCTCATTTTGTTGCTCAGCCTAGAGTGCAGTGGCACAATCATGGCTCACAGCAGCACAAACTCCTGGGCTCAATCAGTCCTCTTGCCTCAACCTCCTGAGTAACTGGATCTACAGGCACACACCATCATGTCTGGCTAATTTTTTTGGTTTTTATTTTTTTAGAGACTATGTTGCCTAGGCCAGTCTTGAACTCCTGGCCTTAAGTCATCCTCCTGCCTCAGCCTCCTGAGTAGCTGGAATTACAGGCGGGAGCCACTGTGCTCTGCTAGTAAAGTTGGATTTAAATAAATGTTTCATGGAATTGAGAGACATATTTAGAGAAACACAAACAATTGGGAGGACAGTTTTAACTAGAAAGTAGAAATAGTTCATTATGGCGAGAAGAGCGCAGAACTGGGAGTCAGAAGTACAATTTAGTCTTGATTTTGCCCTTTCCTAGCTGTGTGAATTTGAACAAGTCACTTAACTTCTCTGGGCATCAGTTTGCTCATCTGTAAAAATGAGGCAGGTGGATTAGATTCCCAAAGATCCTTCAGTTCTTAAAATGTATGATTCTAGGGGAAAAAAGTTCCCAAAATGTGTTCCATATACATTATAGGCTGCCACTCAAAAACATACAATAGAAACTTCAATCTTAGAGATTTCGAATTACTTCTTCAGTGTTTCTCTCAATGCCTGAGCCCAGTTCTCATCACAATCCTCAGCTCTTCCTCATTACCATCATCCTCTGGTTCCAGGTTACCAGCAAGGCTGGTGTGTAAATAGTGATTTTGAAATGCTCTTAAAGTCTGGTTGCTGAGGCTAAGTCATATTATGAGGTAAAAACAGAAAGCAACATGAGGGAATAGATTTGCAGTTTCACCAGCGTGCAAATAATTCATTAACACTCGCTACAGTTGTGACCTTATGACTTTATTTTCACAGAATTCAGTTCTCAAAAGGTTCTAATAACCTTACAGAAGACCATTCCTACAATTCAAATATGCTACCACCAAGTGACACTGCCACTGCTACCAGGTGACACTTGATTGATTGATTAAAGACAGAGATCAGTTGATAAAGGCAAGGCTTCTCTGCAGTTCAAACTGCACTCTGTGCAAGTACTGTAACACGTTATCACTCCCATCAAATGTGTAACTCCCATCAAATGTGTATTCCCATATGGATAAATATCACAAGTAGATTTTTAAATTATTAAATTAGGCCAGGCACAGTTGCTCATGCCTGTAATACCAGCACTTTGGGAGGCCGAGGCGGGTGGATCGCTTGAGCCCAGGGGTTCGAGACCAGTCTGGGCAACATGGTCAAATCCGTCTCTACTAAAAATACAAAAATTAGCCGGGCATGGTGGCACACACCTGTAATCCCAGCTACTTGGGAGGCTGAGGCACAAGAATCGCTTGAACCCAGGAGGTGGAGGTTGCAGTGAACCAAGATCATGCCATTGCACTCCAGCCTGGTGATACAGCAAGACTCGGTCTCAAAAAATATATATTAAATTAAACTGAAGCACCATATTTAGAAATCATTTTAGGGTAGTGGTTCGCAACACTGGCTGCATGTTAGAAACACCTGGGGAACTTTAAACACTTTACCAGTGCCCAAACCTCTCCCCTACAGCCTCTGATTTAATTGCTCTGGGTGGATCTTATTCACCAGAGAATCTTTTTCTCCTTGTTCTTGTGGAGGATAGAGTGTCCTTTGCTCTTAAAATTATCATGTCACCTTTTTCAACACCAGGATTAATGGAGGGACTTGAGAAAAAATGCTGTGACTCCTTCTCCATCCTTCTGACCACTCATTCATTTATCTGTCCACGTTTCCGTATGGGTATAACACTATGTCAAGGAGGGTAGAGAGGACCAAGATAAATATTTGAGTCCTATTAGCAACTCTACTGGCTACAGATGTTTTTATAAACTGCCTTAAATTTAAGGAGAACTTTACTGTAGAACCAAACTTTCTGATCAGAAAAATAAGCTGCAAAACAGTGACATATACGATTTTGAAATATTCCGATTTTTTAAAAAATTAACTTTTTAATTGAAATATAACAAACATGTATTATAGAAAAGTGTGCAGTTATAAGCATATATTTGAATAAATTATCGTCAAACATAGCCATGTACTTCTCTCCTCCCCAAAGGTACCACTATTCTGACTTCCAGCATCACAGAATAGTTTTGCCTGCCTTTAAATTTTATATAAATGGAATAAAATAGCATACATTTCTTTTGTCTGGCTTCCTTTTTTTTTTTTTTTTTTTTTGAGAGGGAGTCTCACTCCTTCACCCAGGCTGGAGTGCATTGGCATGATCTCGGCTCACTGCAACCTCCACCTCCCAGGCTCAAGCATTCTCCTGCCTCAGCCTCCGGATTAGCTGGGACAACAGGCGCCTGCCACCATGCCCAGCTAATTTTTTTTTTTTGTATTTCTAGCACAGAGGGGTTTCACCATGTTGGTCAGGCTGGTCTCGCTCTCCTGACCTCAGGTGATCCACCTGCTGTGGCCTCCCAAAGTGCTGGGATCACAGGCGTGAGCCACCGCACCTGGCCTGGCTTCTTTTTCTCAACATTGTGAGATGTATCCATGTTGTTGGGTATAGCAATAGTTTGTTCATTGTTATTTTTGTGTAGTATCCCACTGAATGAATACCACAATGAGATATCTAGGAGTTGGGTATACATCAAAGGAGTGGAATGTAGGCCTTTCAAATTATAGCAATTTGGTAGTTGTAATGGAATCACATTATGGTTTTAATTTACATTTCTGTTTTTTTTCTTTTCTTTTCTTTTCTTTTCTTTTTTTTTTTTGAGACAGAGTCTTGCTGTGTTGCCCAGGCTGGGGTGCAGTGGCGCGATCTCGGCTCACTGCAAGCTCCGCCTCCCAGGTTCATGCCATTCTCCTGCCTCAGCCTCCCGAGTAGCTGGGATTACAGGTGCCCGCCACCGTGCCTGGCTAATTTTTTGTATTTTTAGTAGAGATGGGGTTTCACTGTGTTAGCCAGGATGGTCTCGATCTCCTGACCTCGTGATCCACCTCCTCGGCCTCCCAAAGTGCTAGGATTACAGGAGTGAGCCACCACACCCGGCCTTAATTTACATTTCTTATAGCTAATGAGGTTGTGTTTTTTTGACTATTTGGGTAGCTTCTTTAGTGAAGTGTCCAAATCTCATGATTATTTTTTTGATGAGCTTGCCTGTTTATTTTAGTTTTTTAAAAACAGGGGGAAAATAATACTAGTCACACCAAGAAAGGACAAAGCCACATTCCTACCTATGTTACTAACCTGGAAGGAGAAAACAGGAGTAATAATAAGGACAAGAAAAATAGCTTAATGTCTTCCCTAGAACTAAAATAAAACTTCCTTCAAGAGTGTGGCACTGGTTGGGAATACAAAAGTATTTAGTCACCAGTCATTCTTGCCTATACTTCAGGCTGGACAGGTTCCTCACACTGATCCCTGAAAACAGATTCACCTGTGAGGTCAACCACTCTTACCTTCTGCACTCCCACTCTTTTGTATAGATTAAGGCCCTGCTGCTCAGTTATGGGCAGGAGAGTTCAGGAAGTGCTAAAATCATATGCTAAGTGGATAATTTCCTTCCAGAGTACCAGTCTGTAAGGATGGAAGATGAATTGAGCATCCACAAGCACAGGAAACACAGACAGGTAAACAGAGAAAGTCCCGCTTACCGGAGCTGGAAGTGCTTCAGCTTGGTAACTAGCAGTTTGTACTGAGCACCCAGGGGTGCCATGGATGCGACATCTACAAATATCAGTTGCTGCAAGGGTCCCGTCTCATTGGTTGCTTCTGAGGGACATAAGGTGCGGCTCACTTCTTGATAGTTGTAGCTCCTCTGGTATCTGAAGCAGCCAATATAGGGGAAAAAAATAAACAAGGACAAGAAAGGGACTCAGTGAATGAGCAGGGAAAGGAGCCTATCTCATTTTGCTTCTCTCCAAATTCATTTTCAGGTCCTTATGTTTTGAATTTTAGACTGGAACTATCAATAGTAATTTTAGAACTAGTGTTGTTGGCATTGGGTTGTATGATATAATAACAGGGATGTGAGGACTGTTCTGTGCTGACTAGTTCACTTAAGCGGTATCTACATTACGCTAAGCCATTCTCCTAATTCAATGAGGAATAAATATCCAATTTGATGGGGAAACTGTCATGATAAAACAACCAGCTGATTCCATTTTCATCTCTTCAAGCTACTGCTAAAGTAGAGAGTAAAGAAAGCCCTGAGTCCAAGTCAAAGCTAACAGAGTTAGTATTTCAGTCCTCGAGTTCTTCAACCTTTAAAAAGAATGTTATGTGTCCATTTTGCATGCCTTCCAAGTTTTTTTTATTAGTGCAGTAGTATCTTATACACTTCTCCCCTGAAAAAATAGAAACTCGAGGAGGGCAGGCACTTTGTTGTTTTTCCACTGCTGTGTCTCCAGCACCCAACACTTAATAGGGCTCAATAAATATTATTGAATGAAGAATGCAAACACACGATGGGCATTTTGAAGAACAAGGGAAGAGTTACTCACTTATGTTAACTGCTAGACATAGCCCATTGGAGGGCTATTGGTTGACCCAGTACCCCAAAGCTACAGAGGATCACGGTATGTTTTTAAAATGGTAAAAGCTCTTCTAGGTGTGGCCAATCTAGGTAGAGTGCTCATCTAATAATTGAACAGAGCGAACAGGTCAGGGCATGCACCATGATCATTATTTGCACCCCGTATGCAGAATGTCTTGACATTCCAAATGTCTGATTTTTCCTTTCAATAGGGAAAAGACCAATTAAGTTCTAGGACATTGAAGAAAACTAAACATAGTGAAGTTGCCTGGAAGAAAACCCACTTACAGTCCTTGGAAGAGCAGAGGAACCTGCCAGGACAGCACCTCTTTCTGCTGGCGAACCACAACAAGGACCGGGTAGTTGAGATTCTCAGAGGAACTGTTCACATACACCCTCACGGCTGTCACCTGCATGGCAGGGTAGAAAGAGGTAATGCAAAACGTGCACATGCACACATGCAAACACACACACACACACACACACACACAAACACACACAAACACACACACCATAGTTGCCATGTGAGGCTCAGAAACACTTTAATTTCTGATATTTGCTTCTCATGATAGGTAATCCAAATGCCCCAGTTGTTTCTCCTCATTCATATTGTAACCAGAGTGGGTCTCAACCTTGATTGCACATTGAAATTGCGTGGGGAGAATTTTTTAAAATGATGCCTAAATCCAACCTGCCAAAATTCTGATTCAGTTAATTTTAGATGAGACCAAATTATAAAGTCTTCAAACAGCAAGCTGAGGAGTTTGAACGGAGCAGGCAACACAAGATTTTGAGAATGAACCCAGAACAGAAAAAGAAGGATACGGATGTGCTTTTCTTCTTATTTGAATATAAATGCTAAAGATACAAATATCTAAAAATAAAACAACACACACAAAGCCACCCTCCCTCAAAAACAAATCCCATGAGAACTTCAATTGCTGAAAAACTTCAATTTTGGGTTGGTAAATCATTCTGTGTTTCAAATCAAAATGTTATGACCACATTTTATTAAAGCCTAACAGATGGCCTGATGTTCCCACCAACAATAAATCATGACGCTTCCCCAGAACAGACATCACAGGGCTGAGTAATCTTCTCTTTCCCTTGCTCTAAGGTATAAATCAATCCTTGACACAAAATGCTTTTTTATATCAGTAACACTATGGGTCTTTCTGAATACACACATATCAACCCAATAATTTAACCCTATTATGGTTATTTTAAAGACAGGAAAGTGAATGTAACTTTGGATTTAGATAGTGTTGGTGTTTTCTTCCTCTCTCTCTTTTTTTTTCTTTCTTGAGACAGAGTCTCCCTCTGCTGCCTAGGCTGGAGTGCAGTGGCATGATCTTGGCTCACTGCAACCTCCCAGGTTCAAGGAATCCTCGTGCCTCAGCCTCCCAAGTAGCTGGGATTACAGGTGTGCACCACCATGCCTGGCTAATTTTTGTATTTTTAGTAGAGATGGGGTTTCACCATGTTGGCCAGGCTGGTCTCGAACTGCTGACCTCCAGTGATCTGCCCGCCTCAGCCTCCCAAAGTGCTGGGATTACAGGTGTGAGCCACTGCGCCTGGCCTTCTTTCAATTCTTATAATACCATAGGCAACATGTAAGAGAACAAAATAGAAGAGAGATAGGGTAAAAGCAACAACAACAACAACAACAAAATTTAATCTTCCACATGAGATTTTGTTTTTCTAATGCCTTAGTATTCTCTTGAAAACTTCTTTATTAGGAGAAAGAAAATGAAACAAGAAAATCCTGCAATTAAGCCCTAATGATCTATCGCACATTCAAAATGGAAATTAGGAGGAAACAGAATAGCATAGATGTCATATATTGCCATTTGGTTCTCATATCATTTTCCTTAAGCCACTGCATTGCTTTTTAAATGTTAAAATAGCCCAAGAGTAACTTACTAATTTGATAGGAAGTGCTTGCCCTGAAGGGAGAGTTTTCTTGTGCCTACACTCTACATGTTTCCATGGAAATTATGCTGCAGCTGAAAATTGCCACCATATCTCTAGCGAGATCTCTTTCTCGAGCTCTGAGTCTTCCACAGGCACCTCACACTCAAAGCGTCTGAAATGGAATTGATCACTCCCTTCACTCCTAACTTTAATTTCTTCTGAATTCCCTTGAATGTTGAATGGCCCCACCATGCAGCCATTCATGTAAGCCTGAAACTGGAGATTCATCCTTGATTCCTGCTTCTTTAGCTCCTTTGCTTCTATCTCCTTAATACTGTTCACACCCAGATCCTCCCCTCCGCCCCCAGTGACACTCTCATAGCTCAGTCCTGCATCACAGTGACCCTCCTTGGCAGCCCGCTGTCTAGTCTTCCGACTCCAGGGCTGTACTTGCTAGAAGGGCAGTTTCATCTGTCATTCCTCATTCCCCTGTTGAAAAAGCCTTCAGTGGCTCTGAAGAATTTTCAGATTTACCCCAAAGTAACAAGAATAATATAATGAGTGCTCATGTACTTATCATCCAGTTTTAATAATTGTTAACAAATGTATTTTATTTCATTTATACCTCCTATTTCCCATACACCCCCACCACTGGATTATTTGAAAGTACACACCAGGCCAGGCACGGCGGCTCACGCCTGTAATCCCAGCACTTTCGGAGGCCGAGGTGGGTGGATCACCTGAGTTTGAGACCAGCCTGACCAACATGGAGATACCCAGTCTTTATTAAAAGTACAAAATTAGCTGGGCGTGGTGGCGCATGCCCGTAATCACAGCTACTCGGGAGGCTGAGGCAGGAGAATCGCTTGAACCCAGGAGGCAGAGGTTGCGGTGAGCTGAGATCATGCCATTGCATTCCAGCCTGGGCAACAAAGAGTGAAACTCCATCTCAAAAAAACAAAACAAAAAAAAAAGAAAAAGAAGTACACACCAAAGATCGTATCATTTATCTGCACCACAGTTCAGTCTATATCTCTAAGTCACGAAGCCTTCTCTTTTGAACTTAAATACAACACCATTATGCCACTTGATAAAATTAATAATCCTAAAAATTACTAACATCCACATAGTGTTTGAATTTTTTCAATTGTTTCAAAATTTTTTTCCAGTTAAAAAAAATTGGGCACAAACAAGACCCATACATTGTATTTGGTTCATATGTCTTTTGAGTCTCTTTTAATGTAAAGGGTACTTCTCTCTCCTTTTTGGGAACACTTGTTTGTTAAAGAAAGCAGCTCACAAAACAGCAATACAAATCTGTAGAAGAACCCACGTTCCGGATTTTACGGATTGCACCCCGCAGTGTCATTGAACAGGTTTTGTTGATCTCCTGTATTGCCTGCAAACTGGTAGTTAGATCTAGAGGCTTCATTAGATTCAAGTCGTCAAATTTCTCAATCTTTTTCCTGAATTTTGAGTCATAGTCAAGGAAGTTTTCACCATTCCTGGTTACTGAAGAATTTGCTCCTATTTTCTTTTAGTATTTTATGGTTTCATCCTAAAAAAATTATTTAAACCTCTAATCCGTTTGCAATCAATACTCATATGTGGTATAAGGAGTGATTGCAATTTTGTCTTTGCTTCATTTGGCTCTCCAGTTATCCCAACATCACTTACTTAAAAGTTCGCCTTTTCTCCACGGAGTTGAATCCCTCAAGCCTCTTCTTGATGTCTTCTGTGCCTTCGTCTCTAGTTTCTTTGCCTACCAACAGATCCACTGTCTTGTCATGTCCAATTACTGTTTCTCAAAAGGGTTATGTCCCCAGTGTTGACTGGCCTTGGATATCTTGCTCATTCTTAAAGTCTTCCTTTGGGAAGTCTTCCCTAACATTTTCCTACCCCACTAAATAAGTGGTGTCCCTCCCTTTTGCGGGTGTGCTGTGTGGCCTCTGATTACCTCTATATGGTATCTCTACCACATATAGCAACCTAAAAATGTAGTCAACTTTATTACTTTTTCTTGGCCATTTCTTTTATCACTTAAATTGAAATATAATTCATACATCACACAATTCATTCTTTTAAAGTGCATAATTCAGTAGTTTTTAATATATTCACCAAGTTGTGGGACCATCACCAATGTCTAATTCTAATATTTTTCTCACCCCGAAAAGAAACCTGTACTCATTGGCAGTCACTCCTCATTCCTTCCTTCCCCCAGTCCCTGGAAACCACTAACCTTATTTCTGTCTTTATGGATTTGCCTATATTTCAAATAAATGGAATAATGTATCCTTCTCTATCCAGCTTATTTCCTTAGCATAATGTTTTGAAGGTTCATTCATGTTGTAGCATGTATCAGTACTTCATTCCTTTTTATTACTAAATAATATTACATTGCATGCACATACCACATCCTGTTTATCCATTCTTCAGTTGATGGACATTTGGGTTGTTTTAACTTTTTAGCTATTATAAACAATGTTGCTGTGAACATTTGTATACAAATTTTTGTATGAATGTATATTTTCAATTCTTTTGGGCATATGCCTATGAGTAGAATTGCTGGGAGACATGGTAACTCTATGTTTCACTTTTTGTGGAACTACCAAAATGTTTTCCAAAGAGTTACATCATTTTACATTCCAGTAATTTACCTAGCAAGCAATATATAAGGGCTCCAGTTTCTCTACATCCTTGCCAACACTTGTCACTATCTTTTTTTTTTGAATATAGCCATCCTAGTGGGTGTAAAGTTGCATCTCATTGTGGACCACATGATATTTAAACTGCTAGTTTACCTGCCTGGCTCTTCTAGGAAGCTGCAGACTTCATCTTTGGCATCCTTGGTGCCTGGCAGAATGCATTAGCTTAGAAGCAGACTCACTTTTGAGGCTGTAATACAGACACTCACCAGCATTATATAGCATGTGTTTTTAGAGCACACTTTGGTCTGGCTTAAAAGCTATAGCAGTCAGAACTGAGATAAAACCTAAGGAGTTTGTCTGCCTCCCTTTTTTCACCTAAGATGCAACCTCCTCCTCCCTTCTTAAGTACTTAATGTCAGATGGGATTTCCTTCCATCTTTTTTTCACACTTTGATCTAAGGCAAAGATTTTCAAATTTTAGTGTGCTTTTTAGCAAAGCAAATCCCTCAAGTCAACCCCCAGCGTTTCTGACTTGGCAGATCAAGAATAGAACTTAAAAATATAAATTTTTAGCAAGCTGCTGGGGGATTCTGATGTACATGGATGGGGACTAGACTTTGGGAAGGATAGTTCCAAAGAAACCATCTAATGGATAACTCCATTTGTCAGCAACTCGCCAACTGCCCATTATTCTGAGATGTACATCCATGAGATCACTAATGTTAGAGTTGGTCTGGAAGCTGGTGTTTCTTGAGGCTGACACTGGGCTGGCAGAACAGATGTATCACTGCCATGATTACCCCACTTCACTGTTCATCTCCACATCCTCATTTTATTCCTGGCCTGGCTTTCGCAATCCACTTACCTTTGTATTATTTAATAATGTTCTTACTAGTCATAATAAAAACAAACTCAGAGATACTGGCATAATAAATTGCGAAAAATATATTAGAGTAGGAGATAGAAGACATTGGGCAGTTTTTCAAGATGAACAGATAGTGGATTACCCCCAGGAAAGGATAAAGAGCCCTGATCAAAATTTGCTTTGCCTTTCCTGAGGCTAATATGCAGCTGAGAAAATTGGATCACATTTGCAGCAGCGAAGAAAGCTGTGTAAAGGCAAAACTAAATGAAGGACAGGGTATTGACCATGCTTAATGGGCCCTGACACCTTGTGAAAGGCCATTCCTAAGAGCTAAGATTTTTCCTCTTGTTGCTTTTTCCTGTTGTCATGACAACAAGAACACTTTTATTGCATAAATCTTGTCTGTTTCCTGTGTTTACTACAAGCAGGAAATTGAATTATAGCTAGCTAAGAGAGATTTATTTAAGTACTTCCATCTCTGATATTATATAGATCACAGTTATGAAAGGTCTTAAAGCTTAGAGACTCTCTTTTCAATCTTTCAGCATGTCAGTAGGGAAAGGTTCAAAATTATAAGGAATATATTTCTGTTCCATAAAAGAATGGAAATGAATTCAATTCAAAAATCTAGTTTATTTTTGCTAAAATAATGAGACTATAGCCTCTATTATTTGGAATATTAGATTAAGAATCAGAGATTATTGATTTCCATTATTCAATACACCACTGTTTTCCCGTATGATCTTGGAAAACTGACTCCACTTGTAAAACAGCTACAACAGTATCTGCTGATGGTCCTTTTTTCAAATGTTTAACTGTTTGAGTAACTGTGCTGTGTTTGGTTGTGTTCGCTGGGTGTACCTCTACAGCTCCTCCTCGCTCCCTCCCTCCCATCTTTCCCATGCTCCCACTCTCATCCATCAAACATTTACTGAGGATTTGCCCTGAGTCAGGAGCTGTGGGAGGTGCTGGGGATATTCTAAAGGCAACTGTGCCCTCGAGGAGGCTCGCAATCTAGTCAGAAAGACAAATGGAAAAAGCACCAATAACTGCATAATGTGATGAGTATGATGGTAGCAATTTGAGCAAGTACTGTGGGTACACAGAGGACAACGTGATTACCCCCAGGGGGAATCAGGGAAGCAGCACAGGCTTCCTACAAGTTGGGCTCTTCCACATAGGTCCTGCCATTGCCTGCTTGATGCATAAGACCTCCACTCGTAGTGTTAGAAAACCTTACATCTGGGAAGGCGCTTAGGGAGACCATCTACTCCAACCATCCCACGTACAGAGGAGGAGCCTGAGATAGACATGATGGCACCTCTCCAAGGATACTCAGCGATGGAACAATCATGACTAGAACCCAAGCCTGTGCTCCAATCCCCATGCAATGCTTGGTCAGAATATGCTGCCATCACTATTTTGAATCTTTGGCTCCACTGTACCCAACTCTGGATCATCTATTATTCTACTATGAAATGAAGAAGCTATATAAACACCATACAGGAGGGGAAGAGACAAGCCACAGACTAGGGATGTTTGTACATGTAAAACAGACAAAATATCAGTATCTTGAATATATAAGGACCCTTAAAACGCATAAGAAAAAAACCACCACCAATGGAAAAAGTGGGTTAAGGATATAAACAGAATGACCAGGCCAGGTGTGGTAGCTCACGCCTGTAATCCCAGCACTTTGGGAGGCTGAGTTGTGTGGAACCCTTGAGCTCAGGAGTTCGAAACCAGCCTAAGCAACATGGTAAAACCTCTGTCTCTATTTAAAAAATACAAAAATTAGCTGGGTGTAGTGGCGTGCTCCTGTAGTCCCAGCCACTCAGAAGGCTGAGGCAGGAGCATTGTTTGAGCCCAGGATGCAGAGGTTGCAGTGAGCCCAGATTGGGCCACTACACTGCAGCCTGGGCAATGGGAGTGAAAACCCTGTCTCAAAAAATAAAAAAAAAAAAAAATAAATAAAAAGAATGACCAAAGAACCTGTAAAAAGATATTCAGCACTTACACTCATCAGAAAGGTAAAGCCTCACAGGTATTGACAATACCATGTTTGCAACATGTAGAGAAATAGAAATTTGCATATTGCTAATGAAAATGTTAGTTGGTGCAATGACTTCAGTCAGCAAGTTGCCAATATCTACTACAGTTGAAGATGAGTTCACATTACATTTAAGCATTTCCATGACTAAGTTTAGGCACAAGAAAATTCTTGCATATGTACAAGGAGTCATAAACAAGAATGTTCACTGCAAGCATTGGTTGCAACAATAAAATTTGGAAACAACCTGAATGACAACCAAATTAAATAATAGAAGTATGAAGAGATAAATTATATTCATGCAATGAAATGCTACACAGTGGTTAAAAGTAAATGAACTGAAATGTGGATCAGTATGGATAAATCTCAAGAAGATAAATTGAGAGGAGCAGGTTGCTGAAGGAAACATACTTAATTTTCTCATTTATTTAACTTTGTAAACAAGGAAAACAATACAGTATTTTTATTTGTACATCTTCAGTAAAATATATATACTCAGAAATGATAAACATCAAATTTAAAATAATGGATTTCAAGAACTTGGAAGGATCTGAGACTTTACCCCTTTGCCACAGCGTCATCGATACTGGGAGAAGACACAAGTCTCCTGGGTTGGAAACAAACAATTTAATGACTCTTATTAGGGTAAGCAGCATTAGCTTCACTTCTTCTGGTCCCCAAGTACTATGAAGGTGACATGGATGGGTCCAGATGGATACCTACCTATATGCAGGGTGTTGCACTACAGGAGAGGAACCCTGAGCTTAGAAAACCCAAGTCTTTCATAACAGGCAGTAAGTCTGTCTTTCCTTTACTCCACGAGGAGACATTGTTTGCTTTCTGAGGCTGTTTGCTATGCAAATATCCTTGAAATGATAGCATTTAAAAAACTTCAGTTGGTGCCTTCCTGTAAGATGTGCAGAAATCAAAAGAACCTATGAAGGACTGCCTCCCCAAAATGGTCACTTTTGGGGATGGAGGAAGAGGATCAGGGTGAGAAAAAACAGGAAACAAATTATCCTTTTATTTCTTAAGCTGAGTATGAGACACATACATGCTTGTTACATTATTTTCTATACTTGTTTAAATGTCTAGAATGTTTCCTAGTAATAATAAAAAAGAAGCCATGATGTGCTGGCCTTTGTGTTTGCCCAGTTCTGAGTGACAACCCTCATTTTATAAAGGCTCCTTGTTACTCACAGGTGTGGCAGAACCCAAAACATATTCTCATTGCTCTCCTGGCTCATTTGCCATGGTCTACACTTACTCTAATTTCATAGATCAGATCCCCCTCTCTCTCTGTCTGTCTGTCTCTCTCTCTTTCTGTCTCTCATATGCAAATGGAAACTATATTTCAAGATGTGGTGCTGAAGAAGCACTAACTGCCTCTCTTTAGGTCTCAGTCAGCTACAGAACTTTGCATTGTCTTTGACCTCATTCACATAGCTCATTTCTCCATTTCTCTGCCCTGGAAAAGAAATATAGCCAGGGGACCCAGGTGAAGTTGGTATTACATTGAACAGTAATGTGCAAGGCTTGATTCTGTGTCATCAGGTTAGTTTCCTAGGATGCCGTAACAAGGTACCACAAAGTAGGTGGCTTGAAACAACAGAAAGTTATTCTTTCACAGTTCTTCAGACTAGAAGTCTGGAATCAAGGTGTTAGCTGGGCCATGCTCCCTCTGAGACCTTCCTCTGGATAGAAAACTTCCTTGCCTCTTCCTGCCTTCTGGTGGTGTCCATGAACCCTTGGCATTCCTTAGTGGGTGAATCACTGTTTGCTAATCACTCCCTTCTCTGCCTCTGTTGTTACATGGTGCCCCCTCTGTGTGTCTCTGTCTTCACATGCTATTCTCTGTGTGTGCCTGTGTCCAAATTTCCCTCTTCTTATAAGTATTTCAGTCATTGGATTGGGGCCCTAATAACTGCATCTTAACTTGGTCACAACTGCAAAGATGATACTTCCAAGTAAGGTCACATTGATAGGTTCTAGGGGTTAGGACCTCAACATATATTTTTGGGAAAACAAATCAACCCATAATATTAGGTTTGTAGGATTTTAAAGCAATGACTCATTCTCCAAAACTCTACCTTTCCCTTACTGTCATCTTATCTTCAGCTTTTACTTACTTGCTGTTAAAGTGAATTAACATGGAGGCCAGGCCTAAAGAATTCCTGAGCAGACAAAGCCAGTTAGGCCTCATAAATGTGCTGAACCTTGCTCGACTTGCAAACATAAGCTGGGATTACGGGCGCCTTGGCTCACGCCTGTAATTCCAGCACTTTGGGAGGAGGTGGGTGGATCACCTGAGGTCGAGACCAGCCTGACCAATATGGTGAAACCCGCCTCTACTAAAAATACAAAAATTAGCTGGGCGTGGTGGTGGGCACCTGTAGACCCAGCTACTCGGAAGGCTGAGACAGGAGAATGGCTTGAACCCAGGAGGTGGAGATTGCGGTGAGGCGAGATCCTGCCACTGCACTCCAGCCTGGGTGACAGAGCCAGACTCTATTTCAAAAAAAAAAAAAAAAGAAAAAGAAACTTAGGGCATACCAATCAGAAGCCACAGACTAACTTACAGCTCTGTAACTAGGAACTTTCCAGCAGGATAAACCAAGTCAGGCAGTTGTGTAACTGTAACTAATAAAATATTTTCTTATCTTCATTTCTATTTTCACCCTATCAAAGCCTTCCCCTTGTGTTCCCTTGGCTGAGCCCAGGAAACCACTTCTGGTTTGGAGCTGCCTGATTGATGAATCTCTGTTTGGTCAAATACACTCTTTAAATTCTCATTGTGCTTCAATCTACTTTTTAGCACTGCCAAGACTCTTCATGGGATTGCATGTTACAGCTGGCTGAGCGAAGATGGGACTTCTAGGAGAGTCCAGTGACCGTTGTATAAAAACAGCTGCCCCTGAGCAAAGCAGCTCTGCAGTCCTGAATCCCTTTCTTATCAGAAGTTAGTAATTCTCATTATATGGAGCGTTTCATCCCAAGCTTTTCATAACTACTGCAGGGAGCTGAGCTACTTCCATCACAAGTTACACTTTTTAAAAAAAGATAAGCATGAAAATAATTTCTATAGTTATTGATGTGACTGTTTAAAAATTCCTGTGGTCTGATTCAGCCTTTAAAACTATCTTCTGTACATTTATGGCATAATAAAGAAAGATATATAGACCTAGATTTTATTTTGGGCACTAACACCTACTAGCTAGGAGGCCTTGGACAAATCACTTAAATTATCTCGCCCTCGGTTTCTTCAATTGTAGAATGGAAACAGTAACACCAGACTACCTATCTCCCTGGGCAGCTTCATCCATCAAATGGTGGATGATGTGGGTCTGTGTTTTGTGACTTCAAAGAGCACCAGGGAGTGCAGAAGGCAGAGCTGTTTCCATTCCCATCCATTCATTGGTCAATCAGTTATTGACTGTCTGTTTCCTGTGTGTGGAGACACACTTATAAGCCCAATCACCCCGGGCAAAAAAAAAAAAAAAAAAGATTATATAGTCCGTCTTATGTAGGATATTAATTTCTTTTCACAGCCTGGCTTCCAGCTAGCCTGGAAGAGCTCATTCATCTCATTGAAAAGTGAAGTTTATTCCTTGGGAGCTGTTTATTCCCTTTACTTTTAAATTCTCGGCATTTTGTACTCAGAGCACTTTTCCAGAAAGAAGCAGTTTCCAGACCTCATCTAGCCAATTTCATTATGCCCAACAATAAACTAGAATAAATATAATCATATAAGCCTTCATCCTTTTGTTTATAATCTAGATTTTATATTAAAATATTCAATTCAATAAAAACATGGAAAAACATTGAGGAGAAGGATAATCATTGGCAGGCCAAGAATACAGAAAAATGCACAGTCAGATTCTAGCTACTTTATGATGAACTTTGTTCAATCAATAAATGTTTGACTCCCTATCCTGTAAGAGGCATTGTTCTGGACACAGGAGATACATTAATCAGCAGTGTAGACATAGCACTCTTCTCTTTGACATCAGAAGTTTGCAAACAGGATGCCAATGAGCAAGCCATTATATTGACATTCAAGTTCCTGTGGGATTGCATGACATAGATTTTGGGGGGAATATTGTCCTAAAGGATGAGTAGGAATTAACCAGAAAAGTAGGAGGAGGGCAGAGCAAGATAAATTTCCAAACAAAGGCTACAGTGTAGTAGACATAAGGAAGGAGAAGAGAGACGGTGAGAGAAGCATATTTGAAGAATTAAGAGAAAATCAGTTTGGCTGGAGCATGAGGTACATAAAGGGCTATTATAACCCCAAAGAGTGTTATAAGTCATGTTGGGGCAGTTGGGACTTTATTCTCAGGACAAAAGAAAGCCTTTGGAAGGTTTTAAGTGCCATGACCATGTTGCCATGCTCATTTCTGGAAACTCAATGTTGCCTCAGTTGCTGCTGAACAGCTGCTTTCTTGCATCATTGGTTCCCAAGTCAAAGTCTAGGGAAAGCAGATCTGACTGGCAGCACCTTGGCCACATGCCCATGCCTGAGCTTGGTGGGGGATAAAAATAAGAGGGGGGATGAGAAAGTAAGTGCTTGGTGTTGATCTTCTGTCGCGAAAGGGGTTCTACCTCTAGCTAATACTCATGGAATGGAGAATTACCCCCAAACACATAAGAATGATGTATTAGTCCATTTTCATACTGCTGTGAAGAAATACCCAAGACTGGGTAATTTATAAAGAAAAAGAGGTTTAATGGACTTATGGTTCCACATGGCTGGGGAGGCCTCACAATCATGGCAGAAGGCAAAGGAGGAGCAAAGGCACGTCTTGCATGGTGGCAGGCAAGAGAGCGTGTACAGGGGAACTGCTCTTTATAAAGCCATTAGATCTTGTGAGACGTATTCACTATCATGAGAACAGCATGGGAAAAACCCACCCCTATGATTCAGTTACCTCCCATCGGTCCCCTCCCATGACACATGGGGATTACGGGAGCTACAATTCAAGATGAGATTTGGATGGAGACACAGCCCAACCATATCAAATGGGGTTCAGATTGGGCAGTCAAAACATGACTAAGCTCCCTTACACTTGGGACCCTTTTAACATGCAATAAATCGTGAGACTATCCTAAAGAGCAGTTGTTCCATCGAACATACTTTGGGAAATACTGTCCTGGGTATTTTTCACAGAAACTGGTGTGAAGATATTATGTCCTGAAGAATCTAACCAATTCTGGGCTACTTTTGCCTCTCACTCCAAGAGCTAATCATTTTCTGTCTCTCCAGGTTCCTCAGTTTTTGCATTGGTTTGCTTTTCTTTTTTGAGATGGAATTTCACTCTTGTTGCCCAGGCTGGATTGGAGTTCAATGGCATGATCTCAGCTCACTACAACCTCTGCCTCCTGGGTTCAAGCGATTCTCCTGCCTCAACCTCCCAAGTAGCTGGGGTTACAGGCATGCACCACTACGCCCAGCGAATTTTTTGTATTTTTAGTAGGGATGGTGTTTCACCATGTTGGTCAGGTTTGTCTTGAACTCCTGGCCCCAGGTGATCCGCCCACCTCAGCCTCCCAAAGTGCTGGGATTACAGGCGTGAGCCACCACGCCTGGCTTCATTGGTTTCTCAGTCCCACTGACCTCCCTCTGGCTTTAGACTTCCCCAGTCTTGGCTCCTGGAAGGCAGCCAACAGCCTGGGTTGGTTCAGCCTCCTCGCAGGTATCTGAATGTGCTCATCTTCTGTGCATGATTTCTTTTTTCCTCTTTATCTTTCCTGTCTCTTTCTATCTCTTGCTAGGTCTCATACTCCTGTGAGGGGATTGAAAAAGGAAAAATAATTATTTTTCTGGTTTGAGGCAGATCTCAAGTATCTATGCCCTGGATTTTATTTCTATACATTGCAGGCAAGTATCTTCTAGAGCTATTCTGGGGCCTACTTAATTAATGCTCTGAAGATGGAAAAGTAGTAGAAAATTATTGTTATGATTGTAAGTGTTGTGATCTGACACTTACCAGCCTTTTATTTTTGTGATATAATTTATTGCCAGACTGGAGCCATTTATAACTTTAAATACGTGTTTGTCAGGATTACCTAAAGGAAACTGCTTTCTAAATGAGCAAAACCAATCATCTGCAAACATCTTCCTCTTCAAAGACAACTTCTTGAGACAAGCAGAAGGGACTTCAGGGAAGGCCATGTTTAAGAGAGAAAACCATTTTTAATTGTGGAAAGAACATTGTGGCAGAGATGATCTATGCCACTTGAATTCACTCTGATGCTCAGAGGAGATGTTCCTCTTTTAATGGTTGAAGGTAGATGGCAGCAACACCCCAGCTTTTCCCCCTGTCACATCTTGGTTCCTGCCTATGTCTGGGCCCACGAAGTTGTTTCTAACAAACGCCCCAGCTTCAGCTCCCTCCATGAAGATGTTTGGTGGGGTTGGTTTTGGGGTTACTCAGCATCCAAAACCCTTGCATGTTCTGGAGGAACTACTCCTCCTCCAACCCACTGTGTGAATTTTGCGGGAAGCAAGGCTGCCCATGGATGTCAAAGGGGCCGGATACAGGACCTGTGCTTGGGTAGATGGATATGCCCATTTGGTACATTCAATTGTGAGTAAATGACACAAAAATGAAGGGAGAGTTTCAAGTTCACTGGCAGTGGTGATATCAATAGGGTCCACAGCAGCGGGGTCCAGGGGTGACCATATCTAGTGGCAGTGGAGGCAGTGGTGTGGGGGAAGAACCCCAAGCAAACCATTCCTGTGGCATGACTGCTGCTATAATTTCCTGCAGCGTAGTCTCCCTTGGTCCCGAAATGTTGTCTGAGCCCAGTAACTTACTTTTGTGAGCTACTGGATATCTTTTTAATGAATTCTTTTCCTGCTTATATTTGCCAGTTGCTTTCTGTTGTTTGTAGCTAAGACCCTTGCACGAACCTATGTCCTCTTTCCTTTTCTGTCCATGTCACTCACACCTCACAGCCATTTTAGAGTCTCCCTGTCTACAAACCTCCCCAAATCTTCATTGCACACCTAGATCTCACCACTGTTTGTCTCCCTCCTTATCCTCCAATGCTTATCCCTTTGTTAACCAGAGGAACATTGTCTGACTCTTAGAAAGCTATAATTCTTCCTCCCCGGTGAAGGTGATATGGAGAGAAAGGGAGCGCAAATACAGGATATTTTTTAGAAGGCAGGAGAAAAGAAGAAAATACAACTGTGGACACTCAAATGTTAACTTTTTGGCCCATAACATATGCTCCAGGTAGGCGTTTATTTAAGATAGGTGTGAGTCACGTTGTTCACAAAAGGGCAGTTAAATCTAGAGGGACAGAAACAGTCGGTTAGTCCTGTTTGTCATGGCTTATCTTCATGGTGGCTTAGTGGGGACCCAGAAATACCAGTTCTCAGGAATAACACTTCCCTGAAGTAACAGACAGGCCAACTGCTCGGGTCTCCAAGATGCCCTGTTCCTGACACAAAGAAGGAACCCAGCATTGATGAAAATAAAACACACACACTACACACACACACACACACACACACACACACCCCTAAAACTTTACCCCCGGGATCCACAGGGAGTCAGAGTAAGACCATGGTTCATGGGAGGCTGTGGCTCTTTGAAACACTAAAGAAAATTTGACAACTTTATAGTTTTACTTAGTATCAACCCAGCTTGCCTGGTACACAGACAAACAGATGGCTGGACAATTCGTTGGGGGAAAACGATAATAAAAAATCTTGTTTCAGTTTTCAGTAATTGTAAGGGAGTCAGACATAGTCTTAAATTGCATGATCAAAAGACACGACTGTGAAAATATGATATTTAAAAATTATTTTTGTTGTTGATAAGCATAGCTGATGTGCTCTCGTGGGCACATCTTGTGATTTAGTACAACTATCTTGAGGAAATACCCTTGGGAACTTGAGTTACATTCCTGGCTATGCTTCAAACTAGTACATGATTTTGGGCAAGTAATTTATATCACTTACTCTCAGTTTTCTTCTTTGTTAAGTGGGAAGAGATTGGGAGATTTAAAAGGTACTTTGAACCTCAAAACAGAAATACCATTCGAACCAGTAATCACATTACTGGGTATATGCCCAAAGGAATGTAAATCATTCTATTATAAAGACATCTGCATGCATATGTTCACTGCAGCACCATTCACAATAGCAAAGACATAGAATCAACCTAAATGTCAATCAATGATAGATTGGATAAAGAAAATGTGGTATATATGCACCATGGAATACTACACAGCCATAAAAGAGAATGAGATTATGTCCTTTGCAGGGACATGGATGGAGCTGGAGGCCATTATCCTTAGCAAACTAACACAGGAACAGAAAACCAAATACCGCATGTTCTCACTTATAAGTGGAATCTAAATGATGAGAACACATGGACACATAGAGGGGAGCAACACACATTGGGGCCTGCTGGAGGGTGGAGGGTGGGAGGAGAGAGAGGATCAGGAAAAATAACTAATGGGTACTAGTCTTAGTTGAGTGATAAAATAATCTGGGTGATGAAATAATCTGTACAACAAAGCCCCATGACACCTATACAACAAACCTGCACATATACCCCTGAACTTAAAATAAAAGTTTAAAAAGAAATAAAATAAAATTTCAAGAAAAAAACTTAAAAAAATTTTTTTAAAGGTCTTTTGAATTCTTAAAATATAGCTACCTCTTTCCTATGGTTCAAAGGATTTTTACATGTTTCTTTTAGCGATGGACAAAAAAACCCAGAAAAAAAGTCTCAAATGCAAGCCCAATTATATTTCTGTAGCTAAAGAGAATTGACAAAGATAAGTTCATTGACTTGGATAAAGGAAATGATGGCACATGACATCAATACAAATATATACTGACTGCCCAAGTAACATGTGTTCTTCATCTTCCGCCACTGGAAGACAGATTTCCACCACTGGAACTCTATAGAAAAACCTTGATAATTGGGAGATCAGCCCTCTAGCACCTGAGATTATTCGTTATGGCTCTGAATCAGAACGTAAAGAACAAAATTTACCTCTATTATAAGAAAATAGAATATGCTTGCCATTAGCAAAGCCTCAAACAATCACAGGATATTACCCAGAAAAGAGGGAGAATCTTGATGGGCTGACCATGTTCATAAGAAATTTGAAAGACAAAAAGGATAGGAGAAGCAGAGAGACACAGATACATAGGGAAAGGGAGTGGTAAGAGAATGGTAGAGTTTAGCAATGCTGGCAGCAGAAGTGAAGGTTGGGAATGGTGATAAGAACACTGAGCACCAGGTGTGGGGCTGCTTCCAAGTCTTTGCACCAAGGCAAAGTATAATTGTGAACATGTACACAATAGTGTAATGCTAAAAATATAGGGAGATATTTTCAACAAATGATGCTAGAACAACTGGACAGCATATGCAAAAAAATCCCTCCCATCTAGACAGAGACCTCATACCTTTCATAAAAATTAACTCATAATGGATTATGTCTAAATGTAAAATGGAAAACTACAAAACTTCCAAAAGATAGCGTAGGAGAAAAATTGAGGTGACTTTTGATTTGGTGACAGCTTTTTATATACATCACCAAAAGCATGATCCATGAAAAAAATTAATATGATTGTTTATTAAAATAAAAATATCTGATCTGTGTAAGATACTACTAAGAAAATGAAAAGGCAAGGCTCAGACAGGGAGAAAATATTTGCAAAATATTTATCTGATAAAGGACTGGTATCCAAAATCTACAAAGAACTCTTCTCAACAATAATGAATAAAACAACCAAATTTAAAAATAAACAGACATCTTACCAGAGAAGATATATAGATGGTAAACAAGCATATGAAAATATGATCAACAACATTGGGTTTTGCAATTAAAGGGAAATGCAAAGCAACAATCAGATGCCACTATACACTTATTAGAATGGCTAAAAGACAAAATTCTGGTAACACCAAATGCTGATGAGGTTGTGGAACAACAGGAACTCTCATTCATTGCTGGTGATAATTCAAAATGATACAGCTACTTTAGAAGAAAGACAGTTTGACACTTTCTTACAAAGCTAAACATAGTCTTACTATATACTCCAGCAATCATCCACCTAGGTATTTACCCAAATGAGTTGAAAACTTATGTCCACACAAAAACCCGCACACACATTTTATAGCAGCTTTATTCATAATTGCTCAAAATTGATAGCAACCAGATGTCCTTCAATAGAGGAATGGATAAACACACTGTGGTATATCCAGACAATGAAATATTACTCAGCATTAAAAAGAAATGAGGCATCAAGCCATAAAAAGACACGGAGGAACCTTAATGTTTTACATTTTGCTATGTAGAAGAAGCAAGTATGAAAAAGCTACAAGTTGTATGATTTCAACTTCTGCCTTCTTAGGGTCCTGGCTGGGCCTGAAAATTAAATTGGTCTAAGATAGATCAACAGGAGAAAACCATACAAAGTTAATATAGTTTTTTGTGACACGGACATCCTCATGAGGAAATGAAGACCCAAAGACACAGTTAGATTTGAATACTTATATATTGAATAAGACAAAGAGTAGTAAATTGTAAAAATGTGACAAGGCAAAGGGGCTTGGGCTAAGGTAGTTAATGGCAGGGAGAAGTGGCCAGGAAGATAAGGGTTAGTCTAATAACATTTGTACAGAGGACCTTCTTTCGCAACTTCCCACCCTTGATGATGAGAATCTTACTTTCCTTTTAATATAGAGAGTATCTTTCAAATGAATTACAGTTCCTGCTTTTAAGAAACAGAATGAAGGTCAGAGTGACCTTCTTGCATCTGTTGTTTTTCAAGTAGTTTTAACTCAAAATAGTCAATATGCCAGAGTAGCATATAGTGGAGTGGCATGTTCCGAACTCCTTCACAACTACGTGACATTCTGGAAAAGGCAAAACTAGAGAGACAGTAAAAATAAAACAAAACCAGTGGTTGCCAGGGGTTCAAGAGAAGAGAATAAAGGATGAATTAATGGAACACAGACTATTTTCAGAGGGTGAAACTATTCTGTACAGTACCATAATGGTGGATACACAACATTATGTATTTCTCAAAATCCACAGAACTGTGCAACACCAAGAGTGAACCCCAATGTAAAATACAGATTTAGTTAATAAAAAATACATATTGGTTCACTATTAGTGTACCACAATAATGCAAGTTGTTAATAATGAGGGAAATTTTATGGGGGTGGGGTGGAGAGAAGGTATCAATGAGGAAGCAAATTAAGTCAAAATACTTTAGAATCCTGGGTTAGGCAGAGAGAGGGCAAACTTGTATTTATGCTCTTGAAGGTCCAAGGTATCAACTCTAAGTACCCCAGACAACCAGGGAATGCTTTTACTCAGGACAACATATTACTTCATGATAAACTTTAATTTTGCCACCATTTTAAGAAATAAAGTATTTTATTCAAATGCTTAGAGTTTAACCAAAACATAGGTGATCCTCACCTTTAAATTAATCATACTTTACTATTAATAATTACGTATTAGCACCCCTGGCCAGTCTTGAGACCAACTGTAGAAGGCTAGGTCCAAAAGAAAGTTTCTTAAAATTATGATTTGAGAAATAGCTCCTAAAATGCTTTTCAGTGGTCCAAATAGGGAGAAAACTTCCTGGTTCTTGGGAGCTGTGACAGGAAAGTGAATTATAAATAGCTTTCTTATCAGGAAAGAAGGTGTATATTCAACTTTCTCTGGACACACTTTTCAATATAAGATACCTTTAAACCAACTTCACTCTTCTTGTTCAACTTGCTGAAAAATGCCCTATTCAATCTTGTACAAAAATCAGCATCTCCATGTCCTTCTTTCTAATGGCAAAATAAATTTCTTTGTTTATTATTGTCACAGCAAAAACAAAAAATGAGGGAACGAGAATTCAAAGTAAGGAATTATTTCAACAAATAATTTTTAATTTGTTTTATTATTAACAACATTTAATATATAACTTATATTTGCTGTATGACACTCAGCTTTAATTTTCCTTCTATGAGATCAACTTTTTTAGCCTCCACATATGAATAAGAACATTCCTCTACAGGAACAGAACACTCTTTTTAAAAAAGAAGTTTTTTGCTTTTATTATTATTTTTAATTGACATGTAAAAATTGCACGTATTTCTGGGGATAGTGTGATATTTTGATACATGTATGGAATGTGTAATGACCAAAACAGGGTAATTAGCATATCCATTGCCTCAAACATGTATCATATCTTTGTGTTGGGAACATTCAAAATCAGCTCTTCTAGCTCTCTGTGAAGTTGGTTTTTATGTGTGTGTGAAATAAAAAAGATTGATTATATCATCTGGCAGATCCATGATATGCTTGATATTTTCCTTTTCAAATAAGCAGAAAGCATAGTGAGGCCCCATTTCAAATAGCTCATTAGATGTGCTTTAGAATTATTAGTGCACCATCTTGGTGTGTTGACATGAAATTTCTGTTAGCTCCAAAGTTAAACGATGTAGGAAGAGCTGGTTAACATACTCTGGGGTACTGCATGGCAACATGTGGTAACATGAAAACTGTGTGGTTATTTCTATTTGAAAAGAAGAAAGAAATGCTGGTATCTTCCAGCAACAAAGACGTTTCAAGGTAACACAAGTATCTTCAAGACCAAGTCCACAGAGAGAAAGAAATGACATAGAAGATACTTTAAATAACAGTTGAAACCAAAAGTAAGAAACGAAGAAATTCTGAAAATTTCTATACATTGTATCAGATGCTTAAAATATCTCAGAAGGGACCATCACATCAGTAAAACAGTAAAACAAAATGACAACCAAAAAGCCAAACTCAACATGATAGCAATCTTATTGACATGGTACTCAGCAGGAATGCCAGCAAGGGAAAAAAGGGAACTGAAATATAAGTTCAGCACATGTGGCAGGAGTGGATGGAAACAAAATAAAATCACTTTCAAGAAGTGAAGAACCCTATGGGAATCTTCTAAAAAGGAAGAAAAAAAAAGTAGTTTTAAAGCAACAGTAAAATTTTCATTTGCTTCTTTTTATGAGACAAAGAGTTAGAAATGTTCTTTTTGGCAAGAAGCTTATTCTACTTGTCTATAGTTAAAAAAATTACAGTCTGACACATGGTGGAAAAATATCAGAACAATGACTCTTAATGCTTCAATAAAGGTTAAAAATGCAATCCTCTCATCTTATCAGTGGGGAAAATAAATCTCAGGGGGAAAACAGGATTTGCTGAAGGTCCTCAGGTAAAGGGATAAAAACACGTGTCTCCTGGTACTCCACCCCATGCTCTTCCCCAGTACTGCTCTGCCTCTTAGTTGTTTGTTTTCCTTGCCTACGTAAAAGTAAAATGTGTTTATTGTGAAATATTTGGAAAATACATAAAAGTTCAGAAGACAGCATTAAAATCTCCTGCAATCTTACTACCCAGAAATAATGCAAAGTTTATCATATTTCAGAAACCACTAATGAAAACTTATACTATAAAAAATGTCTTGAGAATTCAACAGTCCATGACTTGAGTAAAATTGTGGTCCTAAAATCAGGCACTCAGGAGTCCTTGCCTTAGGTATCACTGATATAATTTGTTTCACTATTCAGGCTTTCAGTTTCTCATGAAAAAGAAATTATGTACTTATCTCTTTAACTGCAAATTCAAAACTGAGAATTAGTAAACTTATTAAATGGTCTAGGGGTAGATCTGCATGTGATCCAACAGATAATCTGGATGATGGAACAGGCAAGATGACTGGATGACAACCGATCATGTCATCTTTCCTTGTGATTCCTTAAAAGCCACTGAAATATCATTTTGCTAGTGATGGGGAGAGGAGAGAGGAAACTTAATTTCTGTGTTAGAGTGAGAGAGAGATTCTTAATATATACCCACAATATAAAATACTTAGAATGGTAGGTTGTTTATAACAAGATTTTAATGTAAATGAAAGCAATAATTGGATCAAATAAGAATCTATATGCCCATGCTGATATAAATAAAAGAAATAAGTAAATAAATAAATGAGAGAAGAAAAATCTCTTTCTTACAGTAGAATATTAACTGATAAATGTAGAAAGAACAATGAATTTAAAGATCACTAGTTGGAAACCATCATAGTAATAACTAATTCAGGCAAGAATAATCAGTGGATGCTAAAACTAGTTGTTGAAAGTTTGGTGAAGCACAGGATATTTACGTAGTATCAAGTATTATTACTTCACGAATGACTTTTTTTTTTTTTTTTTTTTTTTTTTTAACAGAGTCTCTCGCTCTGTCGCCCGGGCTGGAGTGCAATGGCGCAATATCAGCTCACTGCAAACTCCGCCTCCTGGGTTCAAGCAGTTCTCCTGCCTCAGCCTCCTGAGTAGCTGGGATTACAGGTGCACGCCACCACGCCCAGCTAATGTTTGTATTTTTAGTAGAGACGGGGTTTTGCCATGTTGGTCAGGCTGGTCTCAAACTCCTCACCTCAGGTGGATCTGCCCACCTTGGCCTCCCAAAATGCTGGGACTACAGGCTTGAGCCGCCGCACCTGGCCCACAAATGACTTTTTAATTATAAAAGGGAAACAGTAAATTTACAGTGGAGAAATCTGGGAGAAACCATTTTAATTAAGTAACCAGGGTTAACCATACTAGTAATAGGGAAACACAATATCATGTGCCCCTGATACGACGCACTAAGGATGCAGTGCCAGTTCTGCGTGTTATGTCAAAAATGTATAGCCTGGATCTAATAATGAAGACACATCAGAGAAATCTGAATTGTGAGACATTCTCCAAACCTGGCTATACTCTTCAAAAATGTTGAACTCCTGAAAGACAAAGAAAGAACAAAGAAATGTTCCAGATTAAGATTAAAGTAAAGACTCATGATAACTGTCCTTGCGTGGTAGCTCACACCTGTAATCCCAGCACTTTGGGAGGCCGAGCTGGGTGGATCACAAGGTCAGGAGATCGAGACCATCCTGGCCAATATGGTGAAACCCCAGTCTCTACTAAAATACAAAAAATTAGCTGGGCGTGGTTGTGTGCGCCTGTAGTCCCAGCTACTTGGGAGGCTGAGGCAGGGGACTAGCTTGAACCTGGGAGATGCAGATTGCAGTGAGCCGAGATCATGCCACTGCACTCCATCCTGGCGACAGAGGGAGACTCCATTTAAACAAACAAACAAACAAACAAACAAACAAACAAACAAAAAGACTCATGATAATTAAATGCAATGTGTGTTCTTGGATTGGATCCTGGACCAAAAGGGGAAAATTAAAAAAACAAAACAAAACAAAACAAAAAACCTTTTTTCATTAAAAGACATTATTGGAAAATTGGTGAAATTTGACTAAGTTATATAAAATAGTAGCAGTTTATACAGGTTAATTTTGTGATTTGGATAACTGTTCAATGGCTATATAAGAAAAAGCCCTTATTCAAAAGAAATATACACTGAAGTACTTAGGGACAAAAGAAAGAGCAGCATGTCTGCAACTTACTCTCAATTGTTTCAGGAAAAAATAATTTGCTTATAGGGAGAATGAATAATAAAGCAAATTGGACAAAATGTTAATGATTGGGAAACATGAGAGAAGGGCATATTGGTGTTCTTTATACTGTTCTTACTTTCTTGTAAGTTTGAAGTTATTTCAAAATTTAAAGTTACAGAAAAAGAAGCAATAAATAGAGAATTCTGTGAAGATAGTGTCAATAGCAGCATAGATTTTTTAATCTTTCTGAATATCCCCTGTGAAAACAGAGCAACTGGGATACAGAACCAACATTCTGGGGAAAACATCTAAAAAAAACCCCCAAGTTGACGAGGTATCCCCACTAACCCCGAAACATGAGTGGGTGGGAGCAAGTTATCAACAGCTTCAGCACCTCCATAGTAGTGGCAATTGTGTGGGTAGAAGCAGACGAAAGGCATGGAGCTCTGATGGCTCTGAGGATCAGAGAACCCCAAAATCCTTCAAAAAGTGCTCAGTGAGAAGACTGCAGGGCCAATCTGAGAACGGCAATTAAAACTGAGGAGGGTTTTGTAGGCTCCAATTTTTGGGTAAGTGTAAGGATGCTTCAGGAAGTACAGAACATTCTGGAACAGTGTTGGCCTCATGAATTCTCAAAACTAACTAATTGGGCTGGGCGTGGTGGCTCACACCTGTAATCTCAGCATTTTGGGAGGCTGAGGCAGATGGATCACCTGAGTTCAGGAGTTGGAGACCAACCTGGCCAAAATGGTGAAACCCTGTCTCTCCTAAAAATACAAAAATTAGCTGGGCATGGTGGTGCATGCCTGTAGTTCCAGCTATTTGGGAGGCAGAGGCAGGAGAATCGCTTGAACCTGGGAGGTCGAGTTGCAGTGAGCCAAGATCGCGCCACTGCACTCCAGCCTGGGTGACAGAGTGAGACTCCATCTGAAAAACAAACAAACAAACAAACACACACACACACACACACACACACACACACACACAACCAAGCAAAAACTAATTAAAAGTCTCTTCCTAGAAAAAGCCCTGCCTGAGGAAAAACTATGGGAGTGCAATCCAAATTGAGAAGGATGGAGAATATAGGGGCAAAAGGAAGAGAAAATCTCCATAAAATGAAAGAAGGAAGCTATGGAAGCAGATCTCAGAAAGAAAATCATGTTTTGATCACTTCACAAACACAACAGAAGAATGCTAGGAAAGCTACCCAGATCTTCCCTTCCCTTCTAAAGGTAAGAAATACTAATCTAATGTAAACACTTGAGCAATAGATAAGGATTGCAGTTATGTTCCATACAAAGTCACTGTAAGTAAAAAAAGTAAGAAGCAGAAAACATTATTTCAAATGGTGAACAAGTCATGTCTATAAAACATTAAGAATATAATAAATATCGTGATAATGTCTTAAGGAAAATAGAAGATGAAAAGGAAAAAACTTTAAATTCAGACAGCATATTTAAAAAGATATAAAGTAATTCTGGAAAAATAGTTATAGAAAACCCCAAAGAAGGGCCAACATAAGTAAAAAGAGAATCCCTAAATAAGATAATCAGGTATTGGAACAAACTAATACTAAAAACTCTAAGAAAAATTTTCAGACATAAAAAATTACTGAAGCTACATATTCAAAAGTTACATCACATACCTGGGAAAAACTGACCTACTAATGCCAAGTGTGGTGGCTTACACCTGTAATCCCAAGACTGTGGGAGTCTGAGGCAGGTGGATCTCCTGAGGTCAGGAGTTTGAGAACAGCCTGGCCCACATGGTGAAAACCCGTCTGTACTAAAATACAAAAATTAGCTGGGCGTGGTGGCACGCACCTGTAATCCCAGCTACTGGGGAGGCTGAGGCAGGTGAATTGCTTGAACCTGGGAGGCAGAGGTTGCAGTGAGTCAAGATCGTGCCATTGCACTCCAACCTGGGTGACAGAACAAGACTCCATCTAAAAAAAAAAAAAAAAAGAAAGAAAAAGAAAAATTGACCTACTAGATAAAGTCTGGTAAAACTACTGGATTTTAAAGAAAAAAGTCTTTCAGGAATCCAGGTAGTAAAGTTACTTATAAGGGAAGGAAAAAAATTTTATTTTCACTTTTGCCAGAAGACAAAGGAGTAACATATTGAAAAAGCAGAGAAAAAAAATGTGAGACAAGGATTTTATATCCAGCTAAACAGACCTTCAAGTACAAAGGCTACATATAGGCTGTTATAAACATGAAAGTGAGAATATGGTTCTCGTGAGTCCTCCCTGAAGTCTCAGATTGGTGCAAAAGTAATTGTGGGTTTTTCTATTACTTTTAATTGTAAAAACTGCAATTACTTTTGCACCAACCCAATATTCCCTGGAGAATAAAATTTAGACAATCGAAATGATTGGATGACATTAACATAAGGACTAGAACTTTAAATATATATGTACTGGCCGGGCCCGGAGGCTGACGCCTGTAATCTCAGCACTTTGGAAGACCGAGGTGGGCGGATCACTTGTGCTCAGGAGTTCAAGACCAGCCTGGGCAACATGGTAAGACCCCTTCTCTACTAAAAATACAAAAACTAGCTGGGTGTGGTGGCAGGTGCCTGTAATCCCAGCTACTCATGAGGCTGAAGCAGGGGAATTTCTTGAACCCGGGAGGCAGAGGTTGCAGTGAGCAGAGATCATACCATTGCACTCCAGCCTGGGTGACAGAGAGAAATGTCATCAGGCAAGACTCCATCTCAAAATATGTGTGTGTGTGTGTGTGTGTGTATGTGTGTGTATATATATATATATATATATATTAGAACTAAGACTGACAGTTGGTTAGAAGGAAGACAATATAGCTCGTAATGGCTATATACTCTAACAATGCAAATACAACTTACCAAAAATGGAGGATGAATGGAGAGAATATCTGATAGAATAAGTTCATTACTTTCTTTAAGGGTATTAACTAGTTATTTAGATTTTGTCTAAATTAGTCATCTTATTGAAGAAAGAGAGGGTGAAGGTATCAGCTAATTTCAATATTGCTTATCACTGAGGATGAATAGACAATAGACAAAAATAGGGGAGACTAAGGGCATTATAAAATGTATTAGTACAAAGGAAACCATTAGAACAAAGACAAAAACTTTGTTTAAAAAAACAATTTATTTTATACCTTATAAATTTTTTAATGGTTACTTGTAGAGGAAGAGAGGGAAGGGGGTACAGAAGACAAGGACAGAAGCTATGCTTTGAATATCCCATGTTTTGCAGATTTTTGTTTTTAATTTTCAAACAAAATTAAGATGCAATATCTAAAATTCAGAAGTAAAATGAAACAATGAGCCTAACAAGTTGACAGCACTAACAGGGTCTATGCAATGTTACCTTAAAGCACAGTAATTTCACTCAACACCCATGATGAAATATAATCTAAGAAAACAAACTGTATAAATAAATCTTAAATTGTTTCCAGTCATCTTATTGTTGGTAGTAATGTTAGTATTGTTTTCTAAAATGGTTGTGTGTTTCTTTGGGGATAAAGCAAATGAGTAATTGCTGTAGTTGGATGTTTGTCCCCCAAGACTCATGCTGAAATTTGATCCCCAATGTTGAAGGTGGGGACCTAATGAGAGGTGTGGAGTCATGAGGGTAGATCCTTCATGAATATGTTGGTGCCACCTGTTTCCTCGTGGTAATGAGTAAGTTATCACTTTATTAGTTCCAATGAGAGTTGGTTGTTCAAAAGAGCCTGGCACCTCCCCTCTGTCTCTCGCTTTCTCTCTCACCATGTGATCTCTGTGCAGGTTGGCTCCCCTTCACCTTCTGCCGTGAGTGGAAGCAGCCTATGGCTTTCTCCAAGTGGCCATCTTTCAGCCAGCACAATACTTTTCAGCCAGCACTTTTTTTTTTTTTTTTTTGAGACGGAGTTTCACTGTTGTTGTCCAGGCTGGAGTGCAGTGGCGTGATCTCGGCTCACTGCAGCCTCCGCCTCCCAGGTTCAAGTGAGTCTCCTGCCTCAGCCTCCTGAATAGCTGGGATTACAGGCATGGGCCACCACATCCGGCTACTTTTTTGTATTTTTAGTAGAGATGGGGTTTCGCCATTTTGGCCAGGCTGGTCTCGAACTCATGACCTCAGGTGATCCACCCACCTTGGCCTCCCCAAATAACCTTTTTATTCCTTATAAATTACCCAACCTCAAAGGAATACAAACACACTAAGATAGTAACTAAGTTGATCTAGTTGAGAACTAGGATTTTTGGCATGAATGAAAGAAGATGTGGATGTGATATCTTCCATTAAGGATGAGGTTAAATAAAAACCGTATATTTCTGAATTTGAATTGGAAGTCATAGTATAAACTTATGATCTATTTCTTAGCATGTCCACTGAAAAGGCTTAGAAAATGTTACCAATCCATTCTTAATAAGGACCCCTAGTTCCCAGACTGTGGTCTCTAAAAACTCTATTGCTCCAAGGAATAGACTTGGACCTTCCTGCAGAAATGACTGGTTGCAGGTTGGGGAAAGGAATAACTTCATTCAAGAAAGCAAGGAAGCTGTCAAAGAGCACTTGAGTTTTACCAGAAGAATTCAGGAGCCAACTTGAATTGCCTTTCACTGGCCAAAGATGAACAATTTAAACTTAAATAAGGATAATAACTGTAATGGAATAAAATATATCAGATATGTTTAAATGCATAAGCTCATGATTATGCTAAGTAAAATCTCATTGATCATCATTATAGGCTATTAGGAGACCAACTCATTATTTTAAAAATTGGTAAAGGTAAAGAAATAAAGCATTTATTTCATTTTTTCTTTACAAACGATAGCTTAAGGTAACCAAATAGCCCACAAGGTGAAGTTTCCCGTTATAGAAGTATTCCAGCTCATAAAATGAAAAATAAATAAGAGAATTAAAATATCATTATCTTGCTGCTCCTAATGAATTCATGGAACTAGGCAATGATGATCAATGGTGGCTACCATAAAAAAAAGACACAATCAGAAATTATGTGCTTTCTGGAAGAAATATACCATACCACCTTTGACGTAGTCTTGCCAAAACATAAATTGGATATATTTTTCCGTATCTGAAATGCCTTTCCCCTTTCTTTCTGCCGACCAAAATACTGCTTACCTATCATAACCTTCTCAAATCTCATTTCCTCCAACAAAGCTATGTGGAGGAGGTATGTTCTCTCTTAAATCTTACAGTACTTGGAGAACTGCTGTTCAATAAAAACAAAATGTGAGCCACATGTGTGTTTGAAAATTTTCTGGTAACTACATTAAAATGGTAAAGAGAAACAGATATAGTTAATTTTATGACTATAGTTAATTTAATACATCAAAAGTATTATCACTTAAACACAACATACAAATACTAACGACACATTTTCTATTATTTTTGTTGTATGGTCTTCAATATCCGGTATGTATTCTATGTTTAACAGCACATTTCCATTCAGACTAGTCACATTTCAAGTTCTCAATAGCCACTGGACAGCACAGGCTTACAGAATCCATCACACAACTTACCACCTGATTATCAAGTCTGCGTAGGCAGAAGGCAGCTCCTCCATAACATCAGACCCATAACTGGAGTAATGTTATCTCCTAAACAACCCATGACACACACTGATGCCCTGTTTTCACAGTCTCTGAGAAAAATGTAGGAGGTGATTGCTACGGATTGAATGTTTGTGTCCCCACCAAAATTCACATGTTGAAACTTAATCCCCAATAGGATGGATTTGAAAATAGGGCCTTTGGAAAGTAATTGGGTCACAGGAGTGTTCATGGAGGGATTGCTGCCCTTATAAGAAGACGCATGAGGCCAGGCACAGTGGCTCATGCCTGTAATTCCAGCACTTTGGGAGGCTGAGGTGGGTGGATCACGTGAGGCCAGGAGTTTGAGACCAGCCTAGCCAACATGGAGTAACCCTGTATCTCCTAAAAATATAAAAATGAACCAGGCTTGATAGTGGATGCCTGTAATCCCAGCTACTAGCAAGGCTGAGGCACTAGAATCACTTGAACCTGGGAGGCAGAGGTTGCAATGAGCCGAGATCGTGCCACTGCACTCCAGCCTGGGTGACACAGCGAGACTATGTCTCGAAAAGAAAAAAGAAGAAGAGGACACGTGAAAGACTATTCTTCTCTCTTTGCTCTCTTGGCCACGTGAGGACACAGCAAGAAGGAGCTTGTCTACAAACCAGGAAGCAGGGCCTCACCAGACATGAGATTAGCCAATGGTGGTCGGTTATATCCGCCAAGGTGGACTGAGACAGTCCAATCATTCAGATAATGTGCTAATGAGATGAGTCTTTCCTCCAACAAGCACTAGTGCAGTTCAGCAAAAGGATGTGGGAGGACAGCAGAGGAGGCTTCTTGGCCTCAGTACATAAAGAGTAAGCATTCCTATATGAGACATGGAGAACTCAGGCCATCATATCAAAGTTTTAAATTCTTCCATATAATTAGTAATGCATATAGCTAGAGGTTACCACTGGAGTGTCCACATGGGCATTTCATTGTTCTTAAGGACTGGGTAGGCTTTTTGAATCTGGATCCAAGAGACTGGTTTAACTGGTTCTAGGTATACAACTACTGGTTTATATTAATGAAGATGAGGGTTGTTCCTTGGGCATGGAAAAGTATAATATATGTCATTAAAAGATAAATGCCTTAGTTAATAAATGAGATAAAAGAAATACTTCCAGGGAGATATTTCAAATTAAAAAATCTATGGCAAACTAAATTCTTACAGGAAAACCTCAGAGAAGACAGCCTGTTGCCCAGTGGTTAGATTTTATTTAAGGGTTTCTTATCACCATCTAGCTCAAATAGAAACATCTGATTGTTGCTGCCAACTGTCTCTACAAGAGTATTCTCATTTCCCAGTAAACCTGCATTTGTGCCTTCTGTCCCAGTCAAACATATCCCTGGCAACTTTCCCAACAAGTTAGTTTCCTTCTAGCCTGGCTGAGCCCTGTGGTTATAGAACACCCTGTTTGCACAGTATAGCCCTCCTCCTCTTAAAGAGAGTCTCCAGACACTTCCTTCCAGAGAAATGAAATGAATCATGATCTTGCCTAACTTGCACCTCCAATTATTATTTTCATCATTCTTATTTGAAGCAGTCATTCCATTCTCTCAGTGATTTTTTTGAAGGCAACTTCATATTTACATTACCCTATGCCTGGAAGGCATATGAGACTTTTCCTGGTGCTGAGTGCAGCTAACTAGTATGACACAAGCTTGGCAAAATAGTTCTCTGGGACAGTTTGGTATGGGAGATGCAGTGGCTGACAGGAAAGATTAGGAGCAATGGCTCCCACAACAGCTTCCTGTCTTTAAGCCTAAACTTAGAATAGACTTTCTCCTCCAAGGCACAGGAAAAATAATGTCAAGCAACAATGGCTTGAAGAAAGAGGAAAACAAAGATTAAAGCTCAAAAACTAGCCATTTTTTTCCCTAAACCAAATTCTTTGTTGCACTGAAGAGGGGAGGTGGGCAATGACCCTGCAGGCTAGAAAGACTTACCTTATCAAGACTTTGTTCAGGTTAAAGGGAAACCAGTCATGTCCAAGCTTCTGCTCTAAAGATCGTAGGTCTGGGGTCATACATCTCTATTTAACAGAGCCTCTTAGTGAGTGTAGGATAAGCAATGATGGCAAAAATTGCACAACATGGGAGAGTAACAAAAATTTAGTGGGTGGGGGTCAGCATTTGAGGAGGTATGAGGGGATGGCCAAGAAGATAGTGACAAACCAGCGCCTGAAAGAGAGCGTCGCTATCTTGAAATCCCCCTGGTGGTAAATTGTCGGAACAGTATGGCCTAGGTTTCTGATTTAATCTATCACCTATCTTGTGCTGTGATGTCATTCCTCTATGTTATTCCAAACCTTCAGTAAAATTCTGCTACATCCAACAGCCTTGTGTACCTGCAAGAAGGGGCTGCTGATATCTTATGCAGGATAAGAAGAACTAAGAAGAGAGTAGGAACCGAAGGTAATGGTTTGGACAGACAGATCAAGAAAATGTCTTCTCTGGAGAAAGCAACAGGAATACTGGCTGGTAGGACAGGAGGTTAATTTCCCACAATAAGTGGCTTTTGAGGGCTCCACTACAGCATTTGCATATTAAAGATTGGTCCCAGAAGGCTGTAAGATTTGAGGACATTTGGCTTATATTGAGAATACTGGCACTAAAATAATTGAAATTCTTGTTATCTCCTGTTCCCATGGTTCCCAACTTTGTATTTCTCAGACTAGTAATATTTTAACAAAAATTCTAGGGACTGCTTGGGTCATCAACCTTTTACTGTGTCATTCAAAAATATTTTCAAAACTGTTTCATAAAATAAAGGACATGTTAACACACACAGACAAAATAGGGCATAATAGAACAATTTTTAAAATGTGTTTTTATAAAAACCAAATTTGTTTTATGAAAGAAATTTGTTTTTATGTTTTTATCTGAAATGATCTCACATTTTCCAAACTATTGAATTGAAAACAGTATACATTTCATTTTATTTAGCCTTAGCTAATAACCCTTTATTCACTTATTTGTTCATTTTTGGAAAACACTAAATGTTTTTTATAAGCCTCTCTTTTCTTTAAAAAAAAAAACATTTTGAAAAAACAGGGTATCACTCTGTCCCCAGTGGGAGTACAGTGGCAAGAGCTCAGCTCACTGCAGCCTCAAATTCCTGGGCTCAAGTGATCCTCCTGCCTCCGCCTCCTAAGTAGCTGGGACTACAGGCGCATGTGCCATCACACCCAGCTAATTTTTTAATTTTTTGTAGAGAGAGGGTCTCATTATGTTTTCCAGGCTGGTCTTGAACTCCTGGTCTCAAGCAATCCTCCCACTTTGTCCTCCAGAGTGCTGGGATTACAGGTGTGAGCCATCATGCCTGGCTTATAAACCTCTTATGTGCCATTCACTGTGCTAGGTACTGGAGGGCAGAGATGAACATGACTTTGCCCCTGCCCTCAATATCTCAAGGTTTACTAGGGAAGTCAACCAGGTGATCTCAAGTGCAAAACTCACACAGTACAAGGGGAAAATGTAAAGGCAACAATTCATAAGTAGATGCTCTATCTCTATGCAGAACTGCAAGAAATACCAAAGCCTGATGTCAGGATTTACTTAGCACATGTAATTTGAGTTTTCTTACCAATGATTTAGGGGGAAGCTGAGACTTACTCCAGAGATCATGGAGTTTTCAGACTTTTTTCTGCTCCCAGCCAATCACAGGACTAGGAACACACCTCACGTGCAACATGTCAACCAGTCGATGAGTTCTCCCACGCTAGATAGAAAGAGGCTGGGTATATGGCGTTTGGGAAACAAAAACTGCAGCCTCTCCCTTGTCTACCATGAAATGGCTCTGCATACAGCCACTCTGCTCACTACAGAACATATAACCTGAAGGTTACTGGAGGACAGAGCAGGGTGAGGGCTGTGCTGCCATGGTAACAGTGCCATAGGATTTGGTGCCACACTGGAGATGGGGCACTCAGGGCACTTTCTGGCTACACACAGCTGGAAGATGTCTAGGAGCAGTGTTAGGCACATTGGTCCCCCCTGCTCAATACAAACCACCCTCACTTTGGGAAGTGATGAGGTTTTCTAGTTCCGATCTGGAGTGAGAATCAGACGGAGGCATATCATGGTATCCCAATCATCTAGTTCTGGAATTTCCCTAGAGGGTAGGGGATGCTGGTATAGTAAGGGATACATAAACACATTTATATGGGAAGAAGATCCAGAGGTTGGTACACTGGGGAGTCTCTGTCTCTGTCTCTGTCTCTCTTTCTCTCTTTCTCTCTCTGTCTCCCTCTCTCTCCCCGCCCAGTGCTCCAGAGGTACCACACTAGAGGAAAGAAATGAACTATATGCATCTTCTTACGTTATATAATCGGAGTATATATGTCAAAGGGATAGTCACTGGAACATTTTTCCCTCCTTATCTTCCCTCAACTTTTGTCAAAAATAGGTCTAGAACTTTCACACAATTATCCATCCTTATTTAAAATCAAAACCTGGATTGATCAGCTGATGGCTGCAGTTCTCACGTCTTTGCCCAGGTCTTCTGGCGTCTCTGAAGCACAACGTGTGACAATGGCACAAAAACGCAGGAAGTGACTGTTGAATGCACAGAGGTTCTGCAGCTTCCGTCCATTTTCACACAATTTCCATTTTAGATTCTGAGCAGTTCTCCCTCCCCATGCGCTATGAAATAGAAGGGTCTGGCTGAATCAGCCACTTGAAATTAGGTTTCTTCCCTGCAGGGGATTAGGAACCGAGGTGCGGTTCTTCTTCGCACTCCACACCACACCCCGCAACCCTAGAAATCAGGACTTTCCTGGAGAAAGACCCAGCAGGGACCCAGGACCCGCAGACGGTGCGGGGAACTGGTGCCTCTGCAAAGCCCAGCAATGCCCTTGACCAGGCCAGGAGAGGCGCGAGGCGAAGCAGAGTTGTCCCCGAGGCGTGTTGAGGCAGCTAGGGCAGGGCAGCGATTGCTTCGGAGGAGAAAGGGAAAGAAAGTCCCCTGGTCCCCGAAGTCTCCCAAGGTCAATTCCCAGGGGACTCCAAAGCAGCGACGGGGCTCTGAGATCTGGCAAGTTCTAGGAGTCGAGCGAGGGGAGCGAGTGTCTTACCTGGTCGGGCTGGCTGGTGTAGTTGAAAGAGTAGATGTTCTCGGTGCTGAGGTTCACCACCCCGCTGTAGACATGATCGAAATCGGCGCCCCTGGCAGCGTCGAAGGGGTCGCGGCGCGGTGCCGGGGGCTGCCTGGGGGATTTCGCCGGGTGCCCGGGCGACGCCGCCAGCAGGAGCCAGGGCAGCGCGCAGAGCAGCGCGAGCCGCAGGCAGCCGCGCATGGTGGGCACCGCGCCCGGGCTCGAAAGCGGAGCCACCCTGGGGAGGGGGCGAGCGCAGAGAGGGTCCTTCCAAAGCCCGGTGCAGGGCCAGGCGTCCGCTTCAGAGCCGAGCGGGTGATGCCTGGCGAACCCAGCCGGCCAGGGCTGGCAGCGTGCTGACGAAGGGCCGATCAAATACTGATGCTGCCGCCTGGGGTCTCCACTGGAGGTCACGGGTGGAGAGTAGGGCGGACTGGAGAAGTGGAGATGTGGGGCTGCTGATTTTCCTCCGGCTTCTAAGTCCCCCGTTTCTCATCGCCGAGAATCCCCCCACTTACCCAGCCAGAATTTAGACCGATCTCTTCTCCCTCAACCTCAATAACAGCAATAATAAAAAGGCATTGGAGTCATTAAAAAGAAATACCCGCTAGTCTCGAAAAGTCAACCTGACGCCACATCGAGGAGGAAATTCGGTCTGTTTCAAATACGTGTGCACCCTGGCTGCAGGAGAAGAAATAGAAAGCAAAAGAGCCCGTCCCCCAAGAGGGTGCGCGAGTTCGCTTTCCCAGGCTGCTACCTGCAGAGAACTCTTGCCTGTCTGAACGATAATTACTCTCTATTCTCCCCTCTCTAATAGAACCTCTCCTCAGACACCTGTTTTATTTCTTTATTACCTCCTACTCTCCATGGAGAGTCTCACGTCATCACGTTCTCTCCCTCACCATATGTGTATGTATGTAAATATGTACAGTTAAAAAAAAAAAGATATGGTAAAGAGAACAATTTCCAGCACTGCCTGAAGTCTGGTCCCGGAAGTTGTCAAAAAACGACTCAGACTAACTAGATTTATGCAGAAGGCATTTCTTTCCACCCCAGCCTCTTACCTACTTTACCATTGCAATGACTTCTTCCAGATTCTGAGAGAAACCCCAGGATTGTTTTTTTAAAGGCAGAAACCACAGCCTATCGTAAAAAGGAAATACTTTTCTGATAAAAATTAGGGGATTAGATTTAAAGAGTTAAAGAGGCAGGTAAGGAGCAGGGTGAGAATGGGGCCATCAGAAGACCTTGCAGAACATTGAACAATCACAATTTACGTGTGGAAGAGAACTCACTGTTTTATTTCAGCTTCATTACTGTATACTATAAAAGAATGTAATTGTGTTCAACCTGAAGGACCATTTAAAAAGAAGTCATTAAGAAGGAAAAGATCTTTTTCAAAAATTTAAGATTACAGATTAAAATCCTAGTCCTTGCCATCTTTAAAGAGATAGATTTGTTTTTGTTTTTACCTTGTCTAATTCCTTTAATTTCTTAAAACATCAAGAATGAATGCAATACATTTGTTGTAAAGTTTTCTGTGAAATCAGAAAACAATGCTGATGGAAGATTAAGTTAGTAGACTCCTTATTAGGACAATTTTCAGTTTTAAAGTTTTGAATGTTCTTGGCCAGGTGCAGTGGCTCATGCCTGTAATCCCAGCACTTTGGGAGGCTGAAGTGGGAGGTGGGCTAGCTTGAGGCCATGTGTTCATGACAAGTCTGGGCAACATGATGAAACCCCATCTCTACAAAAAATACAAAAATAGCTGGGCGTGGTGGTGCATGCCTGTCGTCCTAGCTACTTGGGAGTTGAGTTGGGAGGACTGCTTGAGTCCGGGAGGTCGAGGCTGCAATGAGCCGTGAACACCCCACTGCACCCCAGCTTGGATGACAGAGCAGGACCCTATCTCAAAAGGAAGAAAGGAAGGAAGGAAGAAGGAAGGAAGAAAGGAAGGAAGGAAGGAAGGAAGGAAAGAAAGAAATTTCTTGAAAATATATGGGTATATGGGCAAAAATACTAATTCAAAGGAGAGTCTGGGGGTAAAACTTCAAATAGAACTCACTGTTTTTGAGGAGCATAACGAAATAATTTCATCCAGAATTTGAATGACTTTAAACTGTTGTATTCAAAATATCTGTGCCTCTTTTCAAAGTTCAACAACATTTCATAAACTTGAAATCTACGAAGGTCCTGGAGGTTAGCTGGTGTGACCAGTTAAAGGAGTCTCTAGGATTATGGAGTTCTATTATGGCGTTCTTTTTAAACACTATAAGAGATGAGGAACTGGTTCTTTCACAAGTCAACACCTTCTTTTGGGGGCAAGTGTCTCATTATTAGAAAGACATTTCATATTCTTAGTTGAAATCTGCCTGTCTTCTACTCACTTGTACTAGTTCTGCCCTCTGGAGTCATAGGAATAAACCTAATACTTCTTCCACATGACAGACCTGTGGGTATTTAAATGGTGCTATGACCCTTCCTTCAAGATTTTATCTCAACTTTACGCAACTAAATTGGAAGCAAATGGAACAGATCCTTCATCATAGCATGAAACCCAAAATATTTATTTTAAAGCCATTTGTATGGATTATCTATACCTAACAATTTGAGTTATATATTACAAGTCACTCTGTAATATTATCTAATCCTTATTCTAGCCAAAAGTCATTCAGTGACCTCAAGTAATTAACCTCTCAGGATCACAAGGTTGTTGTAAGGATAAAAGGGAGAATGATGTATTTGAAAGTACATTAAAAAGTTTAAAGTGTTGAATGAACAAATACTGTTATGGTGTGACTGCTAGTTCAATAGCTAAAAAATAAAATGTGGTCCATTAGGTAGGTGGTTTTTTTCTTTATTTTTAAAAGGAATTTTATTTTAAATTTTTGTGGGTACTTAGTAGGTGTATATATGTATGGAGTATATGAGATATTTTGATACAGGCATGCAATGCATAATAATCACATCATGGAAAACGAGATATCCATCACCTCAAGCATTTATCCATAATGTTACAAACAACCCAATTATACTCTTTTAGTGATTTTTAAATTTACAATTAAATTATTATTGACTATAGCCTGTTGTGCAATCAAATACTACACCTTATTCATTCCATTTTTTGGTATCCATTATCCATCCCCACCTTCCTCCCCCAGCTCTCCCACTACCCTTCCCAGCCTCTGGTAACCATCCTTCTACTCTCTTTCTCCATGAGTTCAATTGTTTTGATTTTAAAGGCAGTTTTTTTTTTTTAATATCTACAATGTCAGGATTCTACTGTGAGAGACTAAATATGCAAGTGGGCAATGGCCAGACCATAAATAGCAATACAACTAACTCTGACCCACAGTTTCTGCAGCAATCAGCTCAGGAAACAAAAACACTTTAGCAGCAACCAGTCCAAGAAATCAAACTACAACTGCTGCAGCAAATGGCCCAAAAGAATTAGGTCTTGCTCAATGAGTCAATTTCCCCAATTTTTGCCCCTGCTTCCAACTTAGGATCAATCAGAGAAAGTTAAATATGCTTCCCAAACCACAAAATGCCCTGCTCCTACTTAGCCTGCCTCCAGCTTCCAACAGCAAGATCCAGTCAGAGCATACCTGAAACCTTCCCCTTTTATAACTATGAAGTTTTCTCACTCCCCTTCCTGCCTTTGAGTCTCTACTAAGCAGAAGTGATGGTGGTCAACTCCCTTGCTAGAGCAAGCTCTGAATAATTAGCCTCTGTTTGTTTTCATTTGTGTGAGCTTCACTTGTTTCTGTAGTTTTCTTGAAGTTTCCACAGAGATACTGTCTGCACTGCATGTCACCATGGATCCCAGTTCTCTGCCAGGTGCAGTACCCACCAAGGCTTCTTGTGCCTCACTGCACACAGTTGAGTCTGCATTGACACATTGGGTCAGCACTGGTTCTGAACTCTGCTCTTTGATTTTGAGTTCTTTGGCTATTTAGTCTCACTTTGGTACCTAGGATTTGTTATCACTTCCCATTTGATTGGCATCTTTGGTGGAGTCAGGCTATTCCTTTTCATCTCTGTTTTCTCTCTTTTCTGCTTCTGTTTTGCATTGTGCAATCTGGAAGTGTTGTCATAGAGTAGAACACAGGCATAGGCCCTATAAGCCTTTAATTTGAGCTGTCCTCCCAGACCAATGTAGTTTTCATTTGACTGGCATTCATTTGGACAAACTTTGCTGTGGGTTACCAATAAAACTAGATAAGATTATCCTCTCATCTAGATTTTTGTTCTGAGAATTTGGTTTTGATCCAGAAAGAGCATTCTCTCTGGTGTTATACTTGCCTGGGGAGACACATTGTCAGGTGTGCATTTAGAGGCAACTCATCCTCAAGGTTGGGGGCTCAAGATACAAAGTACACAAGCTTTACTTTTAACTTTTGCCAGCTCTTATGGGACCATTTAAGTCAGATTTTTCCACTCCTACAGGAAAAACTCCTTTTTCCTATATATATATACTTATTCTAATTCTAATTCTAGTGCCCACCTCTCTAAATAGCATAATTTCACCAAAGATTATTTGGGCTTTCAATGGCCATGCTGGGAAACACTGGACTTAAACAATTATCTGAGAAGCACCTTAGAAAAGAAAGAGAAAATGATTTATCAGATGTAATGGATAATTTTCTAATTGGTATGCAAAAGTCTACAAATAAAACTCAGTTCTAAAATTGCTTCACTATAAGATTCTTTGGTTAAAGTGAATGAGCAATCTGATGACTTAAACAACAACAAAGTAGAATTATTTCCTTGGTAAATTCTACTCCTTTTTGGTTTCCAGTTATCACTCTATGTTCAGTTTTCCTTCTTCGTCTTTATTTTTCTGATATTTCTTTTTCTGCATCTCCTTCCTTGCCTTCCTCTCATGCAGACCACCTTCTTCCCCAACAGTCCTCTTAAAACTCAAAATGCCATTTGCTTCTAAGGATGCATCCCTTCCATGAGCTAGGTATGTAGGCAACTGTAGAATTTAAACCTTGAACCCAAGATGAATTAAGAGCTATCACTGAAGATTTCCCTAAACCCAAAAAGAAGAGCAAATAGTTGTAGAATAATTTGGAATTTTTTTGGGTGCCTATGACCCAGGAGTACCTGACCTATATCAATTTGTGCATATGTTGGTTGAAACATCAGATATTGGATAGCAAAGACTGATTGAACTGATGCAGAAAGAGACCTGCAGGATTTCTCTCTCTACAATAAACCTGAGAGTCAAAAAATCCCAAAACAAAAGACAAAAACCAGTAAAGTAGATCAAAGTTTCAAAAAAGACATATGTGAAACATTTCCAAAAAAAGTTGATTGGACCTTAATTAAATCATGTTAACAAAGAAACAAACAAGATATGTAACTAAATGAGGTAGTTGGAGTTGGGGGTAGACTACTAGAAAATACCATTTTTAAAAATTTTTTGTTTTTTGTTTTTAAGATAGAGTCTCCCGCGCAGGCTGGAGTGTAGTGGCATAATCTCGGCTCACTGCAACCTCTGCCTCCTGGGTTCAAGTGATTCTGGTGCCTCTGCCTCCAGAGTAGCTGGGATTACAGGTGTGCATCACCATGCCTGGCTAATTTTTGTAGTTTTAGTAGAGAAAGGGTTTCACCATGTTGGCCAGACTGGTCTCAAACTCCTGGACTCAAGTGATCCACCCGCCTCAGCCTCCCAAAGTGCTGGGATTACAGGCATGAGCCACCGCGTCCGGCCTAGAAAACACCTTCTGACAACACTAGTCTTTCTACATTAAACCTGCCATCTTTGCTCAACTTCTTCCTTGGACCTAACATAGCACACAAGTGGTAGGTGTTTCAAGTAACCCACACATTTTTTTTTCCTATCTCTCTCACTTAACCATAACCTTGGACCCTTGCCTGAAAAATATTCTCTCCTGCTTTGTGATACCACTGCTACAAGCTTAATAGGTAGAGCTATGCTTTGCCTATGCAATTGTAATATTAAATGCATACCAGAGGAAAGATTTCTTGAGGTTTCAGAGGATTCTATTTACAATCAAGTTGTATCTGGTCTATATATACCTTTGCCTTCTCCACTGTTCTTGTTGTATACCTCAGATGAAGATCTTGAGGCTGTACCTGACACTCTATGGGCTAAAATTTCCACTGACAGAAAAAGTAATTGGAGCAGAATCTATTAAAATTCAGATACATCCTTCCAAATTGCTACCCAAACTTTCCCAATATCTCTTAAATCCAGGAGCAAAGGAAGCCTCAAACTTATAACTGAAGGCATTATATTCAAAGGCCTTTTTACAACCTGCACTACCCCTTGTAATATTCCTGCCCTGCCAGTAAAGAAACCAAATGGACAGGGATATTGACTTGTTCAAGAACTCAGAGACACAAATAAAATTGTTGTCTTTACTTTTCCTTGGTGCCCAACCCAAATACTATCTTGTCATCATTTCCTCCCCAAACCACTTGCTTCAGTGTAGTGGATAATTGCTCTGCCTTTTCACTGTTAAATTACACCAGAACAGTCAATACCTTTGTCTTCATCTGAGAGGACAACACTACATACATAAACAGTTAGGTGCCAGGGGTTTACTGAAACCCATTCCTATTTTTCCTATGCCCTTAATTAAGAACTAAAAGATCCAAATTTCTCTGGTGATCCAGTTCTGATATAACATGTAGATGATCTCCTACTTGTTTAGAGAAGCTGGTAAAAAGATTCCACTCACTTGCTCTCAGCCTTAGCAGAAAAGGGACATAAAGTTTTAAAACACAGAGTTTTGCCAAAACATAGTTCATTTAGGGCAGGAGGAGAACATTCTCTCCTAACAGACTAAGTATTATCCAGACTTATCCTAGATCCCCAGAAAACTACAGTTGAAATGATTTCTAGGTCTAATGGGATATTCTTGTTAATGGGTGCCAAATTTTCCTGAGATTGTGACACCTCTTTATGAAATGGCTAAGTCCTCAGTAACATTCCCTCTCTTCTGGGAGCCCAAGTATTGAAAAAGCCTCCTATAATCTGAAGACAGCTCTTCAACAGCCTCCTTCCGTAGGCATCCTGAACTAAAACTTTTGTCTATTTGTGCATGAGTGTTCTGGACAAACCTCAGTATTTTAATTCAACTTCATAGGAATTATTGAAAACCCATCACTTACTATAGCCTTGCCCTCAATCCAGTTGCAAATCCAAGATTGTCTTAGGATATTACCACCACTATAGAACTGGTCAAATCTGCTGAATTAGTTCTAGGCTTCCTGCTTGACCTGATGTTTCCTCATGCAGTACAGACTTTACCACCCATTGAGGCACAATTAACCTCCTAAGAGTTCCAGCTGCACTCTCCATCTCACATTACTATTCACTGCTGCATCCTGCCATCCTCCTGAACTTACCAAAAGAAGGGGAACCTCATGAATGTCTTACCTTAGTTAGAGAACTTTAAATACTTTGCTCAGATGTATTAGTAACTCTCATTGAAAATCCTGACCTTGTCTGGGCGCAGTGGGTCACACCTGTAATTCCAGCACTTTGGGAAGTTGAGGAGGGCAGATCACCTGAGGTCAGGGGTTCGAGACCAGACTGGCCAATGTGCTGAAACCCCATCTCTACTAAAAATACAACAACAAAAAAATTAGCCAGGCGTGGTGGCAGGTGCCTGTAATCTCAGCTACTCAGGAGGCTGAGGCAGGAGAATTGCTTGAACCCAGGAGGTGGAGGTTGCAGTGAGCCGAGATTGGGACCTTGCACTCCAGCCTGGGCAACAAGAGTGAAACTCCATCTCAAAAAAAAAAAATTCCTGACCTTATGTTATTTGTTGATGAATCATACCTCTGATAATCCTTGGAACTCAAGATGGCCTTTTGGTGGCCCCAAGTGATTTCAAATGAGTATTAGCTGAATTTCTCCATGAAGCTACTCATTATGTTAAAGACAAATTGATTACTATCTTAAATCAACATTGGTGAGAAAACTTTAAAAAGACAGCTGAGATTGTTTTGGGGTCATGTGTTACTTGTGAACAACATAATCCTGGAAAAATTATAAAGGTGAGGCATGGCCAAGAACCAAAGCCTCAAAGACCCTTTGAACACTTTCAGATGGGATTTGTCTATTTTCAGAATGGGTTGAATAATTTTCTTGCTGAAAATCTCCAGCCTTTTCAGTCTCTAAAAAGCTTCTTGATTTTATGTTTCCAACTAGGGTATACAAACTTTTATGTCAACTGACTGAGGCACACAATTTATAGGAACCATTATAAAACAACTTAATAAGGTGATACCCCTTCTCAAAAACTATACTGCCTTTACCACCCACAAACTTCTGTAAAGGTTGAAAGAACCAATGGCATCCTTAAATTCAAATTAAGAAAACTTTCATAAATCCTTGCACTTCCCTGCTAAAGGTAATCACCTGAGCTCTTACGGCCATATAATCCATTATTTTGGGGTCATATTGATTATGAACTGCTACCAGGAAGACCCAAGCATTTAGAAATTTCATCCTGATGCTAGATTCTTCCATGCTGCATCCAGATATGGGAAAATATTGCAAGGGACTCATGTACTATACCCAGTCCTATCACCAATAAATTAAGGCCACCTTGCTACAACATCTTCTTACATTGGCTCTTCAGGAGCATCTATCAGGAAATTTCATCTATTGAAATAGACATCGGATAAAAAACTGCTCTTGAACCTCAATGGAAGGAACCTTATCAGGTACTGTTAACAACAAATACAGCAGTGAAACTGCAGCAGACCAATCCTCAACTTTATGTTTCACCACTAAAGAAACAAGCCAGAATTCCACACTTTTGGAAGACTAGTCCATAGGATACCTCATGCTGAGAATTCTCAGAGATCCTCAAAAACAGCCTATCTTTGGCAATAGACATTTGACCCAAGACCTTTCAAACAAGCAGATGTCCTCTTAATGGACAGCTTCTACCTAACACATTGGACAAAGACCCCTGTATAATTCCTCTTTTGTTTTTGACCTGCTTATTGATAATCATTCTTCTCGTTAACTATGGACCACTGGTTATTTTCTACCATAACGATCCCTTTTTTCTTTTGGTACCCTCTTTGTTGACAGGTCAGAATATACTTATTCTAACACAATTCTCAGATTATGTGAAACAGTAGCCACTGCCATCAATCTTACTGACTGTTGGATATGTCATCCATCATTGGACCCCCAAGATAAAAACGTGTGGGTAATTCCAGTCTCATCAAATTAGACCACAGGGACTTATAGCCTATGGCAGTTTCACTTGCACCTACTGGAAAAATTAACCCATAACCTTGCTAGTTTCTTTTCTCCCAGAAAAATAATGAAGTATTAAAATCTGTTTGTCAGATCCCAGGTAATTCTAAATTTGAATTCAACAACTTTTGAAGGTTGATGAGCCAAATACCTGTCACCTGAAAAAGACTAATAGATATCCAAATATGTAACCCAGCAAACGTAAAGGCCTTGGTTCTGACTTCATGTCATGCACATCTTTTTCTTGCATTTCCATGTGTCTCTAACGCTATTACTTCCTTTGCACCCAGGACACATGATCCTCTTTACCTCAGACTAACACTTCATGCACTTTAATAATGGTATTCCAAGACTTGTCTGTATACAGAGACTCTAATTCTATAAACCACCAAGGATGAAAATTTTGACTCAGATGCAAACTCCAAAAGGAGGCCACCTTGATTATTCAAGTACTCTACCTGAAGGAATTACTGACTCACTGTTTATATGAACAATCAGAGCTGTTTTCTCAATGTTGCGAATCATACAAATAGAAAGAGACTGTAAGAAACTTATTATTAACTCTGGCAGAAGTTATTAGTGATATCACCTCCGCCCTGGAGGAAATACAGACCGATGCCAATTCATTGGCATGAGCAGTGATGGACAATTTCATTGTTCTTGATTTCTTGTTTGCTAGTCATGGTTGTGTCTGTGCCATTGTTATATATACTTCTTGCCATGTGAAACAAACAAGGTAAGACAGGCTAAACAACATCTGAACAAAAGAGCTTATTGGCTCTGTAAGATTGATCCTCATGGCCTTCAGGAATTACTCTCTTGGCCTGGGTTAGGCAGCTGGGGTTCCTGTTTCTGAAGCATCTTACAGGGACTGTTAATTATTGTTGTTTATGTCAATAGTCATTATGATGTAGGTTCTTTGCATTCTATCTGAAGTTCTATATATTTCTGTGCAGCTGCTCTTTCATCACGTGGTCATGATCATGACACAACAAAAAGGTCAAGATCTTGCAATATGGTTGACTATAGAGATAATTGGAGAATCCCCAAGTGGTAAAGATATGGATGGATATTTAGCCTTCTCTGAATTGGTCAATCTCTTGGAAGTGAAAGAATGACCAAAAGAAAGGGCTGAGGCTGGGTGCGGTGGCTCACACCTGTAATCCCAGCACTTTGGGAGGCCGAGGCGGGCGGATCACCTGAGGTCAAGTGTTCAAGACCAGCCTGGCCAAGATGGTGAAACCCTGTCTCTACTAAAAATACAAAAATTAGATGGGCATAGTGGTGTATGTCTGTAGTCCCAGCTCCTTGGGAGGCAGAAGAATAACTTGAACCCAGGAGGCAGAGGTTTCAGTAAGCAGAGATCAGGCCATTGCACTCCAGCCTTGGCAACACAGTGAAACTCCATTTAAAAAAAAAAAAGAGAAAGGGCTGAGAGACTGAATATTCAAAGGACAATCAAAGAACAGTTGGACAAACCTCTGCAGCAGTTAGCCCAGAATGGTCAGGATTTGGTCATGACTGCCAGTTTCTCTACTTTTTTTTCCCCCCAGAGCCAACCAGAGATTCATATGATTTTATCCCAGTTTAGGCATCTTAAATTATAGTTGTACTCAAGATGGGTTTTCCCAATATTAAAGAAAACCCAACAATATAGTAAAACTACACACACACACACACACACATACACACACACAGACACACAGAGGAAATAAATGAAGATCACTCAAATGAGAATAAACAAAGGCCATTTATTCAGAGTCTGATATACATAGTAAGGGATTTAGCATTTGGCAGAGACTCAAAGACAGGAAAGGGAGTGGGAAAGGTTTATAGTGAAATAAAGGGCAACTTTCAGGAATGCTCTGATTAAGGGTATGGGGAATCTGGATGTGGATTACCTAGTAGCAGGACATCTTATTCTTTGGGGAGCATATTTGGATCATATTTGGAGCAACAAGAAAAAGCCAAATAAATAGCTTTCTAGAGGTATAACTGACATCCAATTTTATATATTTAAAGCATACCATTTAATGAGTTTTGACACACACATCCCTGCACAAAGTCACATGCAAGTCACCTATGTTATATACACACATACAGCTGTGGAACCATCACCACAGTCAACAAAATAAATATCCATCACCCTCCAAAGTTTTCTCACTCTTTTAAGTCTATCTTTCCTGCCCCTCCCTGTTCCCTTTCCATTCTTAAGGAACTGCTCACATGCCTTCGGTCTACATTAGTTTTCATTTTCTGGAGTTTTATGTAAATGTAATCACACAGTATGTACTCTTTGAAAATGTGGCTTCTTTCACTCAGCATAGTTATTTTGAGATTCATTCATGTTGTTGTGTGTATCAATAGTTTATTAGTTTTTGTTTCTGTGTAGTGTTCTATTGTATGGATATACAATAATCTATTCTAATTTTTTTCATTCATCTGTTGATGGATATTTGTTTTCTTACCCCAGTGTTTTGCTATTACAAATAAACCTGCTATAGACATTCGTGCATAAGACTTTGTAAGAACCTATGTTTTTTTTTTTTTCTCTTTAGTAAAGATCCAGAAGTGGAATGACTGGATCATACGGTAGTGTGTTTTAACTGTATAAGAAACTGCCAAATTATTTTCCCAAGTTGTGAACCATTTTACATTCCCACCAGCAATGAGAGCTCCAAGTCCTCCTCATCCTCAATGACACTTGGTATGGTCAGTCTTTTAATTTTTAGACACACCAGTAGGAGTGTAGTGGTATCTCACCGCGGTGTTAAGTTGTATTTCTCTAATGACTAATGATGTTGAGCACATTTTCAGATGCTTATTTGATATCAGCATATCTTCCTTAGTGAGGTGCCTGCCCAAATTTTTTGCCCAGTTTTAAAAAACTGGCTTGTTTTCTTATTATTGAGTTTTGAGAGTTTAAAACACATTTCTGATATGTCTTTTAACCAGATATATACTTTGCAAAGATTTTCTCCCAGTCTGTGGCTTTTTTGATCACTTAGAAGGTGATTTAAAGAGAAGTTTTTAATTTTTATTAAATCCAATTTATGGATTTATTATTTTATGAATTGTGCTTTTGGCATCATGTCTAAAATCTTTACCTAACCCACAGATTTTCTCCAGTGTTTTCTTCTAGGAGTCTATGGTTTTAGATTTTACATTTAGGTCAATGGCATGTTTTTAGTTAATTTTTTGCATATGGTGTAGGATATAGATCCATTATTTTGCATATTTATATACAATTATTTCAGAAATATTTATCAAATGGTCTTCCCTTTCTCCACTGTATTATGCCTGCACCTTTGAGGAGAATCAGTTGTCCATATATGCATGAGTTTATTTCTGGACTCTATCCTGTTTCACTGATATATTTGTGTATTTTTCTATTAATATTATGCTATTTTGATTACCGTAGCTTTATAATAAGTGTTGAAATTAGGTAGTTGTAGTAACATAATTTTGCTCTTTTTCAGAGTTGTTTGTCTATTCTAGGTCCTTTGCATTTTCATATGAATTTCAGAATCAACTTATCAATTTCTACAAAAAACTTTTTGGGGTTTTGATTGGGATTACTTGAATATATGAGATCAGTTTGAAGTAAGTGACATCTAACAATATGGAGTCTTCCAACCCACGAATGAGGTATGCCTTTACATATTTAGGTCTTTTAAAATATCTTTCAGCAATACTTTGCAGTTTTTAATGTACAGGGCTTTCATATCTTTTGTTAGATTTATGTCTAAATATTTAATTTTTTGATGTCATAAAATGCATTTAAGATTTTCTATTTCTAATAGTTCATTGTTAATATATGGAATTACACTCAATATATACTTTTTTTTTTTTTTGAGAAAGGGTCTCGCTCTGTCGCCCAGGCTGAAGTGCAGTGGCACGATCTTGGCTCACTGTAACCTCCGCCTCCCGGATTCAAACAATTCTCCTGCCTCAGCCTCCCGAGTAGCTGGAACTACAGGAATGCACCACCACGCCTGGCTTATTTTTGTATTTTTAGTAGAGACGGGGTTTCACCGTGTTGGCCAGGCTGGTCTCGAACTCTTGACCTCAAGTCATTTGCCTGCCTCAGCCTACCAAAGTGCTGGGATTACAGGCATAAGCCACCGAGCCCGGCCTACACTCAATATTTGTATGTTGATCTTGTATCCTGCAACTTTGCTAAATTCACTTATTAATTTTAATGGCATTTTTCTTTTCACATATTCTTTTTTTTTTTTTTTTTTTTTGAGACAAGGTCTTGCTATGTTGCTCAGTCTGGTCTCGAACTCCTGGCCTCAAGCAGTCCTCCTGCCCCAATCTCCGAAAGTGCTGGGATTACAGGTGTGAGCCACCACGCCTGGCCTCTTTTTACAGATTTTATTGAATTTTTTTACATAGACATTCACTCCACTGGGAATAAAGATATTTTTCCTATTCAATCTGAATGCTTTTTATTTATTTTTCCTGTCTGATGGCACTAACTAGAAACTCCAGTACAATGTTGAATAGATGTGGTGAGACTAGACATCCTTGTCTTTTTCTGATCTAAGGAGGAAAGCATCCAGTCTTTCACCATTATGCATCGCGTTAGATGTAGGTCTTTTGTAGATATACTTAATCAGGTCGAGGAAGTTCCTCGCTATTTCTAGTTATCTGAGAGGTTTCTATTAAGACTGGATATTGGACTCCTTCTTTCACAAAACATTAGGACACAAACACAATTTAACCAAGTTCTTACCACTTAAAAACCAGGTTTGCGTATTGTCCAGTTTCCAATATTTTATTCCTTATTTCCACCTGAGACCTCATCAGAATTTCGTTCACTGCCAACACTTTGATCATGACCACTTAAGACAGAGGCTTTTTTTTTTTTTACAGCTCTTCTCTCCTTCTGAGCCCACACTATCGCATCCCTTTATAGTCCAGCCTTTCTCCATTATCCAGTTCCAAAGCTGTTTCCACATTTTTAGGTAATCGTTACAGCAGCACCCCATTTCTCAGTACCAACTTCTGTTTTAGTCCATTTGGGTTACCATAATGAAATACCTTCAAATGGGTAACTTATAAACAACAGAAATTTGTTTCTCATGGTTCTGGAGCCTGGGGAATCCAAGATCAAGGCACTAACAAATTTAGTGTCTGGTTTCTGTGTCCTCATATGGTGGAAGAGGTGAATCCTGTGTCTTCACATAGCAGAAGGGCAAAACGGGCAAAAGGGACAAACAGGCTTCCTAAAAGACTCTTTTTTAAGGGCACAAATCCCATTCATGATGAGCAGAGCCTTCATAATCTAATCACCTCCTTCCTGAAAGCCCCACCTTTTAATACTATCACATTGGCAAATTGTCACATAGAAAGTTTGTGGGGACACATTCAGACCATAGCAATGGCTTGTTTAGAAGTGTATTTTATTCCCCAAATTTTGAGGGATTTTCCAAGAATCAGTCTGTTATTGATTTCTAATTTAATTACATTGTGGTCAGAGAATGTATCTTGCATGACTTCAATCCTTTTGAATTTGTTAACATTTGTTTATGGTCCAGATTATTGTCCATCTTCTAAACTTTCTGTATATGCTTAAGAACCATGTGTATTCTGCCAATTATTGGAGTGTTTAATAAATGTCAATCAGGTCAAGATGGTTGATAGTGTTGCTCAAGTCTCTTATAACCTTGTTGATTTTCTGCTTATTTGCATTATAAATTATTCAGAAAGGGGCATTGAAATATTTGACTATTGTGGATCTTTCAATTTCGCATTGCAGTACTATCAGTTTCTGCTTCATATATTTTTAAGTCCTGTTATTAGATGCAAAAATGTTTAGGATTGTTATGACCTTTTGATTAAATGGTTCTTTTATTATTATTAAATGATCTTCTTTATCTCTGGTTATATTCTCTGCTCTGAACTCTACTTTGTTTAAAATTGATAAAGTCACTCCACTTTATTTTCACTAGTGTTAGCATGATATATCTTTTTTCCATCCTTGTATTTTAAACTTATTTGTGTCTTTATATTTAATGTTTCCCTTCTTATAAGCAGCAATTTAAAAAATTCAAGATTTTAAACAATCTCTGACAATCTGACAATCTCTGCCTTTTATTCAGTGTGTTTAGACAATTTACATTTAATATGATTTATGAGTCTATCATCTTGCAATTTCTTTCCTACTTCTCTCTTTTCTTTGTTTTTTCTTGTTTTATACTTTTAGATTAATCAAGTATTTGTTTCGTTATCCTTTACATGACTTTTGTAAGCTTTTAACAATAACTTTTATTATTTAGTGGCGGCTTTAGGGTTTATAGTATACATCTTTATTTTATCATAGTCTACCTTTAAGTGGTATCAGGAATAGTATAAGGGTCAGGCGCGGTGACTCACACCTGTAATCCCAGCACTTTGGGAGGCCAAGGCGGGCAGATCACCTGAGGTCAGGAATTCAAGACTAGCCTGACCAACATGGAGAAACCCCGTCTCTATTAAAAATACAAAAATTAGCTGAGTATGGTGGTGTGTTCCTGTAGTCCCAGTTACTCCGGAGGCTAAGGCAGGAGAATTGTTTGAACCTGGGAGGTGGAGGTTGCAGTGAGCCGAGATCGTGCCACTGCACTCCAGCCTGGGTGACAGAGTGAGACTTTGTCTTAAAAAAAAAAAAAAAAGGAATAGTATAAGGATTCTAGGTTGATAGCTTTTTTTCTTTGAATATGTTTGAACTGTTATTCTGTCTTCTTGCTTGTTTTGATTCTAATGAGAAACTGATGTAATCCTTAGTTTTGTTCTGCTGTATACGACATGTATTTTTTTCCTTGGATGCTTTTAAGATTCTTTTATCACTCGTTCTGAGCAATTTGATTATGAAGTATTTTGATTAGCTTTCTTCATATTTCTTATGCTGAGCTTCTGAAGGCAGGTCTGTGGGTAAAGATAGTGACAGAAGGATTAAAATAATGATGGGAGCTTAGGGAAGTTCTCTTTTGAATAATTCAGTGTAATCAATGCAGTAGGAAGCAAGGTCATTGTGTGAGAATGAGGATAGGAGACAAGGCATTGGGTATGAATGAAGGTATAAAACTAATATGTAGGAAAATCAATGAACAGGGACCTGTAATGAGATGTTCAAGCATCTTTAAGGTCCTACTTAACATCAGTAATCATGAATTTAAAGTCAGCATGATTGGGTGTTTTTTTTCAGATTCAGCTGCATGGGTGCAAGCACTTAGTAAGTGTAAAGTAGGGATGGCTAATATGGTCATTTTGCCAAGTGATTACAGCAATTTAGAGAGGGGCAGGGAGTTGAGGATGCAAGCAAGTGGATGATTGTTGATTATTAAATATATCTACATCAAACTTCCTCAATCAGAGTGAAAACTATTAAAGGCAGTACCTTTCCTCTAGAAGGTTTTGGGCATGTATTTGCAGACCACACATGGGTGTATTGTAACAGCAGAAAGCAAGGGGCTAGAGGAAATTGTCTTACCAGAGCAAATAAACTCTGTTTTTGAATCAAGTGCTTTGTAAAGTTCTTAACGTGGTCCACGCAGCTCTGACTGTCGTGGATCCAGCCTATCAGGGCGCCTCCCCTTCACAGCAAGTTCCCACTGTTCTCTAAACTTCAGACACACTGGACCTCTTCCTGTCCCTTGCATTTTCCACATCTTTGCACATGCAGCTCCCTCTGCAGGAATGCTTTCCCCTTCCCCACTGGCCTATTCATGTCTGAGCTTTCCTGAGTAATTCAAATATTACTATAATAATAAGCTAAGTATTTGGTTAGAGTGCTTCCTTCTTAGCACTCGTCATAATTTTAATGTTTTTGTCATTGATAACTGTCTGTTAATATGCTGTAAGTTTCCCACCTTGCCTGTTTTTAGCCCCATAGAACCTAGCTCTCCCGCACATTTGTAGGTTGTAATAAACAACTTTTTTTTTTTTTTTTGAGACAAGGTCTTGCTTTGTCGTCCAGGCTGGAGTGAAGTGGTATGACTGTGGCTCACTACAGCTTTGCCCTCCTTGGCTCAAGCGATCCTCGCACCTCAGCTTCCTGAGTAGCTGGAACTACAGGCGTGTTCCCACGCCCAGCTAATTTTTTAATTTTTCGTAGAGACGGGGTTTCGCCATCTTGCCCATGCTTGTCTCAAACTCCTGAGCTTAAGCAATCCTTCTGCTTCTGTCTCCAAAAGTGCTGGGATTCCACTACTAAAGATTTGTAAACAAATGAATAGAGATGAAAGCAAATTAAGTGATATGTGAAGTCTGGTGAGGAGAGCAACATCTTTCTTTTGGAGAATTCTCGAGGCACCGGCTAATGCTATATGCCTATTCTTTTTTTTTTTTTTTTTTTTTTGAGACGGAGTCTCGCTCTTTCGCCCAGGCCGGACTGCAGTGGCGCCATGTCGGCTCACTGCAACCTCCACCTCCCAGGTTCACGCCATTCTCCTGCCTCAGCCTCCCGAGTAGCTGGGACTACAGGCGCCCGCCACCTGGCCCGGGTAATTTTTTGTATTTTTAGTAGAGACGGGGTTTCACCGTGTTAGCCAGGATGGTCTCGATCTCCTGACCTCGTGATCCGCCTGCCTCGGCCTCCCAAAGTGCTGGGATTACAGGCGTCAGCCACCGCGCCCGGCCTGCTATATACCTATTCTTTAATAATTTGCCCTGAACCTTGCAGAGGAACCTCTCTCCCTTAGACTCAGGACCCGAGATAGGCTTTGGGAGGCGCCTGCGCACTGGGCTCGCCGGATATACGCAAGGGCGTGGGGCGGAGCTCTGGTAACCCAGGCAACAGCCCGGAAGCCGCTGGCTGGGTTAACCTGTGGCGCGCTCCGCGGTTCCGGCGCCTGAAGTTTTAGCTGCGGTGGCGGCGGCAGTCGGGACCGACTGCAAGGCAGGTTGAGATGATGGATCTGAGGCTTGCAGCTCGCAGTCCCAACGAGCCTTAGGGACCAGGGCTACCAAAAGGGTGGGGAGAACGGTGGTGGCATCTGTCTGTTGCCTGGGATCCAGGCGCCCGGTTGGGGAATCCTTACTTCAGGAAGCGCAGCCGCGGCTCTGTGTTTTGAGAGTGCAAGTACGTGTCAGGGTGCGTGTCTGGGTATGTTTGTGCGTGGCGCCAGAGCACCTCGAGTATGCGCGTGCGCACCGCTTTCGGGAGCTTTTGCACAGAGCTGGTAATTGGGGGTGCTCGATTGTAGCGTTGGGGGAGTTCACCGTGTAGCAGGAGAGAGGCAAACTATCCAGGGTGCTTTGGGACCGGGAGCGTCATTTAAATCGATGGATGTCAGAGGGGCTTCTCAGAAGGCTCCTCCTGTGAGTTTTGAGGAGTCCGTGGAAGTTAACCCAGTAGAGAAGAGAGTGAGCCTAATGAGTGTTCCAAGCAGAGGGAAAAGAATGGTTGCAACTGTGTGTGAGGCGAGAGCTTGGTTTTAGGATTTGCGGGAGATGTGAGAGAACACTGGAAAGAAAAGTCAGCCGGGCCATATGGGGGAGAGGGTCTGAATGCCAAGCTGAGTTGGATTGCTTTTGACAGTGGGGAGCCATCCGAATCTAGAGGAAGTAGGTAAAGGGTTCAGATCTATTCTCTATCCATGTATTTAGGTAGGATTGATTCAACAGTGTTTGGAAAGAGTTCTTGTTTCTCTTTGATCAGTTTTCCACACCAGTCAGAGTGGATTTACTAAGTCCAGTCATAACTATCCCTTTTAAAATTCTTCAGTGGTTTCCTATGGTCTTAGGTGTTCAGATTGCTGTGGCTCACAAGACTACAATCTGCTGTCTGCCTTTCTTCCTTTAACCTCTCACCCTCTCAGATCTTTGTTAATTGAACTGAACTTCTCAAACTCTTCGTAAATGCATTTTCCCTTGCCTGGAATATTCTTTCCCCTGCTTCTAACTTTTATTCGTATTTTAGCTCTCAGTGCAAACATTTTTGGGGGTATTACAGAGAGGAGAAGCTTTTACTTACTGCATAGAGTTAGTTAGGTACTTTCATGGCACACAGAATTTACTTCCCATGCTGCCCTTTTGTTGTAAATACTTGTTTAATTGCGGTCCTCTTAGAAACTCTTAACTCTGCAAGGGCATAGACTATTCTACTTTCTTGTTATATCTGGTGCCTCGCTTTTAGATGGTGCTTCAAAATATTAGTTACATTAATAGATGGATGATGAAGTCAGTGAGTGAAGAGTGAAAGGGAGACTAATTAGAATAATGAGAGCCTGAACAAAAATATTTTTAGTAGAGATGGAGAAGAGCGGGCAAGAGAGATTTTTAGGGAAAAAGTTAATAGATTCTGTTATCTGATTCACTAAGAGATAAGGAACAGAGGTGATGCTGAGGTTTTAAATTGGAGCAACTAGGATTGTAATTCTGTAAATTCAGCTTAATTGAACATATTTATCGAGTCAACCAGTTATATATCAGCAAGTAGAGATTTGGGGTATGATGATGAGCTGTATTTTGATATACTGTATTTGTGATATTTGGGAGATGTATATAGTAGGTAGTTAGAAATGAGCATTTGGTGTTTTTGTTTTGTTTTTGTTTGTTTATTTTAAGAGACAGAGCCTCACTTTGTCACCTAGGCTGGAGTGCAGGGGCGCCATCGTAGCTCACTGCAGCCTCCAATTCCTGGGCTCAAGCAGTCCTCCCACCTCAGCCTCCTGAGTAGCTGAAACTATAGGCACTCACTGCCACTCCTGGCTAATTAAAAAAAATTTTTTTTTTAGAGACAGGGTCTTGCTATGTTGCACAGGCTGGTCTTGAGCTTCCTGCCTCAAGCGATCCTCCAGCCTCAGCCTCCCGAGTTGCTGGGATTACAGATGCGAGCCACTGTGTTTGAAGTTTTGAGGAAAGGTGTGAATCATTGATTTGGGACTCATTTTCACAGTGTGTTTGTTTGTCCATACATTCATAGCTTTGCTCAAGGGAGTTGGTGAGGTCACTGAGGGAGGATGTGAACTGCCCCTTTGTGATCAAGAAAGCAGCTCCATGAGAGCTGGCACCATATTAGACTTGTTTACTAATATCTTAGTTTATTTAGTTTACTTAGTTTACTTGTTTACTTGTATCTCTAATGCCTAGCCAGTGCCTGGTGTGTGCTGCACTCCCCCAAATAATTATTGAATGAAAGGAGAGGGTATCTAATGGAAAGACAAGAAGAATGAGAACTGAGATAGAACTGGGTGGAAATCCTTGATTAAATTGTTTGTGTGGAGGAGGACAATAGAGCCTGTGAAGAAAAGGAGAAAAGAATAGAAGAGGCCAGGTGTGGTGGCTCACGCCTGTAATCCCAGCACTTTGGGAGGCCAAGGCAGGTAGATCACGAGATCAGGAGTTCGAGACCAGCCTGACCAACATGGTGAAACCCCGTTTCTACTAAAAATACAAAAGTTAGCCGGGCATGGTGGCAAGCGCCTGTAATCCCAGCTATTCAGGAGGCTGAGGGAGGAGAATCGCTTGAACCCGGGAGGTGGAGGTTGCAGTGAGCTGAGGTCGTGCCACTGCACTCCAGCCTGGTAACAGAGCAAGACTCCGTCTCAAAAAAAAAAAAAAAAAAAAAAGAAAGCTTTTCAGTGCAAAGGTGGGGTCAGAGTTTTTGTAATTAATAAAACTTGGAGGTAGAACTAAGGATTAGTAAATACAGGTGCTAAAGTGTACCTTTTCATGAAGCTGGATGGCAAGAGAAGGGCAAAGATGGGATAGCAGCTTAACTATACCTGTGTTATCCTACTGTACACAGGTAGTAAATTACCACAGATTTAGTGGCCTAAAACAATTACTATTTATCATTTCACAATTTCTGTGGGTTGTGAGTTTGGACATGGCTTAGTTAGATTCTTTGCTTAGGGTCTTCCAAAGCTGTAATCAAGTCGTTGGCCAGTATGCATTCTCATCTGGAGTTTTAGCTTCTGAATAAGTAAAATATTCTAAATGTAACTTGAAATACTTTTCCCCCCATTTTTAAGAGTAACATAGGTCCATTATAGAAAATTTGGGAAATATAAAAGCAAACAGAGGTAACCCAATTCTGGCAAAGTTTTCCAGCATGTGCTTTACAGTCAGTCAGACCTGGTCTTGAGTGTCAGCTCTTGGCTCTGCCTGTTATTATTTGTATAACTTTGAGCTATATACTTTCTCTAAGCCTCATTTTTCATTTTTTTTGAATTTTAATATTCTTAATATTTTTAAATTTTGTTTCAAGTTCTAGGGTACACGTGCGGTATGTGCAGGTTTGTTTCATAGGTAAACGTGTGCCATAGTGGTTTGCTGCATCTATCAACCCATCACCTAGGTATTAAATCTAGCGTGCATTAGCTATTTTTCCTGATGCTCTGTCTCCCTGCATCCCCCTGCCATCTGACAGGCCCCAGTGTGTGTTGCTCCCCTCCCTGTGTCCATGTGTTCTCATTGTTCAGCACCCACTTATAAGTGAGTACATGTGGTGTTTGATTTTCTGTTCCTGCATTCGTTTGCCAAGTGTAATGGCTTCCAGTTCCATCCATGCCCCTGCAAAGGACATGATCTCATTCCTTTTTATGGCTTTATAGTATTCCATGGTTTATATGTACCACATTTCTTTATTCAGTCTATCAATGATGGGCATTTGGGTTGATTCCATCTCTTTGCTATTGTGAATAGTGCTGCAGTGAACATATATGTGTGTGTATCTTTATAATTGAATGATTTATTTTCCTTTGGGTATATATGCAGAAATGTGATTGCTGGGTCAAATGGTATTTCTGGTTCTAGGTCTTTGAGGAATCGCCACACTGTCTTCCACAATGGTTGAACTAATTTGCATTTCCACCAACAGTGTAAAATTGTTCCTATTTCTCCACAGTCTTGCCAGCATGTGTTGTTTCTTGACTTTTTAATAATCGCCATTCTGACTGGCATGAGATGGTATCTCACTGTAGTTTTGATTTGCATTTCTCTAACGATCAGTGATGTTGACTTTTTTTCATACGTTTGTTGGCTGCATAAATGTCTTCTTTTGAGAAGTTTGTGTTCATGTCCTTTGCCCACTTATTAATGGGGTTGTTTGTTTTTTTGTCAATTTAAGTTCCTTGTAGACTCTGGATATTAGCCCTTTGTCAGATGGAGAGATTGCAAAATTTTTCTCTCATTTTGTAGGTTGTCTGTTTGCTCTGATGATAATTTCTTTTGCTGTGCAGAAGCTCTTTAGTTTAATTGGATTCCATTTGTTAAGTTTTGCTTTCGTTACAATTGCTTTTGACATTTTCATCATGAAATCTTTGCCTGTGTGTATGTGCTGAATGGTATTGCTTAGATTTTCTTCTAGGGTTTTTATAGTTTTGGGTTTTACATTTAAGCCTTTAATTATCCTGAGTTGATTTTTGTCTATGGTGTAAGGAAGGGGTCCCGTTTCAATTTTCTGCATATGGCTCACCAGTTCTCCCAACACTATTAAGTAGGGAATCCTTTCCCCATTGCTTGTTTTTGTCAGGTTTGTTGATGATCAGATGGTTGTAGATGTGCAGTCTTATTTTTGAGTTCTCCATTCTGTTCCGTTGGTCTATATGTCTGCTTTTGTAGCAGTACCATGCTGTTTTGGTTACTGTAGCCTTGTAGTATAGTTTGAAGTAGGGTAGCATGATGCCTCCAACTTTGTTCTTTTTGTTTAGGATTGTCTTGGCCATATGGGCTCTTTTTTGGTTCCATATGAATTTTAAAATAGTTTTTTCTAATTCTGTGAAGATGTTAATGGTAGTTTAATAGGCATAGTATTGAATCTATAAATTACTTAAAAATGCCAGTATGGCTATTTTCACTGTATTGATTCTTCCAGTCTCATTTTTCTTATTTGGGAAAAGGGTTAATTGTTGTCACTGACATCATTATCCTCAACATTTAAATACAATTTTGTATGCTAGGCAGGTGTATTAGTTCATTCTCATGCTGCTATAAAGAAATACTCGAGACTGGGTAATTTATAAAGAAAAGAGGTTTAATTGACTCACAGTTTTGCAGGCCTCAGGAAACTTACAATTATGGCAGAAGGCCAAACAGAAGCAGGTACCTTTTTCACAAGGTGGCAGGAGAGAAAGTGAGTGCAAACAGGGGAAATGCCAGACACTTATAAACCCATCAGATCTCATGAGAATTCACTATCATGAAAACAGCAAGAGGGAAACTGCTCCCCATGATCCAATCACTTCCCACTGGGTCCCTCTCATGACACATGGGGATTATAGGGATTACAATTCGAGATGAGATTTGGGTGGGGACTCAGCCAAACCATATCAGCAGGGGTTCTAAGCACTTATATATTTAATTAGTTCTGTTTTATAGTTAGTGAAAAAGCTGGGATGTGAACCCAGACAGTGATTCCAGACTGTATTCTTAGCCTTTATACTATATTGTCTCTCAAGACAGAACAGGCTTCACAGGGTTGTGGGATCAAATGTGAAGCTCTTAGCAGAGATAAGTGCTTTATTAATAATGCCTATATTCTAACATCATTGAGAATATACTATACATACAGTTCTGTATTCTACTTTTTATACTTCTTATGTATTTTCCTGTCATTAAACATTTTTAATTTTAATGGATACATAATTCATCATATAGGTATACTGACATTTTATGACTCTTGTTTTTGCAGAGTAAATTGGAGATATAAGTGGTTAAAGATCTAAGTGGTTAAAATACATTAGATTCATGTCTTTGAATAACTATTGTTTTCCTATCTTTTAAAATAACAGCTTTATTGAGCTATAATTCACCCTTTAAAGTATACAGTTCAGAGGTTTTTAGTCAATTCACATAATTGCGCAACTAACATTACTATCTAATTTCAGAACATTTTCTTCACTCCCCAAAGAAACACTATACCCATTAGCAGTCACTCTCCATTATATGCTCCCTCTAGATGCTGGCAATCACTAATCTATGTCTCTGTGGATTTACTTATTCTGGACACATCATATCAATGATACCAAACAATAGGGGGCCTTCTGTGTTTAGAACCCTTTCAAGATTCATTCATGTTGTAGCATGTATCAGTACACCATTGCTTATTATTGCCAAGTAATAGTCCATTGTGTAGATATACCACATTTTATTAATACATTCATCAGTTGGTGGACATTTGGGATGTCTCTACTTTTTGTCTGTTCAAAATGCTGCTGTGACCTTTTATGTACAAGTTTTTACGTGGACGTATGTTTTTAGTTCTCTTGGATGTAAATATGTGAGTTGAATTGCTGGGTCATGTTGTTACTCTGTGTTTAGCTTCTTGAGGAATTGCCAGCTGTTTCCAAAGTGCCCACACTATTTTACATTCCATGAGCAATATGTGAGGATTCTAGTTTTTCCATATTTTTGTCAGTGCTTGTTGTTGTCCGTCTTTTTGATTATAGCCATCCTAGTCGGTGTGAGGTGGTATCTTGATTGGCATTTCCCTAATGACTAATTATGTTGAACATCTTTTCATGTGTTTATTAGCTGTCTATAGTATCTTCCTTGGAGGAATGTCTATTCAAGTCCTATGCCCATTTTTAAATCGGATTTTTTAAATTGTCGAGTTGTAAAATTTCTTTATATAGTCTGGATTCAAGTCCTTTATCAGATAGAGGATTTGCAGATACTTTCTCCCATTCTATTGGTTGTCTTCATTTTCTTGATTGTGCCTTCGAAGCACAAAAATTCTTAATTTTGATTACGTCCAATTTATTTTTTTCTTTGGTTGCTTGTGCTTTTTGTGTCATTTCTAAGAAACCATTGCTTAACCCACGGCTCACGAAGATTTACTCTTATGTTTTCTTCTAAGAATTTTGTAGTTTTAGCTCTTATATTTAAATCCATGAATCAATTTAATTTTTGAATATGGTGTGAGGTAGGAGTCCAACTTCATTCTTTTTCATATGCGTATCCAGTTGTCCCAGCACCATCTGTTGAAAAGACTATTCTTTCCCCGTTGAATTGTCTTGGCACCCATGTTGAAAAACTGACCATAAATGTAAGGGTTTGTTTTAGACTCTTTGTTCTATTATATTCTGTATCTTTTTAAATGGTACTTATGGCTCTGCTACTTACTAATTGTGTGACCTTCATGGTTGGTTAACTTTTGTCTCTCAGTTTTCTCGTTTGTAAAATGAGGAATAAATAGTAAGTACCTCATGGGGTTATTGTGAGGATTCAAGAAAATAATGTTTAAAGAGCTTAGAATAGCATCTGGCTTATAGTAAGCACACGGTATCTGTTAGCTGATGCCATCATTACCACCGTGGCTATCATCATCATTACCATCATAAAACTTAAATGTTATTTTCTAACTTGTATGTGACTTGTTTTCTTTGGCTGAAATTGTAAATGCTGAAATTAGATACCATGTTTAAGGAGTGAATGTTCTTGTTAAGAGAGAGTACAGAGTGCAAGGAAGATTGAGGGCAAACTCTTAAGAAATACTTGTATTTAGACATTTTTATTATAGTAGACAATGATTTTTTTTTAAAAAAAAGTACTTAAGGAAAATACTAGAGTCCTTGTTTTAGACTAATTGGGAGTAAGGGGGTCAGCTGGAAAGTCCTGTAATTATTTAGGTAGGTTAAAAGTGTCTGCAATAGTAGTCATGTATATGTATTGCTTTTTAAAAGTCATATATATGTATTGTAAAATCCTGGTGTTCGGGGACTATGGGTCTTTTTCTAATTTGGTGTAATGTGTAGTCTAGTGTGCTTAGCATTGCTGTTTAAACAGTGGCAAACTAATGTTGGCAATTTAAAAATTCTAGTTTAAAATCAATAATTATTAATTTGTTTATCAGCAATAGAAAAAAATCAATAATTAGCACCATTTAGCATTATGTGACAGATATATTAGAAGTGATATCATACCTCATTTGTTCTCTAAAGTTTAGCTACTTTTATTTTCAAGTAAGCCCATATGTACCTGGTAGTGATTTTGAGTGTTAGAGTGCTTAAAAAAGAACTCCAACTCTCTTTTGCCCTTTCTTCCCTTCACCTTACATTCATATTGTTAGCTTGTGACTGGGCTATTTTCTACTAATTGTAAATTTGTGTAACTGATGACAAAGCTTATGACGAATGTCTTAGTTCTCGGCTTTAGGCCATAATTTCTGCATTCCTAGAGTTCTTTTTTAATCAAATATATAAGTTATTGACTTGAGACCTCTTTTATTATAATTATCAGTACCAACATTTATTAGTTGTAAAATAAAAGAACTAAGTATTTTGATAGGCTGTTCCTTTCATCATGCTTAAATTTTTCTTCTGGCATTTTAAAATTTGTTTTTTTTTTCAGGTGTCTTCCCCCACTCTGGTGATGCTTATTGTTTTTTCTTGTATTTTAAAAATTTGATGTGATTATTATTCCTAGATGTCATTTGTCAGAGTGAACCGCTGTGGTCCCCGAGTTGGTGTAAGAAAGACACCGAAAGTAAAGAAGAAGAAAACTTCAGTGAAACAAGAATGGGATGTGAGTATAGGTGGGATAGTAAATAATGTAACATTACTCTGGAGAAATGGACACAGTGATATGGCCCTAGTCATGCAAGATGGTGTTCTGAATGGGGCTCATCACGTAATAGGGTGGAATAGGTTTCTGGGCATGTGATATTCTAGGTCTTGGAGGGAAAAGCAGAATCCTTTGGGGGAGGTTTTTAGAATACACACATCCAGGCTGTAACCTCTATATCCTCTGAAGAATTGGAATCCTAAGGGGATGGGGAGCATATTTTAAAAAACGTCTTTTCACTTTGACTCTGAGAACTCACTGCATAAAGGCAACTCTAGCTCACTGGTGTCAATGAAGTCTGTGAATTTTTCGGTACCTTTTTTAGGTTTGCTCAGAGCAACCAGTGATATCATAACCATGTGAGTGCCAGTTTTGGCTGAAAAAAATAGGTGACCTTTGCTCTCTTATCCCATGAATTGCTCAATTCCAGAGGTTGATCGGTTTCAGAACAAATGTTCTCTTGTGGTATAAGACAAGGCTGAAGTACCTGTAACATGTGATGTATGGCTCCTAACCTGAATATTGCCTGGTGTTACCAAGGGGATTTATATCTTTTTTTTAAGAGACAGGGTCATGTCCTGTCACCCAGGCTGGAGTGATGTGATGCCATCATAGCTCACTGCAGCCTTAAACTCCTGGACTCCAGCAATCCTCCTGCCTTAGCCTCCTGAGTAGCTAGGACCAGAGGCATGCACCACCACCCCTGGCTAACTTAAAAAAAATATTTTTTGTAGAGACAGGTCCTTGCTGTGTTGCCCAGGTTGGTCTTAAACTCCTAGCCTCAAGCGATCCTCGTGCCTTCGCTTCCCAAAGTGCTGGGATTATAGGCGAGCCATTGCACCCAGCTAGATTTCTCTTTTGTGACCTGATACTTTGGTTTGGACCATGAGACTTTAGGTGTCTTTACTTTCCATTGTGAAGAGTAACTAGTTAGGGATTAGTTTGGATCTCAGGGATTCTTTTGGACTTGGAATCTTCTTGTTTGCAACCTACCATGTTAGCCAGATATCCTGGGCAAACTGACAGCCTTTGAAGTGGGGCAGCGGGACTTCTCTGTGTTTAGATTGTTTTGTTGCTGTCTGATTGGCTATAAAATTTTAATAACAAGGATGTGACTCTAAGGTAAGGAAACTGATAAATCGGAAAAAAAAAATATGTGATAACATATTTTCCCCTTCAGAGTGGTTACTTTGAGAAGTTTAGTACAGTTGACCTTTGAACAACATGAGTTTGAGCTGCACGGGTTCATTTACGCATGAATTTTTTTTCAATAAATACAGTTGGCTGTATCCTGGGGTTCCACCTCTACAACGAAAGGTGGATTGAAAATACAGTGTTTTCAGGATGTAAAACCCAGATATGGAGAGCCAATTAGGTGGGATTTGAGTATGTGTGGATTTTGGTATATGTGGGTGTCCTGGATACTGTGGGATGACTGCATTTATTCCAATATGCCACTATTGCTTAAAACTTAATTGAAATCTATCATTTGAAATTGCATTAAGAACCTTCCTCATTTTATCTGCAGTGCTGGAAAAATCTTTTGTTTTTTGAAGGTAGACTGAACTTGGAAAATAGTCATAAGTCATTTGGAGTAAATGGTAAATGATGGAGAAGAGATCAAACTGATTATTACTGTCTTGATAAAAATAGTGAAACATTTTCTGAAATGGCTTGTAGATTAGATTTAAATGGAATGTCAAAAGAAAATGGTTTTAAGCAATGGTTTTAGTATTGATGGAATTATTATTTTCTTCCATGAGAACAAATTTCAAGCCTATCACTTACTTGTATGCCTGAGTTTTTAAATGCCTATTAAAAACAATTCTCATGATCCTGTAGTTGTACCTTGTACCTTTCTTTTCCTTTTCCCTTTTTTTTTTTTTTTTTTTTTTTGAGACAAGGTCTTGCTATGTTGCCCAGGCTGGCCTCAGACTCCTGGGCTCATGATGAGATCTTCCTGCCTCGGCCTCCTGAACCTCCTGGGTAGCTGAGACTACAAGCGCACACCACCATGCCTGGCTCTTGTACCTTTCTAAATCATTGTAAAAGTAATAACAGTTTTCATACAGAAAAGCCTTGAGCCAAATATAAATCATGGCCAAAAAGTTTAGTCTTTGATCAGAAGCCATTTTTGACTGTTCGTATTCCTCGTCACTTAGAAGTAAAACTAACTTGTTTTATTTCCTGCCTTACCAAATCTGTGTAGCAAAATGGCTGAAGTTGCTTTGGAAAGGGCCAAGTTACAGGGTTGCTACTTAGAGCTGTGCAGCCTGTGTACCACACAATTTCAAGGGGTGCTATTTACACGGACTCTGATATTAATGGTAACTTATGGAGTTGTGCAGGGTGGTAGCCCTGCCATGATAGTTTAGTGCCTTTTAATTTAACTGACTGTTTTTACATTTTATGAAATTATGCATTGCCCTCAAATTTCATCTTCCATTGTAGTAGCATCTATGCTTAAGATGTTTGCAGACACAAATTGAACCTCTCTATAGTGATCACACTTTCTTTTTTTTTTTTTTTTTTTTTTAGATAGAAACTCGCTTTGTTGCTGAGGCTGGAGTGCAGTGGCACAATCTTGGCTCACTGCAGACTCCACCTCCTAGGTTCAAGTGATTCTCCTGCCTCAGCCTCCTGAGTAGCTGGAATTACAGGTGCCCGCCACCAGGTCTGGCTAATTTTTGTATTTTTAGTAGAGATGGAGTTTTGCCATGTTGGCCTGGCTGTTCTCGAACTCCTGAGCTCAGGTGGTCCACCCACCTCAGCCTCCCAAAGTGCTGGGATTACAGGCATGAGCCACTGTACCCAGCCAGTGATCTCACTTTCTTTTAGGAACCTTTAGCGTTACGTTGTGGAATCCTGGGATTCCATAGACTACAGTGTGAAAACTAAAACTTTAGTTAAACTTACTCATTTTGAATATATACTACCATTTATTCATATATCATATATTCATTTTGAGTATTTTCATTGTTTTACTATAGTGTATGACTGCTTGGTGAATACAGTACTTATTTTCTGTAAGACATCTAAAATTAGTCTGTTATTTTCTATAAATAGGACACCTAAAACTAATATGTGTTCATATCTAAATTGAGAATACTGGTTCCTAGAAAGAAAGAATTTTTGGTCCTAGGATTTTGAAACCATTTTAGCCATTAAAATCCAATAAATGTGTATATTTTATAAGAAAACTTTTTTTTTTTTTTAAAGAAAGGCCACCTTTTTTTACAGAATACCGTGACTGATCTAACCGTTCATCGGGCAACTCCCGAAGATCTGGTGAGTTTAATATCAAAACTTAAGTCATTTATTCAGTGTTTTATTTGGTATTTGACTTGTAACCTTTAGAATAGAAACTATAGGCACTTCCTGGAAGTTGTTCAGTTATGTTTAATCTTGTTTATGTCTATATAAAATCAAAACGCCTATCTTCTGGACTTCCTGATTTGAGCTAGGAATATCAATTAGTATGTATTAGAGTTTCATTAAATATGTTGGGTTTATAGTTGAAATCTCTTCAGTCTAGTACTGCCTGATATATATCTATCTATCTGCCTTTTTAAAAAATCTATAGATATCTTCAGCATTATTTATTACTTCCCTATACAAACATATTGTTCTAGTCAGTGTAATAATTTCTGTGTATTTCCATGTCTGAGCCCCCATTCCTTACTTGGAACAGTTTCTGTACCTTCTTCTCTACCCGTTCAAATCTTACCTTACTTCCTTATCCTAGTTCAAATCCTACTTTTTTTTTTTATGTTTCCACTTAGGTTTTTTTTTTTTTTTTTTTTTTAAGATTTATTGAGATATAGTTCACATACCATGAAATTTACCTGTTTAAAGTGTGCAGTTTGGTGATTTTTGGTATATTCAGAGTTGTGCAACCATTGTCACTATCTAATTTTGGAATGTTTTCATTACCCCAAAATGAAACCCTCTACCCATTAACAGTCACTCCTTGTGCCCAGTTCTTCCCAGTTTGTGGCAATGACCAATGTACTTTGTGCTTTTATGTATTTGCCTATTCTGGTCGTTTGATATATGCGGAATACAACACGTGGCCTTTTGTGTCTAGCTTCTTTGTCTTAGCATAATATTTTCAAGGTTCATCCCTGTTGTAGCATGTATGTCTCTGCCCACTGCAGCCTCCACCTCCTGTGATCAAGCCATCTCCACCTCAGCATCTTGAGTACTTGGGACTACAGGTGCATGCCACCACGCCTGGCTAAGTTTTGTATTTTTTGTAGACACAGGGTTTTGCCGTCTTGCCCAGGCTGGTCTCGAACTCCTGGGCTCAAGGAATCTGCCCACCTCAGCCTCCCAAAGTGCTGGTATTATAGGCATGAGCCACCACGCCCAGCTCATAGTAGTTCTTTATTCCTTATAATTGCCAAATAATATTCCATTGTATGGATCTACCATTTTATTTATCTGTTGTTCAGTTGGTGGACATTGCATTGTTTCTGCTTTTGCATTGTTAGGTATAATGCTGCTGTGAACATTCATGTACAAGTTTTTGTGTGAACATGTATTATCAGTTCTTTTATATGTATACATCTAGGAGTAAAATTGCTGAGTCATATAATTTCTCCATATTTAACTTTCTAAATAATTGTCAAACTGTTCTATGAAGTGGCTGCACCATTTACATCCCCGCCAGCATGTATGAGGCTTCCAGTTTCCTCACATTGTTACTGTCACCTTTTTCATTTTAGTTCTCTTAGTAGGTGTAAAGTGCTGTCTCATTGTGGTTTCAATTTGCATTTCCCTAATTGATAAAGGATGTTAAGCATCCTTTTGTGTACTTTTCGGCCATTTCTACTATATTCTTTGGAGAAATGTCTATTCAAATACCTTAGTCATTTAAAAATTGGATTATTTGTGCTTTTATTGTTGAGTTATAAAAATTATGTATGTATTCTGGATTTGAGTTCCTAATCAGATATAATTTGCAAGTATTTTCTCCCATTTTCTTAGTTGTTTTTTCAGTTTCTTGATGGTGTCCTTTAAGCAGGGAAGTTTTTAATTTTGATGAAGTCAAATTTACCTGTTTTTTATTTTGTCACTTGAGTTTTTAGTATCATACCTAAGAAACTGTTACCTAACCCAAGGTTCACAAAGACATACTCCTATGTTTTCTTCTAAGAGTTTTATAGTTGTAGTTCTTATATGTAGAACTATGATTCATTTTAAGTTAATTTTTCTGTATGGTGTGTGGTGGGAGGGGGGCCCAACTTTATTTTTTGCTAAAGGATAATCATTGTCCAAACAGCATTTATTGGAAAGACTATTCTTTCCCCATTGAATGATCTTGGAACTCTTGTTGAAAAATCACTTGTCCATAAATATAAATGTTTATTCAGCACTCTCAATTCTATTTCACTGATTTATATGTCAATCCTTATGCCAGTACCACATTGTCTTGATTACTGTCGTTTTATAGTAAGTTTGAAGTCCTGTTTTTGAAACTGACCAACAGTTATCTCCTCTGAACTATTACTACCTAACTTAGGCATTGAGTATATGACATCTAATGTATATCATTTGTCTTTATAAGGATGTGCCCAATCTCAATGGGCAGATTGTTAATGCTTTTGAGAGATACAGACCATATCTTATACATCTTTGTGTACCCAGGAGTCTTAATCCTAGTAGGTGCTCATTAACTATTTACTGAGAATAATAATTATGCCCAACTGAGTTAATATTTTTTAAATGAAAAATTTCAAACTCAAGGGAAAATGGAGATAAAAATAGAAATAACTACTATGTACTGTTCACCCAGATAGGATAGTTATTAAAAATTTGCCACAGTTGCTTCATTTATCTTACCCTTTTCTTTTTTCTCTGAAATATTTTAAAGCAAATTCCAGAGAACACATCATTTTGTGCTTACATATTCAGTTTGCATTTTTTAAAAATGTAAGCCTTTTTTTTTTCAACATAACCACAGTGCCATTATTACATCCAACAAAAGTAAATATAATTATTTGTAACACCTAATACCTAGCCCATATTCAAATCTCCTCAGTTGTCTAAAAAATGTCATCTTCATTTGTTTTTTGTGAGTCAGAATCCTTGTGTAATACTTGTTATTGTCTCTTTAATGGATTGATTTTTTATTTACATGGTGAAAACTCAGTAGTACATTTTATCATATATGTTCATGTTCATAGTTCTGAATACTAGAGTACTTGTAAAATCAAATATCTAATTTTATTTCTTAGCCACCTTAGTGAACCTTAGTGAACCCACCTTAGTGAACCCTCTAACACTTGAGATCTGTGGCGCGTATCTCTTCTTGTACTTCAGGAACTCTATTTCCCTGACTTCTGTATTTTCAGTGACCCACTCCCACATGAGGCCATTGAAGGGCTATAAACACTACATTATTATTTCTTGGTAGTAGTGTGATGATCATGAAATGAGTGTGTCTTTGCCAAAGATGACTCGGTGGATTTTGTACCTTTTACATTGTGCTCAGTTAGTGTGTGTATATGTGTGTATGTGTATGTTAAAAAAAAATGCTGGTTTTGACCCATGAATTGATTTTATCATCCATTAAGTGAGTCCCAACCTGTGGTTTGAAAAACACTAGTTTGCTGGATAGTCTTGCAGAAAAGTAGTAGAAATTATTATTTCTTTCTGTACATCTTTTAGGTAGGTTTACCAGTTCTATATACTGCTTTCTTTAAGATCATTTTTGAAAATTTAGGGGACTGAAAATTTTGGCTATGAATATATATAAACATGCACATATTGGACCAGAAAAAGTTTAAAAAGTGATGAACTAGAGTAGGTGATCTCATCATCTGAATAGGCAACTTCTTTGTGTCTGAAACATTCCTTTATGTACTTTTCTCTTCTGTATAGGTACGCCGTCATGAAATACACAAATCGAAGAATAGAGCATTAGTACACTGGGAACTCCAAGAAAAAGCTTTGAAGAGAAAATGGAGGAAGCAGAAACCAGAAACTTTAAATCTTGAGAAAAGAAGATTGTCTATCATGAAGGAGGTAATGCTAAACTGCATTAGAGTTAGAAAGAAAAAAAGGAGATAAATAGGGTTCTTTGTTTTTCTTCAATTTGATTCACGTTGGAGAGACTCTAGTAATCACTGCATTCTTATTCAATAATCTACATGTGGACTTCAAAAAAAGCAACAGAGTGGTGACTGGAGTCTGGTTTGGTGGTTTGAATTCCTGTTCTACTACTTACCAGCTGTGTGACCCTAAGTAAATTATTTAACTTTTCAGCCTGAATTTTCTCATATTTAAAATTATTATTTGCTTGTATTGCTATGAGATTTCAGTGATATAATACTTACAAAGTGAATAGCACAATCTTTGCTTATTCCTCTTTTTGTATATAAGCTGCTATAATAATTTTTCTCAGTAAAGTGATTAGCACAATCTTTTCTTATTCCTCTTTTTATATATAAGCTGCTATAATTATTTTTCTCAGTTTAACAGCAGTGCTGTTAGGTTACTTTGAAAAAAAAATGATGTTGTATGCTTGTCCAACTGAGTAATAAGCAACTTGTCTTTGGCTTAACCTTTTGCCAGACGTGGGGTGTTCAGATAAGTAATCAGATATGTAGGGATAAACAATATGGGAAATAAGAGGAAACTACAGCAAATAACCTTTTTAAATTTGAGCTGAAGTCATTGTGAAGGAATGTGCTTTGTCTGTAGTGTTGCTCCTTGTTCATATTGAAGCTTATGTACAGCACTTAGCTGTCTGACCTTTCACGGCAGCTTTGAATCATACATTTTCTTTTGAGGAATTTGTTAGGCTTCTTATTGAAATAAAGTCTCAGTCTTAGACATCATCAGGAAGAATAATATCTCCCAAATAAATGTTTACATGAGCTTGAGAAAAGAACAGTGGCTTGATTGAGAGAATGCTTCTTTACAGGTAAGTATCTTTTGGTGATCTTGGACAAGTCGCATACATTTAAATGTTATGGGGTAATTCTCAGTGAAAGGCCTAAAAACACAGATCTCACCACGAAAAAAGGCAGCCTGCTTGGATTGCATCAGACTCTGGGCTTATTTTCCTTTCTCTAGTGGTTCCTGCTCATGTCCTGAATTTCTCATACAAGTTATAGATGTGGTAGAAGTAGGTGTTTAAAGAAGGGTGGTGAGAGACGATGAGTGATGTTTCTTTGCCTTCTTTTTGTAGATCTGCTGCCTCAGGCACTAGTATAGTGGTTCTCAACTCTCACTGCACATTAGAATCAGTCAGGGTCAAGAAGCTCCATTAAAAAAATATATAACAGCTGGGTGTGGCAGCTCATGCCTGTAATCCCAGCATTTTGGGAGGCCAAGGCGGGCAGATCACCTGAGGTCAGGAGTTCAAGACCAGCCTGGCCAACATGGTGAAACCCCATCTCTACAAAAATACAGAAATTAGCTGAGCATGATGGCGGGTGCCTGTAATCCCAGCTACTTGGGAGGCTGAGGTGGGAGAATTGCTTGAACCTGGGAGGCGGAGGTTGCAGTGAGCCGAGATTGGTCCATTGCACTCCAGCCTGTCTCAAAAACAACAACAGCAAAACCAAAAAAAAAAAAAAGCCCTAAAGATTAGCTGGGTACAGTGGCAGGTGCCTGTAGTCCCAGCTACTCAGGAGGCTGAGGCAGGAGAATCGCTTGAATCCGGGTTGCAGTGAGCTGAGATTGTGCCACTGCACTCCAGCCTGGGCAACAGAGTGAGACTCTGTCTCAAAAAAAAAAAAAAAAAAAAAAGCTCTCTTTCTCTCTCTCTCTCTCTATGTATGTATGCATATATATATAACTATATCTGGACTCTATACCCAGAGATTCAGATTTAGTTGACCTAGGATGTGGCCCCATGTAGGTGTTTTTTAGACAGTTCCTATGTAATTTGAATGTGCTGCAGGGGTTGAGCACCTCAGCTCTCATCAGGATTCAGGTATTTTCTCTCTACCAGCATATCTTGGGATAATTTCCTGTCAGTGCTTAGACATCTACCTTTTCTTTTTGATGGCCATTAGCATATAGATGTACCACAATTTATTTATCCTGTGCTTTATTGGTGAACACTTAGGTTGTGTGTTAGAGTATAGTTTAAGCTTCTGGAAATAAAAAAATACCCTCCTATATGTTTTGCTTTAAACAAACAAATTTGTTTCTGTTTATTAAACAGTTGAGAGGAAAGTGGTAGCTGGTAGGGAACTCTGCAGTCCTTTATTACACAGCTTCTGTCTCTGAATACAAAATGGCCATAGCAGCTTCATTCAGCTATATGCCAGCCAGCAGGAAACAGGAAGAACAGTGCATGCTACTCCTATTACATGTCACCCAGAAGTTCTGGCATATATCCTGTTGGCCAGAAAGTCATCACATGGCCATTCCCACTTACAAAGATGGTTGGGAAATCTAGCTATGTAATTGGCTAAAATGCAGGAGTTCTGCTGTTAAAGGAGAAACCAAAAGAACATTGCTGGATACTTAAGTAGTACTGTCAGTTACCCACAGATTGTCTTCTACCTTGCTACTATCAATAATGTAATAAATATCCTTGAAAATGTTTTTGGGTACACATGTAAGTATATTTTCAGGATAAATTCTTAAAAGTAGAATTGCTTAGTCAATGGATATGTGCATCTTTTATTTCAATGTTGGTAAATTTGCAACGTCTCTGTTTAAGGGATGCAGTGGACCAAAGGAAGAAGCCTCCTTAGACATATTCACATAAGCTTCATCATTATGTATTAAAGCTAACAGGACCCATCCACCTGAAGCTGGACTCCCAGATTAACATAAATTAAGAGAAAGCTCTTTGGCCAGCATAATCTTAGATTTCATTTGCTGTAAGATGTACCCATGCCATGGGAATCAAGCAAATTAGGGTTCCCTCTCACTCATGGAGAGGCTTTCAAAAAGATCTTATAAATCCCCAAAATGTAATAACTCCTAAAGCCTCTTTGTAATTTCCCAATTCTACCTCATGTCTTTTACTGTGGTACAAAAGGGCTAAGATGACGAGTTTCTGATAATGTCTTTTTTTTTGTAGAGACTGGGATCCTTTGAAAATCCAACATGTGTACCACCACTTACAGGTTTAAGTTTGTGCTCTGCAAACTCATTTGAGGAGTAATAGATAGAGTTAGGCTTGTAGAGATCAGTTTACCTGTCAAATGGATGGGCTTTATGAGAGGAGTTATAAATCTAGAAAGAAGAAGTAAAAGCCAATACACTGATCTTTGATCACTCAAACCATTTTTCCCAAGGGCAGGGACTAAACAGGGGTTTCCAGTCTTTTGGCTTCCCTGGGGCACATTGGAAGAAGAAGAATTGTCTTGGGCCACACATAAAATAAACTAACATTAATGATAGCTGATGAGCTAAAAAAAAAAAAAAAAAAAAAAAAGTTGTAAAAAAAAAATCTCATAATGTTTTAAGAAAGTTTACAAATTTGTGTTAGGCCACATTCAAAGCCATCCTGAGCCACAGGTTGGACAAGCTTGGACTAGCAGAAGGTGACAGATAATGGTTTTTACATGAGACCTCATTATAATCAATATCAGGTCTCAATATGGTTATAAGATTATAATCTTCATGTGTCAATTCCATCTCTTTATTTTGATAGGTCAATGCTTTTAAAAAATAGTAAACTCTTAAAATTATTATTAGGAAATAAGCTTTGTGTAATTTTTCTGGTATAGTGAAAGATTATACTCATTCATTCACATTCTTTCCTAAGCTCATAATTCCTTGTACTTGCAAGACGGCTAAGTAAGAATAGAAATTTGGTTTGTGGGATAATATAATTTAAGTTATAGCAAAATTCTGAAACATCTCTAGAGTGGTATATAGGTTTTCAGTGTTTCCATATCCATCTACCACCCCTGTGGGGCTGGGGAAGGGTTGTTGACTGGGACTGGACTCTCAGTCTTCTGGGTCTGATGTGCTCTTGACCTGATACCATTCCAAAGCTTACTCTTTGTAGAAGGAATAAATTCAGGGCTTTCTTCTCACTGAGTCAGCCAACCTGCTTGGCTATAGCCGGGGAAGAAGGGGAAAAATTAAGAATGTGACTCTTGCTATTTTTCTTTCTGTGTCTTAAAACAATAACTGAGGTCACATTGTGTATGTATTTGATTCTGTAGTATAGAGAAATTCTGGTAAGAGTATTTGTTATCAGATATTTTATCAATTTGAGTCAAGTGTTGGAAACTGAGCAGTTTCCAGGTACTTTTTAACTTGAGAATGCCATCTGGTGGTGGTGCCGAGAGAATTATCTGGCTTTTACTCTAGCCTGTGGCCTTACTTTTAATTATGAAAGTTCCTAAGTTGAAAGTGCATAATCCAGAGGCACTACTGTAATGTTACTTTTTGTGTTCTTACCTCTCCAGGGTAAAAAACTGATTTGTTTTTAAACACAGAGGCCTCACATTTTTTGTTTAATGCTAAAACTCATATCTTATGTCATGTTTTTAAAGTTGTAGGTCATGACTTGACACATTAGTGGATTACATTAGTGGATTCTGAATTCACTCTAGTGGTTGAAACACCTCTAAGTTTATGGCTCAAAGATTCATATCTTTCATCTGTGTTTTTCAAACTATGGATTATAATTTGTTAATGAATTGTGAAGTGAGTTGCTGCCAACATTTAAAAAATAGAATAGAAATTAACAAGAAAATATCAGTGGTTCTCATGGAGCAAGGTTAATTAAAACTTTTATTTTAATTAACTTTTTATTTAATTAAAACTTTTATTTTGTATATGTGTATGTAAATGTGGTGGGTCACAATTGTGAATATTTCTTTTTTTTTTTTTTGAGACGGAGTCTCGCTCTGTCGCCCAGGCTGGAGTGCAGTGGCGGGATCTCGGCTCACTGCAAGCTCCGCCTCCCGGGTTCACGCCATTCTCCTGCCTCAGCCTCCCAAGTAGCTGGGACTACAGGCGCCCGCTACCACGCCCGGCTAATTTTTTGTATTTTTAGTAGAGACGGGGTTTCACCGTTTTAGCCGGGATGGTCTCGATCTCCTGACCTCGTGATCCGCCCGCCTCGGCCTCCCAAAGTGCTGGGATTACAGGCGTGAGCCACCGCGCCCGGCCAATTGTGAATATTTCTTACTTTGGATTTCAGTCAGGTATTGGAAAGCCACTAATTATTGTCTTAGCCCCATCTACTGGTTCTTAAGGATATTGCTACTGAAGGTTTTTAGGAAGGTAGCCTATGGTTATTTTCATGCTCCAGGCCTTTTTATGGTCTTTTCCTTTGCGATTTGAAAAGTAAATATAATCTGAATAATAATATTTGTCATTAACACATGTCTAGATTCTTTCTGATCAATACCAGATGCAAGATGTGTTGGAGAAATCTGATCATCTAATAGCTGCAGCAAAAGAGCTGTTTCCTCGTAGGCGCACAGGTATTCAATTCAAACAAAAGCTTCTCTATTTTATTAACTGTAGCCCACAGTTGACTATTTGGAAGAATTTAAAGTCCTTTCTTAGGCATCATATTATTTATATTACAAGTATTGTAGGGTGGATTTACAAGGGTTGTTAGGGTTAGAGTCATTATAATCTGTTTCCTTTCCACTAAGAATATTAACTACTTGTATTACAAATAATTCAGCTAAGGAAAAGTAAATTGTTTTAATCTACTAAAATATGGTGTAAAGTACAGGATTTTGTAATTTTAAAATGTGACTTGAATAAAGCTTAATTTGAAACCTAAAGCAACTTCAGTCTCTCTCTAAGAGGAACTTTGCCTCTTGTCAGATACACGCATTATTTATTTTAATGTGTGTGTAGTTCATTGTTTATCTTAATCTTCTAGAAACATCATTAGTTTTTCATGTAAGGTTTGAATTCCGGCTTGGCAATCTATTAGTGTTACTCTGGGCTAGTTACTTAATGTCTGTGAGTTTCAGTTTACTGATCTGTAAAATAGTAATTGTACTTATAGGGTTTTATGAGAGTAAAATGAGTTAATATATGTAAGTACGTTTAGAACAGTGCCTGGCATATAGTAAGCACTACATTAATGTGAGCTGCTGTTTAAGATTTTCATATGATGATGCAAACCAATGGCAGTATAGAGCTTGTGAAGTCAAGTTAATTAAATGAAACAAATCATCACAACTTCTTTTCCTTTTGCAGGGTTTCCAAATGTAACAGTGGCTCCTGATTCCTCTCAGGGTCCCATTGTGGTAAATCAAGACCCTATCACCCAATCTATCTTTAATGAGTCTGTCATAGAACCTCAGGTAATGTGTTCCACTCACAGCTATAACACTCATGCTGAAAGGAAGTTTAAGTTGATATAGGCCTTGTGGTAAATATTTTAAAAGTTTAAATATCAACAAGTGCTAGTTGTGGTTGCTAGATTTGCTCTTAAGTGTATTGCACTTTCTGTGAGTAATGTTTGTATCAAACAAGACTGGATAATAATAGCTAAAATTTACTGAGTGCTTACCTAGTAGGTGTATATGCTGCTTTATCCCCATTTGGCAGATGAAGAAATTGAAGCTGAGAAAAATTAGGTGACTTGGCCAAGATCACATAGTTTGCATCAGAGATGGGATTCAAATCTAGGCCATGTGGCTCAACAAGACTGCCACCATCGATCATTATGGAGACAGCAGGGAGTCTTTCCACTTGGAGTCAGGTGGATCTACTTACTAGCTGTTTGTTCTTGAGCTGATTTCTTAATATATCTGGGTGGGCTCAGAATGTGTTTTGCTTCTTCGTTTTTTGTTAAATGGGACTAGAATGTACCTGATATCATTGTTGCATGGATCAGGTGCGAAAAGTTATGTAAAATTCCTGGTATAATACCAGGAACATAGTACTTTGTAAATGTTAGTCTCTTTTAATGTATTAGGATATTTAAAAAATAGCTTCACAAGAAACTTGCAATGTATCAACTAGTTATATGGGAGAATTGTATTACAGTAGTAAAACATTAATTGGCTGTATTCTAACCTAATGGGAATTCTTAATTAATGAAAATGTTTAGAATTTTGAGATAGTAAACTTTTTTTAAAGCCCGTGAATAATTTAATACTAAAATAAGACAACTTATGCATGACTAGGACTCAGTACCTGTTTAATGAAATTTCCTAAGTTATAGTTTCTATGAAAAAAGAAGAGAATCATCAATTAGAGGGATATTCCTAGGGAGTTGCAAGGTCCAGAATCATAAAAGATATATTAATTATATTGTTTCATACTTCCAAAGGCAATTAAGTAAAATGTTACACATATTTTAAATAGCCAAAAACCTTTTACCATATTTCCGGCAAAAACCATTTATGTTTTGGCACTTAATGAGAAGTTAGCTTTCAGATAGCTGGAAATTTAATCACCCTAGAATATCTTATTGCTGTAGTATGTTCAACTGAAGATTTTACTTTTATTTAAATAAATCATAAGTGAAGTGTGCCCTATTTATTTCAGTCATACTTTAAGTACTTTTTCAGTTAATTGGAGCCTGTAAACAAGTACACGATGTATCCCAGCAACATGGAATAAAGCAGTCAGATTTTATTCTGTTGAAGAGTCCATTCGCACACTTGAGCTTATTACCATTAATACAGCAGTAGAATTTCAAATTAATGTTACTGATACAACTAATTTACCTACCTGGTTTAAGTACTTTCTCAATTTACAGCTGATAGCAGATGAAAAACAGTGATGTGAGCCTCTCAAAGCAGAGGTAGCAGAGAAAAATGGCAGTGAGGGAGGAGAGAGAGGATACCTGAATAGATAAGCAGAGGACCACTATACATCAGAAAGGAAATTGGTGTTGCTATAGATAATCTTTTTTTTTTTTTTTTTTTTTTTTTGAGACGGAGTCTCGCTCTGTCGCCCAGGCTGGAGTGCAGTGGTGCAATCTTGGCTCACTGCAAGCTGTGCCTCCCGGATTCACGCCATTCTGCTGCCTCAGCCTCCTGAGTAGCTGGGACTACAGGCGCCTGCCACCATGCCCGGCTAATTTTTTTTTTGTATTTTTTAGTAGAGACGGGGTTTCACCATGTTATCCAGGATGGTCTCGATCTCCTGACCTTGTGATCCGCCCGCCTCGGCCTCCCAAAGTGCTGGGATTACAGGCGTGAGCCACCACGCCCGGCCTGCTATAGATAATCTTGAGTCACCAAGAAAAAATGAATTGTAACTGCATTACTTAAGTTCTCTGGGTCCTAGTTTCTTCATCCATATAGGAATTAGTGAGACTAAACCTACTCACTTATTCATCATGTAATATTTCAGATCATGCACTAGATGCTAAGATACATAGATGATTAAGGCATGTCTCTGTCATTGGATTAGGGAAATAGCAGGAGTTGAGGTTAGAGAGACAAGTAGGACCTAGGTCCTGAAGGACTAAGGACTGGAAAGTAAAAGTAGAGTCACTGAAGGATTTTAAAGAGTGGAGTCATGATGAGATCCAGTATAGTGTGGAAGATGGATTGGGGAGGGACAAGACTGGAGAGAGGGTCTGGTTAGAAGACTTAGGTGGGCATCTTAGAAGTGGTGAGGGCCTGACCCAAAGCCATGCCAATAGGGAAGGAAATAGAGGAGAATAGGGATAGACTTGAGAGTGGTTAAAATGAGGTAGAGTTGGCAGGATTCGGTGGCCGATAGGACAGGACAAGTGAGAAAGAAGGATAACTCCTCATTTGCTGGCTTGAGCATTTGAGTAGATGGTGACACTGTTCATGGTCTTAGGTAATATTGGCAGGAACAAAGTTTCTGGAAGAATGGTTGGAGGGCTTAGAAAGCTGTTCAGCTTGGACCTATTGAGTAGGGATTTTTTTTTTTCTTTTTTGAGATGGGGTCTTGCTGTGTCACCCAGGCTGGAATGCAGTGGCACAATCATGACTCACTGCAGCCTCTACCTCCTGGGCTCAAGCAATCCTCCTGCCTCAGCCTCTTGAGTAGGTGAGACCACAGGTGCACGCCACCAAGCCTGCCTAATTTTTGTGTTTTTGGTGGAGACGGGGTTTTGCCACGTTGCCCAAGCTGGTCTCAAACTCTTGGGCTCACATGATCCTCCTGCCTTGCCCTCTTAAAATGCTAGGATTACAGAAATGAGCCACTGTGTCTGGCCAGAATAGAGATATCTTATAGGCAGTTGAATATGAATGTCTGGGGCTTAGGACAGATCTGGGTGTGAAGATAGAGGTTTGGAAATTAATAGCATTTCATTTGTAATTACAGCTTTGGAATTAGATAAAAACATTCAGAAAGTGGATCAGATGAGGGGAGAAAAGGTTGATATAGGCCTTTTGGTAAATATTTTAAAAGTTTAAATATCAACAAATGCTAGTTGTGGTTGCTAGATTTGCTTTTACTTAAGTGTATTGCACTTCCTGTGAGTAACGTTTGTACCAAACAAGATAAGACTGGATAATAATAGCTAAAATTTATTGAGTGCTTACTTAGTAGGTGTGATGTGACTTGAGTCACATCATCAGATACAAGGAAAGGGTAGAAAAATAAGATCAGTAAAGGAGATTGGGAAGGAATGGCCAGAAGAGTAGGAGAAAATCTAAGAAAATACAGTATTATGGGAGTTAAAACAAGTGTATCAAGTAGCGTTTTTTTTTTTTTTTTTTTTTTGAGACAGGGTCTTGCTCTGTTGCCCAGGCTGGAATGCAGTGGCACGATCACAACTCACTGCAGCCTCGACCTTCCTGGGCTCAGGTTATTCTCCCTCCTCAGCCTCCTGACTAGCTGAGACTACAGGTGTGGGCTACCTCACCTGGCTAATTTTTAAATTTTTTTGTAGAGACATGGTTTCGCCATGTTGTTCAGGCTGGTCTTCAACACCTGGGCTCAAGTGATCCACTTGCCTTGGCCTCCCAAAGTGCTAGAGTTTTAGGCATGAGCCACCACACCTGGCCAAGTGGATTTTAAAGGAAAGAAATGAGTGGTCAGAGAAGTAAGGGAAGGCAAAGACAGAAATATCCATTTGAGTTAGAAATAAGTGTGTTGAGGTTGACCTTGTAGAGAGCAGTTTGAGTAGAGCAATAGGGCAGAAGAAGCAAAGTTGCAGGGCATAGGTGGTGAGTGAGGAGGGTGGAACAACTCTTTCAAGAAGTTTGGTGGTAGAAGAAAGAAGATATATATAGCTTAAGGTAAGTATAGGGTCAGGTTAAGATGGGAGAGGCTTGCTCACATTTAAATGTTGGTGAACTGAAGCCACTACAGAGACAGATGTTGAAAATGTGGTAGAGAGATAGGATAATTGATAGTAGTGGAAGGATGTGAGAAGATTTGTGTTCTACAACATGTGGAGGGCTTAGGAGGAGGGAACTCTCTTCTGTTATGACAGAAAAAAAAAAAGAAAGTCTGAGTATATATATAATCAACTTGTGCTATTTTTATTGTTGTGTTGAGACAGGCTCTTAATGATGTAGATGGTGAAGAAGAAGGAACTGTTAATAGCCAGTCAGGAGAAAGTGAGAATGAGAATGAGTTGGATAACTCTCTAAACTCTCAGTCTAACACGAATACAGACAGGTATGTGTATATGGCATAAATATTTACAACTCTCAGGTTTTTTCCATGGCCATTTCAATGTTTGCCTATTGCATCATTTTTTATTAAATGGGAGTTTATTTTTATTTAAAAATTTGTTTATTTTGGTATTTCCAAATAATTTGCAGGGATAATATAAAAAGCTCTTGTATACTCTTTACTCAGATTCATCAATTATTAATGTTTTCCACATTTCTTTTATCATTTTATCTCCTTTCTGAGTATGCACACACATGCATGCATGCACATGAGCACCAGTCGCCTGAGTAATATACATTGTACCCAATATGCAGTTTTTTATTCCGCACCTACCTCCCGCCCTCCCCCTTCTGAGTCTCCAAAGTTTGTTATATCACTCTGTATGCCTTTGCATATCCATAGCTTAGCTCCTTAGCAAGTAAGAACATGTGGTATTTGGTTTTCCATTCCTCAGTTACTTCACTTAGAATAATGGTCTCCAGCTCCATCCAAGTTGTTGCAAAATACATTATTATTTTTTTTGTGTGTGAGTGGCTGAGTAGTATTCCATGGTGTGTCTATACCACATTTTCTTTATCCACTCATTGGTCGTTGGGCACTTAGTTTGGTTCCATATTTTTGCAGTTGACTAACATACATTTTTAAAGAACTATTAGGAAGTAAGTTGCATGCTTCATGTTCCTTTATCCCTAAATAATTCAGTGTGTGGTTCCCAAGAAAAAGAGCATTCATTCAGATAAAATCACAGTACAATGATCACAATCAGGAAATTACATTGATTTAACACTATTATCTAATCCATAGACCTTATTTAGATTTCTCCAGTTGTCACAGTAATGTTTATTTTGTTTTTTGGATGATTGAAGAACTAATCGTAATCACTTATTATATTTAGTTTTCATGTCTTTTCATTTTTAAAAAAAACCTGGAATCTTCTAAAATCTAATCTTAGTGTTTCTTTGCCTTTTATGACATTTTTATAGTTTTGAAGAAGTACAGGGCAGTTATTTTACAGAATTCCCTCTAGTTTGACTTTGTCTTATAAGTTCTTCATTATTAGACTCAGCTTACTTATGCATTTTGGGCAGGAATATCCCTAAAGTGATGTTAAGTCCTCAATGTGTCATATCAAGAGGCAGTGACACCTTGGTTTAATTATTGGTGCTGTTAACTTTCATCATTTGGTTACAGTGATGTCTGCCACGTTCCTTCAATGGATTATACTGTTTTATCTTTTATTTATTTTGATGTTTATTTGTCACATATTTGGGAGCTTCTTCAAGTAATTCCTGTGTCCTTTTAACGTATCTTCTTTAATGTTTAATTTCTGGCACAACATAGCTCTTATTATACTTTCTCTTCCCTGGAATCAACCATTTCTTCAAGAATCCTTAGCTCATTTTATTAAAGAAGGGTATTTAAAAACCAAGCTCTAAGTATTAGATGCGTTTATTGCACTTGGCAGTCATTGTTTTTAGACCAACAGATACATATATATGCACACATACATATATATACCTATAGTCATATGTATATGAACATATCTATATTAGTATCTAGTTTTCTGTCTATTTAGCTATAAATCATGAATTTACAGTGATACCTCTAAGTCCAATTTAACACTATTGGTTTTATCTTGGTCTTCTTATTCCACATTTGTATCACTCTTCTTTAACACTGAGCAGCATGTCTCCAAACATTACACAAGTATATTTATTCATATTCAATCCTGCAATACATAGAAAATAGTTTTGGAATTGCTGCGCCCATACTACTGCAAAAATAAACCTGCTAAGTAGAGTTCAAGATTGTTTGCAGATTTCTAAAAGGTTATTGTATTCATTTGAAATATAATTAGGTTCATTTGCTTCTATTTGTATTCAATTTTAGGTTTTTACCTCTCTTTTTGACAAAATTATACAAAAAGCTGTTTTCAGGGTAGTGTCAGTCACCATCCCCTATCCCTTCTAACTAGTTCCCGTCTACACTTACCCTTGTAGGTGATCAGTTTCCTTAGTTTTTAAATTTATTCTTTCTGTGTTTCTTTTTATAAATGTAAGCAGATATATATATATATATATATATCTCCTTATTTTCTCTTATATAAAAGATAACATACTCCTTATTTTCTCTTCTTATATAAAAGGTAACGTACTATATTTGCTTTTCTTTTACTTTAATTGACAATAAATGTGCATGTTCATGAGGTACATAGATGTTTTGATACATATAATGTATAGTAATCAGATTGGGGTAATTAACATATCCATTTATATTTGCTTTTACCACTTAATGATATATCCTGGAAATCTCCCCATAGCTGTTCATAAGTTTACACAGGTATTTTTTTCTTCATTTTTATAATAAAATGAAACAGTTGGATAGTACTAAATTGTGTGAATGTACTGTAGTTTATTTGACCATTCTCATATATATATATTATCATTTTTTATTGTGTCTATTTGATTCTTCTCTCTTTTTTTCTTTATTAGTCTGGCTACCAGTCTATTTTGTTGATCTTTTCAAAAAACCAGCTCCTGGATTCATTGATTTTTTGAAGGGTTTTTCATGTCTCTATCCCCTTCAGTTCTGCTTTGATCTTAGTTATTTCTTGTCTTCTGCTAACTTTTGAATTTGTTTGCTCTTGCTTCTCTAGTTCTTTTAATTGTGATGTTAGGTGTCAATTTTAGATCTTTCCTGCTTTCTCTTGTGGGCATATATATATATATATATATATGAGAATGGTCAAATAAACTACAGTATATTTGATATACTATATATATATATATATGGTCATTTAGGTTATTTTCAGTATTTTATTTTATTTTTCATTTTTTGAGATGGAGTCTCATTCTGTTGCCCAGGCTGGAGTGCAGTGTCGCCATCTTGGCTCACTGCAACCTCCACATCCCAGGTTCAAGTGATTCTCCTGCTTCAGCCTCCCAGGAAACTGGATTACAGGCATGCGCCACCAGGCCTGGCTAATTTTGTATTTTTATTAGAGACTACATTGTTCAGTTCCCACTTAAAAGCGGGACATGTGGTGTTTTGTTTTCTGTGTTGGTTTGCTGAGGATAATGGCATCCAGCTCCATCCATGTCCCTGCAAAGGACATGATTTAATTCCTTTTTATGGCTGCATAGTATTCCATGTTTTATTATTAAATTAACTAGAGAGAACTGGCATCTTTATGACGTTGAATTTTGCTATTCAAGAACATAGTATATTTTTCCATTTGTTAAAAGGTCCGCTGCTTTCTTCAGAGCCGTCAGGCATAGATGTTTAAGTCTGATGAAGCTGTGCCCACAGCCGCCCCTTCTCCCAGGTGCTCTGTCCCAGGGAGATGGGGGTTTTATTTATAAGTCCCTGACTGGGGCTGCTGCTTTTTTTTCCAGACATGTTCTGCCCATTGAGGAGAAATCTGGCAGTCTGGCCGCAGCAGCTTTGCTGAGCTTCGGTAGGCTCCACCCAGTTTGAACTTCCTGGTGGCTTTGTTTACACTGTGAGTGTAAAACCACCTACTCAAGCCTCAGCAATGGCAGCTGCCCCTTCCCCCACCAAGCTCGAGCGTCCCAGGTTGATCTCAGATTGCTGCTGTGTTGGCAGCAAGAATTTCAAGTCAGTGGATCTTAGTTTGCTGGGCTCCGTGGTGTGGGACCCGCTGAGCCAGACCACTTGGCTGCCTAGCTTCAGCCCCCTTTCCAGGGGAGTGAACAGTTCTGTCTCTCTGGCGTTCTAGGCGCCACTGTGGTATGGAAAAAAAAAAAAAAACAAACAAAACTCCTGCAGCTAGTTTGGTGTCTGCCCAAACGGCCCCCTAGTTTTGTGCTTGAAACCCAGGACCCTGCTGGGGTAGGCACTGGAGGGAGTCTCTTGGCCTGCGGGTTGCGAAGACTGTGGGAAAAGCACAGTATCTGGGTCAGAGTGCAAGGTTCCTCAGGCTCAGTCCCTCCTGGATTCCCTTGGGTAGGGGAGACTTTAACACTTTATGGTCAGTATTAGACAGATCGATGAGACAGAAAATTAAAAAGGATATTCAGGACTTGAACTCAGCTCTGGACCAAGCAGACTTAATAGACATCTACAGAACTCTCCACCCCAAATCAACAGAATATACATTCTTCTCAGTACCTCATCGTACTTTTTCTGAAATTGAGTAAAACACTCCTCAGCAAATGCAAAAGAATGGAAATCATAACAAACAGTCTCTCCGACCACAGTGCAATCAAATTAGAAATCAGGATTAAGAAACTCACTCAAAACCGCACAACTACGTGGAAACTGAACAACCTGCTCCTGAATGACTACTGGGTACATAACTAAATGAAGGCAGAAATAAAGATGTTCCTTGAAACCAGAGAGAACAAAGACACAACATACCAGAATCTCTGGGACACATTTAAAGCAGTGTGTAGAGGGAAATTTATAGCACTAAATGCCCACAAGAGAAAGCAGGAAAGATCTAAAATTGACACCTAACATCACAATTAAAAGAACTAGAGAAGCAAGAGCAAACAAATTCAAAAGTTAGCAGAAGACAAGAAATAACTAAGATCAAAGCAGAACTGAAGGGGATAGAGACATGAAAAACCCTTCAAAAAATCAATGAATCCAGGAGCTGGTTTTTTGAAAAGATCAACAAAATAGACTGGTAGCCAGACTAATAAAGAAAAAAAGAGAGAAGAATCAAATAGACACAATAAAAAATGATAAAGGGGATATCACCACTGATCCCACAGAAATACAAACTACCATCAGAATACTATAAACACCTCTATGCAAATAAACTAGAAATGGATAAAATCTAGAAGAAATGGATAAATTCCTGGACACATACACCCTCCCAAGTCTAAACCAGAAGAAGTCGAATCCCTGAATAGACCAATAACAAGTTCTGAAATTGAGGCAGTAATTAATAGCCTACCAACCAAAAAAAGTCCAGGACCAGGCAGATTCACAGCCGAGTTCTACCAGAGGTACAAAGAGAAGCTGGTACCACTCCTTCTGAAACTATTCCAAACAATAGAAAAAGAGGGAATCCTCCCTAAATCATTTTATGAGGCCAGCATCATCCTGATACCAAATCCTGGCAGAGACACAACAAAAAAAGAAAATTTCAGGCCAATATCCCTGATGAACATCGATGCAAAAATCCTCAATAAAATACTGGCAAATGGAATCCAGCAGCACATCAAAAAGCTTATCCACCACAATCAAGTTGGCTTCATCCCTGGGATGCAAGGCTGGTTCAGCATATGCAAAAAAATAAATGTAATCCATCACATAAACAGAACCAAAGACAAAAATCACATGATTAACCTAATAGATGCAGAAAAGGCCTTTGACAAAATTCAACACCCCTTCATGCTAAAAATTCAATAAACTAGGTATCGGTGGAACATATCTCAAAATAATAAGAGCTATTTGTGACCAACCCACAGCCAATAGAATACTGGATGGGCAAGGCAAAAGGCAAGGATGCCCTCTCTCACAACTCCTATTCAACATAGTATTGGAAGTTCTGGCCATGACAATCAGGCAAGAGACAGAAATAAAGGGCATTCAAGTAGGAAAAGAGGAAGTCAAACTGTCTCTGTTTGCAGATGACATGATTGTATATTTAGAAAACACCATCGTCTCAGCCCAAAATCTCCTTAAGCTGATAAGCAACTTCAGCAAAGTCTCAGGATACAAAATCAGTGTGCAAAAATCACAAGCATTCTTATACACCAATAACAGACAAACAGAGAGCCAAATCATGAGTGAACTCCCATTCACAATTGCTACTAAGAGAATAAAATACCTAGGAATCCAACTTACAAGGGATGTGAAGGACCTCTTCAAGGAGAACTACAAGCCACTGCTCAAGGAAATAAGAGACGACACAAACAAATGGAAAAACATTCCATGCTCATGGATAGGAAGACTCAATATCATGAAAATGGCCATACTGCCCAAAGTAATTTATAGATTCAATGCTATCCCCATCAAGCTACCATTGGCTTTCTTCACAGAATTAGAAAAAACTACTTTAAACTTCTTATGGAGCCAAAAAAGAGCCTGCATAGCCAAGACAATCCTAAGCAAAAAGAACAAAGCTGGAGTCATCACACTACCTGAATTCAAACTATACTACAAGGCTGCAGTAACCAAAACAGCATGGTACTGGTACCAAAACAGATATGTAGACCAATGGAACAGAACAGAGCCCTCAGAAATACACCACACATCTACAACCATCTGACCTTTGACAAACCCAAGACAAACAATAGGGAAAGGATTCCTTATTTAATAAATGATGTTGGGAAAACTGGCTAGCCATATGCAGAAAACTGAAACTAGGCTTCTTCCTTACACCTTATACAAAAATTAACTCAAGATGGATTAAAGAGTTAAACGTAAGACCTGAAACCATAAAAAATCCTAGAAGAAAACCTAGGCAGTACCATTCAGGACATAGGCATACACAAAGGCTTCAGGTCTAAAACTCCAAAAGCAACGGCAACAAAAGCCAAAATTGACAAAGAGGATCTAATTAAACTAAAGAGCTCCTGCACAGCAAAAGAAACTGTGATCATGGTGAACAGGTAATCTACAGAATGGGAGAAAATTTTTGCAATCTATCTATTTGACAAAGGGCTAGTATCCAGAATCTACAAAGAACTTAAACAAATTTACAAGAAAAAAACAACCCCATCAAAAAGTAGGTGGAGGATATGAACAGACACTTCTCAAATAAGACATTTATGCAGCCAAAAAACATACGAAAAAAAGCTCATCATCACTGGTCATCAGAGAATGCAAATCAAAACCACAATGAGATACCATCTCACGCCAGTTAGAATGGCGATCATTAAAAAGTCAGGAAATAACAGATGCTAGAAAGGATGTGGAGCAATAAGAATGCTTTTACACTGTTGGTGGGAGTGTAAATTAGTTCAACCATTGTGGAAGACAGTGTGGCGATTCCTCAAGGATCTAGAACTAGAAATACCATTTGACCCAGCAATCCCATTACTGGGTATATACCCAAAGGATTATAAATCATTCTATACAGACACATGGACACATATGTTTATTGCATCACTATTCACAATAACAGAGACTTGGAACCAACCCATGTGCCCATCAATGATAGACTGGATAAAGAAAATGTGGCACATATATAGCATGGAATACTATGCAGCCATAAAAAAGATGAGTTCATGTCCTTTGCAGGGACATGGATGAAGCTGGAAACCATAATTCTCAGCAAACTAACATAAGAACAGAAAACCAAACACTGTGTGTTCTTACTCATAAGTGGGAGTTGAACAATGAGAACACACGGACACAGGGAGGGGAACATCACACACCGGGGCCTGTTGGAGGGTTGGGGGGGCTAGGGGAGGGATAGCGTTAGGAGAAATACCTAATGTAGGTGACAGGTTGATGGGTGCAGCAAACCACTATGGGACGTGTATACCTATGTAACAAAACTGCACGTTCTGCACATATACCCCAGAACTTAAAGTATAATAATAAAAAAAAAACTAGAAAAAAAAAAGTCTACTTTTCTGTTTTTCAACAGCGTCTTAACATTTCTCTCATATAGAGTTTGCTTATTTCTTACTGAGTTTATTCCTAAGTGTTTTGGGGCTTTTGTTATTCTTTTAAATGGAATTTTGTCTTCCATTATACCTCCTAACTAGTTATTCTTTGTTTTTATGAAAGTTACTGATTTCCATGTGTTGCCTTGATATTCTGCTACTTTATTGAATCTTGGTTGAATTAGTTTTAGCACTGATTTTCTAGGGGTTCCTAGGTTGACTGTCATCTCATCTGCAAATAGACATTGTTTTCCTTGTTATCTAAGTCTTTCACCTCTAATTGGTTTCTTTTGTATATTTTATTAGTTATAGGACAGTGTTCAATAATAATGGAGATAGTGGGGATCCTTGCCTTGTTTCTGATTGTATGAAAATGCTTCTATTGTTTCCTCTTAAGTAAGGTATTGGCTTTAGTACTGAGGTCTTTTTTCTTTCTTTCTTTCTTTAAATTTTTAAAATCATTGTTATTTTTAGTCTTTTTTGAGACAGGATCTCACTCTGTCACCCTGGCCAGAGTGCAGTGGTGTGATCACAGCTCAGGTAATCCTCTCACCTCAGCCTCTCACCTCAGCCTCCCTCAGCCTCTAGTAGCCGGGACTACAGGCATGCAAACACCATACCCAGATACATTTTTTTTTAAACAATGCTAAGGAAATGCCAATCAATTCTTGTTTTCTTGATTGTTTTATTTTAATCAGTAATAAGTGTTAATTTTATCAGACTTTTTCAATATCTATAGAGATAATCATATGAGTTTTCTGCTTATGTCTCTTAATATGGTACATTATGTTATGAGTTTCCTAATATTGCGCTATCCTTGCATTTCTGCAGTAAATTCTATTTGGCCATGATGTGTTATTTTCATTAATGGAGTATTGGAGGTTGTTTGTTAATATTTTATTTAGTATTCTTGTGTTAAAATTCATAAATGATATTCTCTGTAGTTTTTTTGTGTCTGCAGCCTTTATCAGATTGAAGTAACAATGCGGTACTTGATTTCATAAGAACCATCTGGAAGATTTTTCTAATTTTTTAAGTCCTGGAACAATTTATATAGCACTGAGACTATCTGTTTTTTGAGGCTGATAGCTTTCCTCCTTTGAAACTATTTGCGCATGGTGCTTTTTTTTTTTCTGTGGGGAAGTGCCATAGTAACTTTGCTTGTTTATTTAAGCTTCTATTTCTTCTCAAGCCAATTTTTATAAGTTATATTTTCTTAGGAAATTTTCCATTTCATCTAGGTTAATCAATGTATTTCTATAGAGATGTGCCAATAATCTCTATACTTCTTAAAAAATTTTGTTTCAGTGCTTACTTGTTCTCCTCAATCATTTATTTTGGTTCTCTTTCTTTAAAATTAGGTTATTTAGTGGTTTGCCTATTTTATGAATTTTTGAAGAACTAACATTTTTAATTTATTAGTTAGAGGTCTAGTTTTCTGATTTCTTCCTCATCAATTTTTGCTTTTGTCTTTATTTCCTTCGTTGTGCATTTTTTTGTTTACTTTTTCTAGTAACCCTAGTTGAGAATTTAATACATTCATTTTCATTCTTTTATTTTTAATTGATAAACATGTTTAGGGCTCTGAATTCTACTCTGATCACTACTATAAATGTGTACCATACATTCTGGTATGTAGTGTTTTGTTACTTTAGGAATGAGGTAATTTCAGTTTATATTTTCATGTTTACTTAAGAATTGTCTAAAAAGTCAGGAAACAACAGGTGCTGGAGAGGATGTGGAGAAATAGGAACATTTTTACACTGTTGGTGGGACTGTAAACTAGTTCAACCATTGTGGAAGTCAGTGTGGCGATTCCTCAGGGATCTAGAACTAGAAATACCATTTGACCCAGCCATCCCATTACTGGGTATATACCCAGAGGACTATAAATCATGCTGCTATAAAGACACATGCACACGTATGTTTATTGCGGCACTATTCACAATAGCAAAGACTTGGAACCAACCCAAATGTCCAACAATGATAGCCTGGATTAAGAAAATGTGGCACATATACACCATGGAATACTATGCAGCCATAAAAAATGATGAGTTCATGTCCTTTGTAGGGACATGGATGAAATTGGAAATCATCATTCTCAGTAAACTATCGCAAGGACAAAAAACCAAACACCACATGTTCTCACTCATAGATGGGAATTGAACAATGAGAACACATGGCCACAGGAAGGGGAACATCACACACTGGCGACTGTTGTGGGGTGGGGGGTGGGGGGAGGGATAGCATTAGGAGATACACCTAATGCTAAATGACGAGTTAATGGGTGCAGCACACCAGCATGGCACATGTATACATATGTAACTAACTTGCACATTGTGCACATGTACGCTAAAACTTAAAGTATAATAATAATTTTTTAAAAAATTGTCTAATAGAAGATTTAAAAAAAAATTTCCAGAGCCTCTTTGTTTTTCTAGTTTTATTACGTTACATTCAGAGTGTGATTTGTAATATTTCTACCTGTGGAACTTGATGTTTTCTTTGTGACCTAATATATGATCAAATTTTTACAAATGTTCCATGTGTGTGCCTGAGAAGAAGGTATATACTCTAACAAGGTATAAAGTTCTAAAGATATATCCATAGATCTACCTCACTGATTATATTGTTGAATACTTTTGTATCCTTACTTATTTTTGCCACTCTTTTCTTCTGAGAATGGTGTATTAAAGTCTCCTACTACTAGTATGTTTCTATTTCTCTTTGCATTTTGTTTAAGTATATTTAATTGTTCAGAGTTAAATACTTCCTTTCTTATAAAAGTGATTCTTGTGTTTTTTGGTCCATGTTTTTTGGAACATAAGTGTTATATCTTCATTGTGATTTATAACTTTTAGCATTATAAAGTATGCTTTGTCACATTTAATACCTTTTGACTTCATTTCTACTTCATCTAATATCAGGAATGAAACCTCTACTTTTTTCTTGTTTCCAATTTCCTGGCTTATCTTGGCTTTTTACATTTAGCTTTCTGTATTTTAGATGTTTAATATATTTAGCCTTCTGGAATTATTTTGTATTAAGTATGTCTCTTGTATACAATGCAGAGTTCAGTCTTGCCTTGTTAGACAATTTGGAAATATTCTTCTTTTAATTGAAGTAAGCTTATAACACTTACTGATATGTTTGATGTTAACTTCATCACATTATTTTATAGTACTGTTTATTGTACTATAATTTCATTTTCTATGTGATGTTTCTTCTCTGTTCTTTTAAAAAATTTCTTTTGGTATTTAGGAAGTTTGTAATTTTGTTCTGGTGGTTACCTTTGCATATATACCTTTTATAGAGCCCTTAATCTTGTTTTCTTTTTTTTACATGTCATTGTCAGGTATGTCAGTTAAATTTTTTTTTAATGCTTTTTTTTCGGCAGATTCTTTTTATTTTATTTTATTATTATTATACTTTAAGTTTTAGGGTACATGTGCACAATGTGCAGGTTAGTTACATATGTATACATGTGCCATGCTGGTGTGCTGCACCCATTAACTTGTCATTTAGCATTAGGTATATCTCCTAATGCCATCCCTCCCCCCTCCCCCCATCCCACAACAGTTCCCAGAGTGTGATGTTCCCCTTCCTGTGTCCATGTGTTCTCATTGTTCAGTTCCCACCTATGAGTGAGAACATGCGGTGTTTGGTTTTTTGTCCTTGCAATAGTTTACTGAGAATGATGATTTCCAGTTTCATCCATGTCCCTACAAAGGACATGAACTTATCATTTTTTAAGGCTGCATAGTATTCCATGGTGTATATGTGCCACATTTTCTTAATCCAGTCTATCGTTGTTGGACATTTGGGTTGGTTCCAAGTCTTTGCTATTGTGAATAGTGCCACAATAAACATATGTGTGCATGTGTCTTTATAGCAGCATGATTTATAGTCCTCTGGGTATATACCCAGCAATGGGATGGCTGGGTCAAATGGTATTTCTAGTTCTAGATCCCTGAGGAATCGCCACACTGACTTCCACAATGGTTGAACTAGTTTACAGTCCCACCAACAGTGTAAAAGTGTTCCTACTTCTCCACATCCTCTCCAGCACCTGTTGTTTCCTGACTTTTTAATGATTGCCATTCTAACTGGTGTGAGATGATATCTCATTGTGGTTTTGATTTGCATTTCTCTGATGGCCAGTGATGGTGAGCATTTTTTCATGTGTTTTTTTGGCTGCATAAATGTCTTCTTTTGAGAAGTGTCTGTTCATGTCCTTTGCCCACTTTTTGATGGGGTTGTTTGTTTTTTTCTTGTAAATTTGTTTGAGTTCTTTGTAGATTCTGGATATTAGCCCTTTGTCAGATGAGTAGGTTGCGAAAATTTTCTCCCATTTTGTAGGTTGCCTGTTCACTCTGATGGTAGTTCCTTTTGCTGTGCAGAAGCTCTTTAGTTTAGTTAGATCCCATTTGTCAATTTTGGCTTTGTTGCCATTGCTTTTGGTGTTTTAGACATGAAGTCCTTGCCCATGCCTATGTCCTGAATGGTAATGCCTAGGTTTTCTTCTAGGGTTTTTATGGTTTTAGGTCTAACGTTTAAGTCTTTAATCCATCTTGAATTGATTTTTGTATAAGGTGTAAGGAAGGGATCCAGTTTCAGCTTTCTCCATATGGCTAGCCAGTTTTCCCAGCACCATTTATTAAATAGGGAATCCTTTCCCCATTGCTTGTTTTTCTCAAGTTTGTCAAAGATCAGATAGTTGTAGATATGCGGCGTTATTTCTGAGGGCTCTGTTCTGTTCCATTGATCTATATCTCTGTTTTGGTACCAGTAACATGCTGTTTTGGTTACTGTAGCCTTGTAGTATAGTTTGAAGTCAGGTAGCATGATGCCTCCAGCTTTGTTCTTTTGGCTTAGGATTGACTTGGTGATGCAGGCTCTTTTTCGGTTCCATATGAACTTTAAAGTAGTTTTTTCCAATTCTGTGAAGAAAGTCATTGGTAGCTTGATGGGGATGGCATTGAATCTCTAAATTACCTTGGGCAGTATGGCCATTTTCACGATAGTGATTCTTCCTACCCATGAGCATGGAATGTTCTTCCATTTGTTTGTATCCTCTTTTATTTCATTCAGCAGTGGTTTGTAGTTCTCCTTGAAGAGGTCCTTCACATCCCTTGTAAGTTGGATTCCTAGGTATTTTATTCTCTTTGAAGCAATTGTGAATGGGAGTTCACTCATGATTTGGCTCTCTTTTGTCTGTTATTGGTGTATAAGAATGCTTGTGATTTTTGTACATTGATTTTGTATCCTGAGACTTTGCTGAAGTTGCTTATCAGCTTAAGGAGATTTTGAGCTGAGACAACGGGGTTTTCTAGATGTACAATCATGTCATCTGCAAACAGGGACAATTTGACTTCCTCTTTTCCTAATTGAATACCCTTTATTTCCTTCTCCTGCCTAATTGCCCTGGCCAGAACTTCCAACACTATGTTGAATAGGAGTAGTGAGAGAGGGCATCCCTGTCTTGTGCCAGTTTTCAAAGGGAATGCTTCCAGTTTTTGCCCATTCAATATGATATTGGCTGTGGGTTTGTCATAGACAGCTCTTATTATTTTGAGATACATCCCATCGATACCTAATTTATCGAGAGTTTTTAGCATGAAGCATTGTTGAATTTTGTCAAAGGCCTTTTCTGCATCTATTGAGATAATTATGTGGTTTTTGTCTTTGGTTCTGTTTATATGCTGGATTACATTTATTGATTTGCGTATATTGAACCAGCCTTGCATCCCAGGGATGAAGCCCACTTGATCATGGTGGATAAACTTTTTGATGTGCTGCTGGATTCGGTTTGCCAGTATTTTATTGAGGATTTTTGCATCAATGTTCATCAAGGATATTGGTCTAAAATTCTCTTTTTTGGTTGTGTCTCTGCCCGGCTTTGGTATCAGGATGATGCTGGCCTCATAAAATGAGTTAGGGAGGATTCCCTCTTTTTCTATTGATTGGAATAGTTTCAGAAGGAATGGTACCAGTTCCTCCTTGTACCTCTGGTAGAATTTGGCTGTGAATCCATCTGGTCCTTGACTCTTTTTGATTGGTAAGCTATTGATTATTGCCACTATTTCAGAGCCTGTTATTGGTCTATTCAGAGATTCAACTTCTTCCTGGTTTAGTCTTGGGAGGATGTATGTGTCGAGGAATTTATCCATTTCTTCTAGATTTTCTAGTTTATTTGCGTAGAGGTGTTTGTAGTATTCTCTGAGGGTAGTTTGTATTTCTGTGGGATCAGTGGTGATATCCCCTTTATCATTTTTTATTGCATCTATTTGATTCTTCTTTCTTTTCTTTTTTATTAATCTTGCTAGCAGTCTATCAATTTTGTTGATCCTTTCAAAAAGCCAGCTCCTGGATTCATTACTTTTTTGAAGGGTTTTTTTGTGTCTCTGTTTCCTTCGGTTCTGCTCTGATTTTAGTTATTTCTTGCCTTCTGCTAGCTTTTGAATGTGTTTGCTTTTCTAGTTCTTTTAATTGTGATGTTAGGGTGTCAATTTTGGATCTTTCCTGCTTTCTCTTGTGGGCATTTAGTGCTATAAATTTCCCTCTACACACTGCTTTGAGTGTGTCCCAGAGATTCTGGTATGTTGTGTCTTTGTTCTCGTTGGTTTCAAAGAACATCTTTATTTCTGCCTTCATTTATTTATGTACCCAGTAGTCATTCAGGAGCAGGTTGTTCAGTTTCCACGTAGTTGAGCGGTTTTGAGTGAGTTTCTTAATCCTGAGTTCTAGTTTGATTGCACTGTGGTCTGAGAGACAGTTTGTTATAATTTCTGTTCTTTTACATTTGCTGAGAAGAGCTTTACTTCCAAGTTTGTGGTCAATTTTGGAATAGGTGTCATGTGGTGCTGAAAAAAATGTATATTCTGTTGATTTGGGGTGGAGAGTTCTGTAGATGTCTATTAAGTCTGCTTGGTGCAGAGCTGAGTTCAATTCCTGGGTATCCTTGTTGACTTTCTATCTCATTGATCTGTCTAATGTTGACAGTGGGGTTGTTAAAGTCTCCCATTATTAAGGTGTGGGAGTCTAAGTCTCTTTGTAGGTCACTCAGAACTTGCTTTATGAATCTGGGTGCTCCTGTATTGGGTGCATATATATTTAGGATAGTTAGCTCTTCTTGTTGAATTGATCCCTTTACCATTATGTAATGGCCTTCTTTGTCTCTTTTGATCTTTGTTGGTTTAAAGTCTGTTTTATCAGAGACTAGGATTGCAACCCCTGCCTTTTTTTGTTTTCCATTTGCTTGGTAGATCTTCCTCCATCCTTTTATTTTGAGCCTATGTGTGTCTCTGCACGTGAGATGGGTTTCCTGATTACAGCACACTGATGGGTCTTGACTCTTTATCCAATTTTCCAGTCTGTGCCTTTTAATTGGAGCATTTAGTCCGTTTACATTTAAAGTTAATATTGTTAAGTGTGAATTTGATCCTGTCATTATGATGTTAGCTGATTATTTTGCTCGTTAGTTGATGCAGTTTCTTCCTAGTCTCGATGGTCTTTACAATTTGGCATGATTTTGCAGCGGCTGGTACCGGTTGTTCCTTTCCATGTTTAGTGCTTCCTTCAGGAGCTCTTTTAGGGCAGGCCTGGTGGTGACAAAATCTCTCAGCATTTGCTTGTCTGTAAAGTATTTTATTTCTCCTTCACTTATGAAGCTTAGTTTGGCTGGATATGAAATTCTGGGTTGAAAATTCTTTTCTTTAAGAATGTTGAATATTGGCCCCCACTCTCTTCTGGCTTGTAGAGTTTCTGCCGAGAGATCCGCTGTTAGTCTGATGGTCTTCCCTTTGTCAGTAACCCGACCTTTCTCTCTGGCTGCCCTTAACATTTTTTCTTTCATTTCCACTTTGGTGAATCTGACAATTATGCGTCTTGGTGTTGCTCTTCTCGAGGAGTATCTTTGTGGTGTTCTCTGTATTTCCTGAATCTGAATGTTGGCCTGCCTTGCTAGATTGGGGAAGTTCTCCTGGATAATATCCTGCAGAGTGTTTTCCAACTTGGTTCCATTCTCCCTGTCACTTTCAGGTACACCAATCAGACGTAGATTTGGTCTTTTCACATAGTCCCATATTTCTTGGAGGCTTTGTTCGTTTCTTTTTATTCTTTTTTCTGTAAACTTCCCTTCTCGCTTCATTTCATTCATTTCATCTTCCATCGCTGATACCCTTTCTTCCAGTTGATCGCATTAGCTCCTGAGGCTTCTGCGTTCTTCATGTAGTTCTCGAGCCTTGGTTTTCAGCTCCATCAGCTCCTTTAAGCACTTCTCTGTATTGGTTATCCTAGTTATACATTCATCTAAATTTTTTTCAAAGTTTTTAACTTCTTTGCCTTTGGTTTGAATTTCCTCCTGTAGCTCGGAGTAGTTTGATCGTCTGAAGCCTTCTTCTCTCAACTCGTCAAAGTCATTTTCTTTCCAGCTTTGTTCCGTTGGTAGTGAGGAACTGCGTTCCTTTGGAGGAGGAGAGGTGCTCTGCTTTTTAGAGTTTCCAGTTTTTCTGCTCTGTTTCTTCCCCATCTTTGTGGTTTTAGCTACTTTTGGTCTTTGCTTTTGGTGATGTAGAGATGGGTTTTTGATGTGGATGTCCTTTCTGTTTGCTAGTTTTCCTTCTAACAGACAGGACCCTCAGCTGTAGGTCTGTTGGAGTTTGCTAGAGGTCCACTCCAGACCCTGTTTGCCTGGGTATCAGCAGCGGTGGCTGCAGAACAGTGGATTTTCGTGAACCGCGAATGCTGCTGTCTGATCGTTCCTCTGGAATTTTTGTCTCAGAGGAATACCCGGCCGTGTGAGGTGTCAGTCTGCCCCTACTGGGGGTTGCCTCCTAGTTAGGCTGCTCGGGGGTCAGGGGTCAGGGACCCACTTGAGGAGGCAATCTGCCCGTTCTCAGATCTCCAGCTGCGTGCTGGGAGAACCACTGCTCTCTTCAAAGCTGTCAGACAGGGACATTTAAGTCTGTAGAGGTTACTGCTGTCTTTTTGTTTGTCTGTGCCCTGCCCCCAGAGGTGGAGCCTACAGAGGCAGGCAGGCCTCCTTGAGCTGTGGTGGGCTCCACCCAGTTGGAACTTCCCGGCTGCTTTGTTTACCTAAGCAAGCCTGGGCAATGGCGGGTGCCCCTCCCCCAGCCTCACTGCCGCCTTGCAGTTTGATCTCAGACTGCTGTGCTAGCAATCAGTGAGACTCTGTGGGCGTAAGACCCTCCGAGCCAGGTGCCGGATATAATCTCCTGGTTTTTTAAGCCCGTCGGAAAAGTGCAGTATTAGGGTGGGCATGACCCAATTTTCCAGGTGCCGTCTGTCACCCCTTTCTTTGACTAGGAAAGGGAACTCCCTGACCCCTCGCGCTTCCCAAGTGAGGCAATGCCTTGCCCTGCTTCGGCTCGCGCACGGTGCACTGCACCCACTGTCCTGCGCTCACCGTCTGGCACTCCCTAGTGAGATGAACCCAGTACCTCAGATGGAAATGCAGAAATCACCCATCTTCTGTGTCACTCACGCTGGGAGCTGTAGACCGGAGCTGTTCCTATTCGGCCACCTTGGCTGCCCTTCCCGAAAAAACAAAATTTTTTTTTTGTTTTAATAAGTGAGCTTTTCTATGTTCCTATTCTTTCCATTATTTTCTCTCCATCCTTCCCATTTTTAGTTATATATTTTGCTTTGACAGAACATGAAGTATTTACATACTATGCTTCCATGCGTATCCCGTTTTTGTTTTTGTCTTATAGCTACAATTAAGTATATTAAATATCCCACAAGTTTGGTGGCTTAAAACAACAGAACTTGATTTCTTCCCAGTTCTGGGGTCCAGAAATCCAAAATCAGTTTCACTAGGCCAACGTCAAGGTATCAGTAGGGCCACACTCCCTCCAGAGGAGAAGCTGCTCTGGAAGAGAATTTGCTCCTTGCTTCTTCTAGCTTCTGAAATTGTGGCTGCAGCACACCAATCTCTGCCTCTTGTCTTCACATCATCTCCTCTGTGTGGGTGTCAAAGATCTTCCTCTGTCTGTTTCTTATAAGAATGTACATGAAATATGAAAAATTTTTTTTAAAAAATATGTGATTGCATTTAGGGCCTACCCAAGATAATCTCCCCATCTCAAGATTCTAAATTGTATCTGAAGAGGCTTCCCCTACCCCTTTTTTGCCATATAAGGTAATAGTGACAGGCTCCAGGGTTTAGGACATGGAATATCTTCAGGCATTATTATTTAGCCTACCATGGTCCTTCCAGTGGGCCCCAAAGATCCATCCCAATATCCTTCAATTTTCAGCTTCATTTCAAGTTCAAAATCTCATCTAAATCTCATTAGCTCAAAAGTCCCAAATCTCATCATCTAAATCAGTTATGGGAGGACTGGATAGAATCCATCCTGGTGCAAAATTCTCCATTTGTGGTCCTATGAAACTAGAAGACAAGTTGTCTGCTTTCAAAATACCATGATGGGACAGACATAGGATGAAAGTTATAGACATTTCCATTTTACGAGGGAAAATCAAAGAAGAAAGGGATCAGCAGTTCCAAGCAACTTTGAAATTCATTAGAGCAAATACTATTAGGACTTAATGCTCTGTGACTTGAGTCTTTACCCTTCTGGATCCATGGCTCTTCCCTCTGTGCCTGTGGCTCTGGCTTTGGCCTCTGTGCCTATGGATCTGCAGCTCTGGCCACATGTTCTCACTTACTTCTGGGAGCTAAAAATTAAAACAGTTGAACTTAGGAAGATAGAGAGTAGAATGATGGTTACCAGAGGCTGAGAAAGGTAGTCTGTAGAATTTTTTGAGTCTAGCACCCTTCCTTCATTTCATCCTGTCTTTGTGTCTTTCAATTTAAGCTAGCAGTATTTCTGTTGGTATAACATTCTCAAAAGATCTTGTGTCTTGCATATGTCATGGTCATCTACTCCATAGACAGGTCTTTCCTGGAAAATCCCATCTTTATTGTTAGCTTCTTCTGACATCATTTGGAGGATCCATGAATCACATGCTTTATCTCTTCAGAACTAGCAAAAGGTTATTCAGCCACACTCTTGCCCTTCTCTCCAGAATATGCTTTCCTAACAGCGACTTTACTAATCTTTTGCAATTTGGACAGGCTGAAAACTTCTCAAAACATCAAGTCCTGGTTCCTTTTGCTTAAAGTTTTTCCCACCATTTATCTCTTTGTTCTTGCTTTTATACTAAGCCTCCAGAAGAAGGTAGGCTGTAACTTTAGCACTTTGAGAAATAGACAAATGAGACAGTTGAAAATTAAAATATCAACCTTATCAGTGATAAAAGTGTTTATAGCATAACGCTTAGCTCTGTAACCAATGTGCTTGTAATTACTAACCCCTAAACTGCAGCATCTCTTCTCACTCTATCTAGCCCCTCCCTGACACACAGGGACAGAGTATGCTGTGGTCAATTTACTTCATTGATGAGCAGAGACTGGCTGCTCTGTGGACAGGCTCCTTTGTAGGACAGAGAAACCAAAAGGGGCTGAGCCATATATGCTTAATTACTTTACTCTAGAGAAAGAGAGAGGAGGATGGAGCCATACCACAAAACTGCAGAAAGGGCAAACATACCTATGTTAGGGACCAAGGTAGGTAGGAAACTGGGAGGCAGATGGAATGATTCTTTCTAACACTAAGGTGATAGGCATTTTTGCTATCTACCTGTCTTATCAGTTATAGTGAATAGTGTTTTTTCTTTGACTATGAATTACTAAAAGCTCCTTCAAATCAAACATGTAACTATTTGAACAGTTTAAATGATAGCACCTATTTTTTATATAAATTAATATAATATACATATAAATTAGATATAAATATAATTTAATTTATATAATTAAATTATAAATTAAATTACATGTAATATAGAATATATTTTATAATTATGTGTAATTATTATATAATTATATATAATTAATTATATAATTTAATTATAAATTATAATTAAATTTATATGCATATTTATATATAAAATTAAATTTATAATTATATAAATATAAATTATAATAATATAGATAATGTAAATATAAATTAAATGCCTGCTATCATTTAATTTATATTTATATTATATTAATTTATATTATAATTCTCATGTAGCTTATTGTCCTGTAATTTATAGGTTTCTCCAACAACTAACAGAAGAGAATTTTGAGTTAATTAGTAAGTTGTGGACTGACATTCAGCAGAAAATAGCAACCCAGTCACAAATAACTCCTCCAGGAACGCCATCATCTGCTCTTTCATCAGGGGAGCAAAGAGGTTTGTTTCCCTTTTGCATTATTTCTAGGTGCCTGCTTTATTAGGTTCATTCTTGAATGCAGTAATTTTTGAAGGAATGTTATTTGAGTTTTGACTGCCTTTGCCTAATTGACTAAAATACTGATGGATCTGTCAATTGAAATACTTTCTTAAGAAGTTTGTTCACTTGAGATACTTTTGGAAATGTTCTTCCTTTTAGCTGCTCTGAATGCTACCAATGCTGTCAAGAGACTCCAAACCAGGCTTCAGCCTGAAGAATCTACTGAGACTCTAGACTCAAGCTACGTTGTGGGACACGTGCTGAACTCAAGGAAGCAAAAACAGCTGTTAAATAAAGGTTCAGTCCCTTAATTTACAAAGATGAATATTAAACATGTAACTTGATACAGCTGTCTTAATCTCTTAGTCAATGTTTTTCTCCCTTAATCTCATCCACATGGTTCCAACTGAAAGTTTATTGAATGGTAGCTAAGAAATGTCTCCTACCACATGTAACTCTGGAACAGTGGTTCTAGTGCATTCATTATAGCTAGTGTAAATCTGGTTTAAACTGTTTAATTTTTATGAGAGAAATGGTGATATCGTCTATACAAGCCTTTTATAAATTGTGAACAATAGTCAAAAGATTTTTCTAGTAGTTTTCTAGTCATAATTTTTCCTGGTCTTAAAATAGAATGACTTCTCTCATTATCAGTGAAAAGGAAACCGAATTTGCATGCTCTTTCCAAGCCGAAGAAAAACATATCATCAGGTAGCACAACCTCTGCAGACTTACCAAATAGGACTAATTCCAACCTGGATGTCCTCAAACACATGATACATGAAGTGGAACATGAAATGGAAGAATATGAGCGGTGGACAGGTCGCGAGGTCAAGGGTCTGCAGAGCAGTCAGGGTCTTACAGGCTTCACTTTGTCGCTGGTGAGCTCCCTCTGTCGCCTGGTTCGGTACCTTAAAGAGGTAAGGACATTAGGTTAGTAGAGTCTTCTTTTCAGGCAGAAATGCATGAGTTTTTTTTCCTTTCCATTTATTGCAACCTCCAAATAAAGTACAGTCAAATTTGAATAGCTTCGTTTAAAATACCTCAGTTTTAGATTATCTGCAGTAAAGGCTTATCCTTTAAGTCTTTTCTGCCGTTAGTTGATACATGCTCAGATAAGTGATTTTAATTTTAATAAGAGCTTTAGCAAATTATAATTAGTAGGGTAAATCTGCCATTAATATAATTATATCTTGTGCTAATATTAAATATTACTGTTTGACAGTTGTAGATTAAATAGAACTGTTAACTGTGTCTGCATTCTATTGCTATTCTCTGCTTCCTACTCCCACATTCAGTTTGGAGAGTGGCATTGCCTATAATCGGTAGACTTGATATGTGGGAGAATTCTTCATGTTCCCTGTATGTCTGGTAACTCACATATGGCTTCAATGTCTAAGTGGGAGATGTTTTATTGTTGTAAAAATAATTTATAAAATAAGCAAGAATTCTTTGTTTGGCTGGGTGTGGTGGCTCACGCCTATAACCTATAATCCCAGCCCTTTGGAAGGCCGAGGCGGGCAGATTGCCTGAGGTCAGGAGTTTAAGACCAGCCTGGCCTCAACGTGGTAAAACCTTGTCTCTACTAAAAATACAAAAATTAGTCGGGCATGGTGGCGGGCGCCTGTAATCCCAGCTTCTGGGGAGGCTGAGGCAGGAGAATTACTTTCACCAGGGAGTTGGAGGTTGCAGTGAGCCGAGATCGCGCCACTGCACTCCAGCCTGGGCGGCAGAGCAAGACACTGTCTCAAAAAATAAAAATAAAAAAAGAATTGTTTGTTTAATTTGATTTCAAATAATCATCCACAGAATGCCACAGAATTAGAGTTAGCTATGTGTTTCATCTTTGAAAATCTATTTAAACTGTTATGTACTTAAGCCTGTTATACAAATATGACAAAAATGTTTAAGGAAACTTTATTATTTAATAAGATAGATTTACCACCTTAATACAGATGTTTTAGTTTCTCTAGAGCCGTCTTCCTAAAATTGAATTGCTTTTTTTTTGAGACAGGGTCTCATTCTGTTGCCCAGGCTAGGGTGCAGTAGTGGCATGATCTCGGCTCACTGCAACCTCCACCTCCCGGGTTTAAGTGGTTTTCCAGCCTCAGCCTCCCAAGTAGCTGGGACCACAGGTGCATGCCACCACACCCAGCTAATTTTTGTATTTTTTTTGTAGAGACAGAGTCTCACTATGTTGCCCAGGCTGGTCTCGAAATCCTGAGTTCAAAGCGATCTGCCCACCTTGGCTTCCCAAGGTGTTGGTATTATAGGCGTGAGCCTCTGCACCTGACCCTAAAATTAACTTTTTAATGACAGATTCATTGTATTGTCAGACCTATTAAAACCTTAACATTCTTTCACCCTTAACTCAGGAATCTTCAGGAGTATACTTTTGGCTCTTGGAGAGTATTGCAGGCTTAGAAGCATGTACTTTTTTTTTTTTTTTTGAGACAGAGTCTCGCTCTGTTGCTAGGCTGGAGTGCAGTGGCATGATCTTGGCTCACTGCAACCTCTGCCTCCTGGGTTCAAGAGATTCTTCTGCCTCAGCCTCTTGAGTATCTGGGACTACAGGCGTGCACCACCACGCCCAGTTAATTTTCGTATTTTTAGTAGAGACGGGGTTTCATTCACCATGTTGGCCAGGATGGTCTCGATCTCTTGACCTTGTAATCTGCCTGCCTTGGCCTCCCAATGTGCTGGGATTACAGGTGTGAGCCACCACGCCCGACCAGAAGCGTGTACTTTTAAGCTAATCACTTGTTTTACAAAGTTAAACCATTTAAAGTTGTAGTCATTTACTTTAAATTATATTTTAACAAGCTTAATTTTTGAATTGGCAATATAGTCACATATTATGAAATTCAAAGATAACAGCAGATTGTACTAACTCTCATGACTAACTTCCAGCTAGCCTGTTTGCTTATTTATAGCCAACTATCATTCCAGATACCAGTGTATCTTTCTAGAGATGGTCAGTGTATATTCAAATAATATGTATATGTATATCCCTCTACTTTCTTTTTACAAAAAATGTAGTTACTTAATTTTATATAGCATTTAGTTCATTTTATTCTATTTAAAGAAGGGAAGAGGATAAAGAAGCACATTTTCTTTAATTAAATATAATAAACCTTTTAATAAAACTCTTCATCATTACTGTCACATAATATATGCTTCTTTGTAAATATCTTCTTTGCCAGCTTTGAGTGCAAACTTTTAGTTTTCAACATGTGATGCTATTGGTGGAAGTTTATTTGATATTTTTTTGTAGAGTGAGATCCAGCTACGTAAAGAAGTAGAGACAAGGCAACAACTGGAACAAGTATTAGGTGATCATCGAGAGCTCATTGATGCTCTGACAGCTGAAATTCTTCGTCTTAGAGAAGAAAACGCTGCTACACAGGTACTCAGATGAGATCCCAATTTTTATGTGTTCAGTGGTATAAAACATCTTTAAACATGTACTGGATTCTCTTAGAGTTGCTTTTGGTTTAACTGTATCGATGTGATTACTTATCAGTCATTTTTATCATCAGTGGCAGGTATTATTGAACATTTATTACATGGAAGTACTATAGTAGAAGCTTGGAAGTAGTATATGGACTGTCTTCCTGTCTTCAAGAGACTTACTATTTAGTGGGAAGACAGAGTCTACATTTAAATTATAACTACAAGTGTTACAGTAGTTAATCCAAAATGTGAAATGAGTGTTATGACAGCCACTTTTAATTTCAAAACAGCAGAAGGTAGCCTTTGAGGAGTCCTTTTGCAATTATATCAGAGCCATTTACAGTTGTTCACAGTATCTTCATATTTGTTACATAAAGTCCTCTTTGCTGCTTGACTAATTGCTCCTTTTCTTTTTTAAAAGACTTACACCATTCTCTTCTGGAAAACCTATTGCTTCCATGCTGCATTGAGCATTCTTCCTTTGTGAACTTTTTTTTTTTTTTTTGAGATGGTGTCTCACTCTGTCACCCAGGATGGAGTGCAGTGGCATGAGTTCATTGCAGCCTGGACCTCCTGGGCTCAAGTGATCCTCCCACCTTAGCCTCCCAAGTCGCTGGGACTACAGGTGCACACCACCATACCCAGCTAACTTTTTATGTTTTGTAGAGATGGGGTTTCACCATGTTGCCCAGGCTGGTCTCGAACTCCAGGGCTCAAGCTATTCGCCCGCCTTGGCCCTCGAAAGTGCTGGGATTACAGGCATGAGCCACTGCACCTTGCTTCTTTGTGCACTTCTGATACTGTCTGGATATTGGTATTATTGCATTTATCAAATTGTTTTATACTTATATGTGTACTTGTTACTGAGACTGTATGCTTCTTGAGTGTACACAGTCTATTTTATTCATCTTTTTTGTTCTCATATGATGGTTATTATTACTTTTATTTATCAGCCAGAAGAGACTAGACAAGTAATAGTTAGAAGATAAATTATGTTTGTGTTAATGGACATTAGATGTAGATGTATAATTTTTTAAAATTGATAATATAGGGCGAGGCGCAGTGGCTCACACCTTTAATCCCCACATTTTGGGTGCCAAGGTGGGAAGATCACTTGAGGCCAGGAGTTTGAGATCAGCCTGGGTAACAGAGTGAGACCTGTCTCTACAAAAAATAAAAATATTAGCTGGGCATGGTAGCATATGCCTGTAGTCCTAGCTGCTTGGGAGGCTGAGGCAGGAGGATCACTTGAGCCTAGGAGTTTGAGGCTGCAGTGAGCTATGATTTTGCCATTACACTCCACCCTAGGTGACAGAGTGAGACCCTGTCTCTAAAAAAAAAAAAAAAAACAACAAAAAACTGAAACCACACACAAATTTGATAATATAGTTCACATACCATTAAGTCCTCCACCCTTTTAAAATGTACAAATCAGTGTTTTTAGTATGTTTGAAGTTGTATGCCAGCACTGTTATCTAAATCCAGAACATTTTCCTCACTCCAGAGAGAAATCCTGTACCCTTTTTCTTTTTTTTTTTGAGACGGAGTCCCACTCTGTCCCCCAGGCTGGAGTGCAGTGGCATGATCTCAGCTCACTGCAAGCTCTGCCTCTCGTGTTCACGCCATTCTCCTGTCCTAGCCTCCTGAGTAGCTGGGACTACAGGCGCCTGCCACTACGCCTGGCTAATTGTTTGTATTTTTAGCAGAGATGAGGTTTCACCGTGTTAGCCAGGATGGTCTCGATCTCCTGACCTCGTGATCTGCCTGACTTGGCCTCCCAAAGTGTTGGGATTACAGGCATGAGCCACCGCGCCAGGCCATCCTGTACCCTTTAGAAGTCACTCTTCATTCTCTCTTCTTGCCAGCTCCTGGCAGTCACTAATCTACTTTTTGTGTTTGTGTATTTGCCTAATATAGATATTACATAGAAATGGAATAATGTAATATGTGCTTTTCTTTCACTTAGTATAATGTTTAAGGTTAATTTATGTTTAGCATGTATCAGTACTTCATTCCTTTGTATTGCCCAATAATATTCCATTGTATGGATATACCATATTTTATTTATCCTTTCATTAGTTAATGAACATTTGGGTTATTTTTACATTTTGTCTGTTATGAATAATGCTGCTATGAACATTCATATACATATTTTTGCAGAACATATGTTTAATTCTCCTGGGAAGATGTGCAGTTTTAAAATGTACTAATTTACTTAACAAATCTTTGTTGAACACCTGCTGTGGGCCTGGTACTGTTCTAGGTACAGGAAATAGAATAGTGAACAAAATATAGAAAACTTTGCCCTCATGGAGCTTACATTCTAAATAAATCCTAAAAACAAAAAGTTGAAGTATAGTAAGTTAGATGGTGATATGTACTTTGAAGAAAAATAAAGCACATAAAGGCACAGGAAATGCATAGGATGGGGTAGGATGCAGTTACAAATGAGATGGGCCATGCCTGTCTGAGGAAGTGACATTTGAGCCAAGACCTGGAAGAGGCGAGGAGTGAGCATGTGGGTAGCTGAGAGAAGAGCAGTCTGGGCAGAGGAAAAGCAAGTGCGAAGGTCTTGCGGTGGGAGTGTGACTGGTGAGCTTAGAGTCATCAAGGAGATCAGTGTGGCAAGAGTAGAGTATGAGGAAGAGGAAGAGAGAGAGGCAGGAGACAAGATCAGGTAAGCCCAATTACATAGCGCCTTGCATGATGGTTAAAGATATGGGCTTTTATGCTGAGTGAGATGGGAAACCACTAAAGAGAAGAGACGTGATTTGTCTTGGGTTTAAGAGGATCACTCTGGGCTGTGTTGAAACTAGATCAGAGATTGGTGCCCTTTCTTGGGTCGCGTGCCCTTAGTGTCTTATAACAAAACAGTTCTACTAGGCCAAAAACAGTTCTACTTACTAAGTTGTTGAGTCCAAACAACTATGTCCTAACAACTGAGGGGCTGTTTGAGAAAAAGTAATACTTTCTCTTAAATAACTACAATTATTTACTAATGGGTTATATGTACCTTTTGAGCACTGTACCACTTCTCAAAGCTTGGAATCATGTGGGACACAATCATTCTTATTTCCTGTTCCACACTGATTTTCCTCCAGAACTTGTTTTTTTAACCTAGCAACTGCTGAAAACCCAGCCATGAGAAGATTTGACATCCTCAAAAGGAATGTAATGGAATCTGACATTGAAATTGTGAACTGTCCTGAGCTAATAGTTCACCAGTGTCTGATAGATGGCAGGCATCACTATTTCCCTTGAAGATTTAAATTTTCCCCGGTGCCCCTGTAAGTTCACTTTAGTGCCCTGAGGTGCCTCAGCAAACAGTTTGGGAACAGTATGGGACTAGAGTAGGTGGCCAAAAAGCAGAATATTACATGAGGAGTTATTGGAATAGTTCAGGTGAGACATGGCAGCTTGGTCTAGGGTGGAAGTGGGAGAGGGTGTGAAAAGTGATCAAGTTATGAATATATTTTGAAGGCTGACCAATGCAGTCTGCTAATTTATTGGATGTGGAGTGAAGTAGAGGATATTGGAAAAGAGTCAAGGGTAATTCCAAAGTTTTGGACTGAATAATTAAAATGATGAAGTTGCCATTTATGAGGTAAACAAGGCTTGAGGAGGAATTTGGCTTTATGTATCTTAAGTTTGAGAAGTCTATTTCAGTTCTAGATGGAGGTGTTGAGTAGGCCACTGGATATATGAGTGTGAAATTTGGGAAAAAATTTGGGCTGGTGGTATAAAAATGTTTACTATACTTCATTCAGCAGTACTGTTAATAATATTTCTGAGTCTGGCTGCACCTGACTTTTATCAAATGTCTGTATCTCTCTAAGCATACATGAGAGATATATATATGCTTAGATAGAAGTTTGTTACTAGCTGCCATCTTTGGGTTTTCTTACTTTGTTATTATTACAGAGTGTCAGCAATTTACAGAACTCTCCTTTTGTTCCTTCTACCTGCAATCTTCTCTACTTCTAGGAACATTTGTGTAACACCAATACATAACTTAGATGAGCATTATGTGGTAGTGATCAAACCTGATGTTTTTAGATGACATACTTGTATCATCCTTGTAGAGAAGATTAAGAACAAAACAAATTCATCTAACCTTCTGGGCAATCTGTTTGACTTTTACATGTAAGAATGGAATTCTAAACACTGAACACATTCAGCTCTGTGCCAGAAAGTAAATCTATGGGTATGGTATTTTGTGGGTGATCTTTTAAATATAGAAAAAAAAAAACCTTATGTAATATTAAAAATATATATATATACACACACACATATAGACAAAGATGAGAATATCTATATACATATATAAAATATAGTGTTATCTCTCTCATGCACGTATGTAAAAATCAAGTTGTAATTAATATTTATATTAATTACATACAGAATTTTGTGCTGTTCATGTTTACCAGTTTAAATGCCTGGGTAATATTCATTGTTTCCTCCACCTCATGTATCTGTGTCTCTTGGGGGTAGTTTAAGAGTTAGTTGAAACATCTATATGAAGAGGTTTTGTAAATGGAAAGCCCTGTAGAAAGGTTAATTCTTATTGTTATAGCAGGGTATTTATTAATTACTGTTTCATGATTTACTTAACCATTTCCCTATCATGGAACTATTAGAATATTTATAATTATAAATAGCATTGCTTTAATTTGAAGTCTCAAATTCCTGAAGTATTTAAAATGATGATATTATACATACATATCCTTTGATATGTATTGATATGATATTAAACACACGTATCCTTTGTGTGGTTTGCTTTCTAGGTGGTGGTTTGATGTTTGATATGCTAATAATATTATTTCATATGTTTTCCTCCCCAGGCAAGACTTCAGCAGTACATGGTCACAACAGATGAGCAACTGATATCACTCACACATGCTATTAAGAACTGTCCTGTGATAAATAACAGACAAGAAATTCAGGCATCAGAAAGCGGAGCCACAGGTAGAAGAGTTATGGACAGTCCAGGTGAGTGTGGTCTTACTCTCTCAGACTGTCATTAGACTACTTAATGGCCTTAGATAACAAACCAAACCTTAAATCTCTAAACTTATATAGACTTATTGACTGTTTATGCATGTACAGTATTGTCACTACTACAGTTGCCACTACTTTTCCAGCTAATATTGGATGCATGCTCTATGCCAGATACTTGTTAAGTCTTACATGCATAATTTCAATTCGTGTCATAATAGTCTGATGAGGTAGGTGTTATTGTTATCCCCATTGGTGTTATCCTTAGAGGAAACAGGCTGAGAGAGGGTTGGTAACTTAGCAAAGTCATACAGGTAGAAAGTAGCAGAACTGGACACCTAGACCAAAGAGAGTGCTAGCACTTTTAATCCCAGTGCTCTAGATTTAGAAGAGATGGTTTTGGAAAGAGAAAAATACTGAGTTTTAGAAATTCATAACTTTTGTTCATGTGTGATAGTGTTGTTATTTTGAAATTCTTCCTTCATCTCATGTGCCATCATATGCTATAGGCTGAATTGGACATTTTGGTTTTTTCATGTGTTTTACTTTTAAGTAAGACTTTGATGAGTATCTGTAAGAAAAGTGTTTTATGTATTTAAAACCGTTTTCTTAGGATGGATTCTAAGAAGTGGCTGACCAAAATTTAACTTGCATGAGGTAAACTCATTGGCTAGGGCACATCTCTGTCTTCTGGTGGAGTCTTGCTATTTTTTTTTTTTTTTTCTTTTTGAGATGGAGTTTCGCTCTGTCACCCAGGCTGGAGTGTAGTGGCGCCCTCTCGGCTTACTGCAACCTCCGCCTTCCAGTTTCAAGCGATTCTCCTGCCTCAGCCTACTGAGTAGCTGGGATTATAGGCGCCTGCCACCACACCTGGCTGATTTTTGTGTTTTTAGTAGAGACGGGGTTTCACCATGTTGGCCAGCCTGGTCTCGAACTCCTGACTTCATGATCCGCCTGCCTTGGCCTCCCAAAGTGTTGGGATTACAGGCGTGAGCCACCGCACCTGGCAAGTCTTGCTATTAATATCTCAGTCAAGGAATATGTTAGTGTTTTACTATTATCTGAATTAAGCTTCACTACTGAGAAAGCTTTTAATTATCCTATAGGTAAGAAGGGCTGGGAGTAAATATATTGTAGAATTATTGTTTTTTTTTGTTTTGTTTTGTTTTGTTTTGTTTTTAATTTTTTTTAGTATTTATTGATCATTCTTGGGTGTTTCTCGGAGAGGGGGATTTGGCAGGGTCGTAGGACAATAGTGGAGGGAAGGTCAGCAGATAAACATGTGAACAAAGGTCTCTGGTTTTCCTAGGCAGAGGGCCTTGCCTCCTTCCGCAGTGTTTGTGTCCCTGGGTACTTGAGATTAGGGAGTGGTGATGACTCTTAACGAGTATGCTGCTTTCAAGCATCTGTTTAACAAAGCACATCTTGCACTGCCCTTAATCCGTTTAACCCTTAGTGGACACAGCACGTATTTCAGAGAGCAGGGGGTTGGGGGTAAGGTTATAGATTAACAGCATCCCAAGGCAGAAGAATTTTTCTTAGTACAGAACAAAATGGAGTCTCCTATGTCTACTTCTTTCTACACAGACACAGTAACAATCTGATCTCTCTTTCTTTTCCCCACATTTCCCCCTTTTCTATTCGACAAAACCGCCATCGTCATCATGGCCCGTTCTCAATGAGCTGTTGGGTACACCTCCCAGACGGGGTGGCGGCCGGGCAGAGGGGCTCCTCACTTCCCAGACGGGGCGGCCGGGCAGAGGCGCTCTTCACCTCTCAGACGGGGCAGCGGGGCAGAGACGCTCCCCACATCCCAGACGATGGGCGGCCAGGCAGAGATGCTCCTCACTTCCTAGACGGGATGATGGCCGGGAAGAGGTGCTCCTCACTTCCCAGACTGGGCGGCCGGGCAGAGGGGCTCCTTACATCCCAGACGACGGGCGGCCAGGCAGAGACGCTCCTCACTTCCTAGACGGGGTGGCGGCCGGGCAGAGGCTGCAATCTCGGCACTTTGGGAGGCCAAGGCAGGTGGCTGGGAGGTGGAGGTTGTAGCGAGCCGAAATCACGCCACTGCACTCCAGCCTGGGCAACATTGAGCACTGAGTGAGCGAGACTCCGTCTGCAATCCCGGCACCTCGGGAGGCCAAGGCTGGCAGATCACTCGCGGTCAGGAGCTGGAGACCAGCCCGGCCAACACGGCGAAACCCCGTCTCCACCAAAAAATACGAAAACCAGTCAGGTGTGGTGGCGCGTGCCTGCAATCCCAGGCACTTGGCAGGCTGAGGCAGGAGAATCAGGCAGGGAGGTTGCAGTGAGTCGAGATGGCGGCAGTACAGTCCAGCCTCGGCTGGGCATCAGAGGGAGACGTGCAAAGAGGAGAGGGAGACGGGAGAGGGAGACGGGAGAGGGAGACGGGAGAGGGAGACGGGAGAGGGAGACGGGAGAGGGAGCCAGAATTATTGTTAATTCTTGTTATTGCCTGTGGAAAAAGTCAGAAAGATTTATGTTGGTGAGACCAAAGATTTATGTAATATCTTCCTGAGTCTCAGCTCTTGTAACTCTTTTAAAATACTATGGAATGTGACTATGTTGTGATAATGCATGACCTGTGAAGTTCCTTGTTTTGTAATGAGCCTTATATATGGAGGTCAGTGCATTAATATGACCCATTTTAGCCATTTTGTTACTTGTGATGACCATTAAAAAGCTATCCATAACAAATAATGAAAAATTCTACCAGCCTAGGCAGCATGGTGAACCCCGTCTTTACAACGAATACAAAAAATTAGCTGGGTGTGATGGTGCATGCCTATAGTCCCAGCTACTCGGGAGGCTGAGGTGGGAAGATCACTGGAGCCTGGGAGGTCGAGGCTTCAGTGAGCCAAGATCGCTCCACTGCACTTCAGCCTGGGTGACAGAGTGAGACTCTGTGTGAAAAAAAGGAAAAATGGAAAAGACAAACTCTGGAATGCCACATAGGATTTTTTAGGAGTCCCTAACTGGCTCGCTTTTCATGGCTTTGAGGCCTTAGTGATTTTCTCAAAAATAGTAACTTCTCAGTACTAGCCCCCCAGGAGCCTGCCCATGAATGATTGGCAGAGGAGGATACAGCCTAGAAAGTGAAGGCTCCAGGAGCTATGTTGATTCATGTGGATTTTGCACTCTACTGAGATGCATTTAAGAATAAATACCTGAAATGTGCTCATAGTTTCTTTTTGTTCCTATTGTACTAATATCCTCTCATCTTCTTCAGAGCGTCCAGTTGTAAATGCCAATGTCTCAGTGCCATTGATGTTCAGAGAGGAAGTGGCTGAATTCCCACAGGAAGAGTTGCCCGTTAAACTGTCTCAGGTGCCAGACCCTCCAGATAACATGAATCTGGCCAAGAATTTTCCAGCACATATTTTTGAGCCAGCTGTGTTGTTAACACCACCCAGGCAGAAGAGCAACTTAAAATTCTCTCCTCTTCAGGACGGTAAGTCTTCTTCTAAAGTTACATGAAAGTTGTTTTTTAATGTTTCATTTGTGCAATGTATTACTTTCACCATTACATGAAAAACAGAATTGAAAAAGACACTGATTACCACACATAGCCTTTAAGCTGAAGGAAGAATTTTCATGCTATGTGTATCATACCTGTGGTCATGTGTGACATTTAATTAATTTTATTGTATATCTATTTTATTAAACATTGTAAGTATTAAACTCAGATCAAAAGATCAGAGTCCTTAGCATTAAGATGCAGAGTAAGGGGAATCCCTTTTGTCCCTATGGTCCAGGAGCATTTCAAAGAGTTAGAAGCAGGAGATTATACTCCAAAGAGTAATGAAAGTTAGACTAAGGAAAGGTGAAAACTGTGACTTTAAGGGTCTTGTAAGTGACATCTGGTCATTATATTCACCTCTTTCTCATCAAAAGTTTTCAGCTCAGTTAGTTGAGGCAATTTTATAATAAAAGTTAATGGACAATTAAAAATAGCTTTAGAGTTACTCTTGCAGCTCACAGGTAGAGTTTTGAATAAACATGTTAAGAATATATTATTCTTAGCTCAAAGATTCTTAACTTAGGGTTCATGAATGGTCTTCAGAAGTTCCATGGACTACCTCATTGTTGGGAAGATTAAATTTATTTGTCCCCATGTACATTTTTTCTGGAGCTATTGTTTTTATTTCATTTTTAAAGAGGTCTTTAGTCAAAAAAAGAACCACCATCTTAAACTCTCTTCCAAAGTTTTTTGAAAAATATTATTCAGGTCTGATTAGCCTGAATTTTTATTTCTTTGACAAGTTTTTTTTTTTTATTTTTACACAGGGGAACAGAAAAATAACTGTTTATTATTATTGGGACATACAAATTTTGTGCAATTTTCTGCACTTTGATGTATGTTTCCAATAAAGGACACGAAGAAGCCCAGGGGTTAAAGAAAATGGCAAATCCTTGCTATTAAAAATTCTGTTTTGGTATTTATAATGCAGATGTAGCATTTGTCAGATCAGTATGGTGCAATGGTGACAGTGCCAGGCTGAGAGTCAGACGTGCTGGTATCTTGGCCCGTTTATTGTTGACTAGCTGTGAGGCATGAGGCTCAGATAGTTTACCTTTTCTAGACCTAAGTTTTTCCATCTATGAAATGAGAAGATATTTCTTTATCTTTAATGTTCCCTCCAGCTCTATCATTGTATGATTCAGTATTTCCTCTTCAGAGGGCTTCAGTTACAATAAATATGTTTACTCTGATCACAACCGTACTAAATGCTTGTTAAAGCAAATTTGTCAGGGATTGCTATAGACAACATTTTGTTAATATCTTCAGCAAGTTTGTATTTAAAATAACTGCCCATTTATTTTATAATGTGCAGACAGCTGCTTGTGAATATGTATTTGAATTGGTGATGTTTTATTATATTTTTCAAGCATTGTTTGGAATACTCACATATAAAGAATTATTCAGTTAAACAGAATATGCAGATGAAAATGGGTGATACATAGGGCCCTTCATCAGCATTCAGTTCTCTTTTAGGATAGCTTTGTCTAATAGAATTTTCTGGGTTGATGAAAATGTTCTGTGTCTGCTCCATCCAGAATGGTGGCCACTGGCTGCATGGGGCTAGTGAGCACCTGATATGTGGCTTATGTGACTGAGAAACTGAATTTTAAATTTTATTTAATTTTAATTAACTTAAATTTGAATAGCCACATATAGCTAGAGGCTGCCATATTGGACACTATTGCTGTAGAATTTCCCATCATAAATATTTTCCTCTAGCTATTGATTTATTTCTGCTTTTCTTTACAGCCATGCTTCTTGAACGAGTAGTGGGTGTGTGTGTCTGTGTGTATTGGTGTGCAGTTTCATTTCATTTTCTGATCTCCCATTCATCCTTTATTTTAAAGCGTTCATTCGAATTCATATTTGTATATGGTTTTTTAAAAAGTACTGTCAATTTAACCCAGAGAAAGGCTCTCTAAAAGAAACTGATATTTATTTGAGATTGAGAATTGCAATGGGAATATGGTGGGCATATTCAGGGAAGTAAAGGAAGACAAGAGTTTTTAAAGGGGAAATGAGGAGGATTATTTAAGTTGTTTTGAGATAACTATCCTTGGCTACAAGGATCAATAACAAGGGTGGCATCAGTCTAAGGTTGGATAGGCAGATGTTGGGCAAATGTCCTCGCAGAATTATTTTTTGTGTAAGATTGTGGTGTCCTTTGTGCAAGGTTCTGGTTTTTGAAGTCTCTTGAACAGTTCTTGTTATCAGTCATACATGCCTGAGAACCCTTCCTTCCTGGCTTTTTAAGGCTCCACTTATCAGTCACTTGTGTCTGATAAAGTGACTCTGATAAAGTCACTTGCGCTCTGACACAAATGTCTGATTTTTTTTTTTTTCCTTTGAGATGGAGTTTCGCTCTTGTCACCCAGGCTGGAGTGCAATGGTGCAATCTCAGCTCACTGCAACCTCTGCCTCCTGGGTTCAAGCTATTCTCCTGCCTCAGCCTCCTGAGTAGCTGGGATTACAGCCGTGCACCATCATGGCTGGCTAGTTTTTAAAATATGTATTATTAGTATAGACTGAGTTTCACTATGTTGGCCAGGCTGATCTCGAACTCCTGACCTGAGGTGATCTGCCGACCTTGGCCTTGCAAAGTGCGGGTATTATAGGAGTGAGCCACCGCGCCCGGCCAAATGACTCCATTTTGATTCTGACAGCTTTCACAGTACATACCCCTAAAGGCAGTCATTTTCTGCCTGTAATGTCCTTTGCTCAGTTCCTATTACATATGTAATCATTTAAAAATTTTACTTCCTCAGAGAGGCCTTTCCTGGTTATCTGCTGTTTAAATTGGGTACTTATACCCACTTCCTCATTCCCCAAGATTCCCAGATGTGAGTTAATATATGCGTTAAAATGTGAACTTGACAGATGGTTTTTCACAAGGGTACTAACAAATGCTTTAAGGAATGTAAAAAGTCTCTGTACTTGATTACGAGGGGCGGCATTGCTGGTGTGTTCTCTGCTGAAAATAGTTTAAGCATTCAGAAGCCAAACCCTTCTACTGAAATACTTTTCTAACTACCATGGTGGGCTAATGAAATGAGTATAGTGCCAATCTATGGGAAAATAATACATATTTGTTATTTTTAAATTCTTATCTATAGTATTGAGAAGGACTGTTCAAACTCGTCCTGCTCCACGACTTCCTCCAACTGTGGAAATAATTGAGAAGGAACAAAATTGGGAAGAGAAGACCTTACCTATTGATACAGACATTCAGAATTCAAGTGAAGAGAATCGTCTCTTCACTCAGAGATGGAGAGTCTCTCACATGGGAGAAGATTTGGAGAACAAAACTCAGGCTCCTTTTGTTAACCTCTCACAGCCCCTCTGCAATTCCCATTCCAACACTCAACAGTCAAGAAGCCCCACATTCTCAGAAGAGCTCCCAGTACTGGGAGATGGGCAGCAGCTGAGAACAAATGAGTCATTAATACAAAGAAAGGACATAATGACACGAATTGCTGATTTGACATTGCAGAATTCAGCTATCAAGGCACATATGAATAATATTATTGAGCCCAGAGGAGAGCAAGGGGATGGACTCCGGGAGTTGAACAAACAAGAAAGTGCAAGTGACATGACTTCTGTGAGTACCATTTAAGGATTGATTAGGGACATATAGGAATTTAAATAGGAACTTTAGCTTGGGCAACTTAAGAAACTTCTTTTCAGAAGTGATCCTAGAAAGCTTTGAGGCTAGATGGCTTATGTTTGGCATGTCCTCAATACAATAGGTCCAAGTTATTTATCAGTCTGTTGTACATACAATACAAGACAGCATAAAAGGGAAATTATATAAATGAAAATAGGACAAAGATAAAATGCGTAGGAAAGCTAAGATTAAGTTAGGAATGAAGTTTTAGGTATAAAATATAGAATTAATGTTACTTGAATGTTTGCCACACAGCCACATGTTAATTGAAAATATTTTTATTTTTAAAATGGCTCATAAAAGAGTATTGGCCCTCAACTCATGAGTAGTTAATTTTTGAGGACATAGAATGGATTTTCCTATAGAAATGAGGTGGTTTTTTTGTTTTGTTTTGTGTGTTGTTTGTTTGTTTTGTTTTTTTTGAGACGGAGTCTTGCTCTGTTGCCCAAGCTGGAGTGCAGTGGCATGATCTCGGCTCACTGCAACCTCTGCCTCCCGGGTTCAAGTGATTCTCCTGCCTCAGCCTCCTAAGTAGCTGGGATTACAGGCATGCACCACCACACCTGGCTAATTTTTGTATTTTTAGTAGAGACGGGGTTTCACCATGTTGGTCAGGCTAGTCTTGAATTCCTGACCTCGTGATCTGCCCGCCTCAGCCTCCCAAAGTGCTGGAATTACAGGCATGAGCCACTGCGCCCAGCCTGTTTTGTTTTTTTGAGATGGAGTCTCACTCTGTTGCTCAGGCTGGAGCGCAGTGACGCAATCTTGGCTCCCTGCAACCGCCACCTCCTGGGTTCAAGCGATTCTGCTGCCTCAGCCTCCCAAGTAGCTGGGATTACAGGTGCGTACTACCACACCTGGTGAATTTTTGTATTTTTTGTAGAGGCGGGGTTTCGCCATGTTGGCCAGGCTGGTCTCGAACTCCTGACCACAAGTGATCTGTTTGCCTCGGCCTCCCAAAGTGCTGGAATTACAGGCATGAGCCACTGCATCTGGCCAGAAATAATGTTTTAAAGGATTATTAAAGCCAGACTTTAATATACATATTAATCATCTGGGGATCTTGCTGAAATGTGGTTTCTGATTGAGTAGGTCTAGGGTAGGACCTGTGCATTTCTAATAAGTTCCCAAGTGATGCCAGTGCTGCTAGTCTGAGGACCACGCTTTGAGTAGCAAAGGTCTGCATTTTATAGTGCAGGAGTTTTGTAAGTTAAATAAACTTTGTGGGCTAACCTGGTAACTTAAACCTTCATTTCGTTGTTTCTGGGGGAGATAGGGAGTCTAAATTCCAGCTAGGGAGGGTTTATAAAAGAGCTCCAAATGCTGGTTCCAGTGATGGTAGACACTTTCTTTTACCCCTTCTAGAGCCAAGGCCGCTCCTGTCAAGTTTCTGATAGGAGGAGCTGGGCACTGTCACTGGGGATTAGAAGCTCGTGAGGTGGCTGTGTTCATAAGGGCTTTAACAACAGTGGGTTGGAGGGCTTTGGTGAGGAAGGTTAGGGTGAGGTGAGTCATAGGGTAAGGGCCATCTCTGTCAGCACTGGGTCATGGGGAATAAGGACAATATGGGTATTGAATCATAGAAGTAGACAGAAGGAACTGGCAGAAGAGGAGCCAGAAAGGAATATTGCTAGTAGGGAGCAGCCAGCCATTGGTAGTGGTGTATATAAGTAAATATCAACTGCCTCAATTTTGAGTCACTGGGAGGCATTTATATATTTGTAGTTTTGAAGATTATTCATAACAGGCAACTCTTGGTTTAAAAAAGACAGCAGAGTCTAATGTTTTGCTTGCCTCCTTTTCTAATTAGTATGTAGATCAAGCTGGAAGGGACTATCTAATATTTCTGTCTTCACTACCCTCTTTTGTTTTAATTGGAAATACAAAATGATCTTTAATTCATACTGATTTTCCTATTTATTTATTTATTTATTACTAATAGACATAAGCTAAAAATCAGTGATTTTTATTAGGGATTATTTTTTTCCAAAGAGAAATGAAATAACTAGGACTGAAATAATGACATAATTAGGAATAATGAAATAATTAGGAATGACATAAGCACATTTGGGGGGGGAATTTTCAAATTAAATTTATGCTATATTTTTTGGGCGGCTATTTTTTACCCTACCTCTCATATTTCTTTCCAATCACCAACTATTCTTGAATCAGATACCTTAGGCCAAAAGTGGCTTGGGGAGGCTGACATATGGTTAGAAGGAGTGACAAGATTCCCAGAATCTTTGCCAAATGGTGCATATTTGAAGCCTGTAATTATAGAAACTTCTGTTTCCAAGATAGCAGATCCTCTTTTGTAATCTGTCAAACTGCAGATCTGTCTTCAAAGATGTGTGGCATTTACTTAGAGACCAGCTCACTTGGAGCAGTCTCTTTGCTCATGTGATCTTTTGTGCAGCTCTGCAGATACTAAGAGATACAGAAAAGCTTTTCCCAGAATATATGCTTAAAGGGACTGTAAATTCTATTGTGTGCTCACTATTCACATTTATATATAATAAGGGCTATGAATACTAACTTGCTGGCCATTAGTAAGTCAAAATTGTGTGAGATCGAGGTGGGTGGATCACGAGGTCAGGAGATGGAGACCATCCTGGCTAACACGGTGAAACCCCGTCTCTGCTAAAAATACAAAAAATTAGCTGGGCGTGGTGGCAGGTGCCTGTAGTCCCAGCTACTCGGGAGACTGAGGCAGGAGAATGGCGTGAACCCGGGAGGCAGATGTTGCAGTGAGCCGAGATAGCGCCACTGCACTCCAGCCTGGGCAACAGAGTGAGACTCTGCCTAAAAAAAAAAAAAAAATCGTGGGAGAGATTTTTCAGTATTCAGTATTCAATTTGTACTTTTTTTTTTTTTCTCCCAAAGACTTTTCCAGTAGCACAGTCTCTAACACCAGGTAGTATGGAGGAACGGATTGCAGAATTGAATCGACAAAGTATGGAGGCTCGTGGAAAACTACTGCAGTTGATAGAGCAGCAGAAACTTGTTGGTTTGAATCTTTCTCCACCAATGTCACCTGTTCAGTTACCTCTCAGAGCATGGACTGGTTGGTCACAAATTCATGATTTAAAAACTAGAAATATGAAGGTTTTCAGTTTTCTTGATTTTGCAAGTTTATATTAAGCCAAAAGAAGTATCAGAGCATATATTTTGGTGCCTTCAATTTTGCACAGAAAGAAATAGCCCTAACTCACAGGATAAGTGACAGAAATGGGATTAGAAGGCAGATCTCCTGATTATTTCTATCCTATGATGCCTATAGTTAATCTTTGGTGTCTGAGTTCCTAAATTATCGTACATCTAAATGGGATTCATTATAGTGTACGGTTCACTTAGGTCATATGCTGCAACTAAGCATGAAATATCTGAATGTTCATTTAGAATTTCATCAGCAATGAATTACAAGTTATTATTCTGTAAAACACTTAAAACATTTTCACTCAATTAAATTTTTTGTTACATTTAGGAATGTGAAAAGCTAGAGGGGATTCTGAATAATAAAATAGTAACTGAAAAAATTGTCATAGTATTCACATTCAAAAAGATACTGATGAAACGAAGTATGTATCAAGTTGCTTTTTATCAGAAATTGCATTATTAAGGCCCTCAAGGGACAGCTACATGAAGAGTACTGAGAGATTGATTTTGGCCCAGTAAAAGAGAAGGCTCTAATTGTCAGGAATAGAAAAAGCTCCATGTACCAGTAATTGATGTGTTCTCTGAGATGTTCAAACATTGGTGTTTGAAGGGGACTCATATGTCTTATTTCTGGTTGAAGTAGGTTACCTTTAAGATACCTTCCAATAAGACTTTTCCCCTCAGAAATTATTTCCTTTTTGAAATACAGACCCAGAAAGCAGACTCTTTTGGAAATTGCTGGAAAAAGATGGTAATGCATTTCCCCAGGGCTCTCTGTTTATTCTAGGCTTCCTCAAATGACAGTTTTGTCTACTGTTCTTCATAGTTATGAAGCCTAGAGACAACTTCTGATTAGAATAAATAAATCAATTAACTATATATGAACATGTACTATGTGCGAACATGTACTATGTGCGAACATGTACTATGTGCGAACATGTACTATGTGCCTGCCATGTGTGGGCTTGAATACTCTAGCATTTGAGTAGGGGAGCAGGCAACAAACAAATCAATATTTGGGATAATATCAGTTAGTGCTAAGTGCAAGGAAGAAAAATAAAGCAGATCAGCCTTAAGAATAATTTTGTGTTTAAATATACATCTTCCATTTCAGTATTTGTGTATGGTTAAAATATGCTTTTATTTATGTTATGTAATTTAGTCCTCAACATACTTTAAGAGGAGACAGGGCTAATATTATACCTATTTGATGAATAAGTAAACTGAGGTACAAAGAGGTTATGTGATTTATCAAGTTACAAAGCAAGTTGTGGATTTGCAACTGCGTTCTTTCCTGTCCAGTGATTTATCTCTAAAGTATTCTTTTTATAAGTAAAATTCTTATATTTGTTTAAAAAAAAGCTGCTGTGGACTATAATGATAAAAATAAAAATAAACCATATATCATGAAAAACCTCTTTTGTTTTCTAGGGTAACTGAGGAATATTTTGTAAAATTAAATAGGGTTTTATTACCTTGTAAAGCCAGGAAGTCACACAAAGTCAGGAGCCTCTGTGAAACTGCCTGTGATGAACATTAAGTCTTTCATTAGTAAATACTTAGTAAATATGCTGATTGATTACCTACTTCTGAAATATGGAAAATATTCATAATTATACTTGCTATTGGCCATATGGAGCTCTTCAGCCAACTTTCCTCTCCTACTTTAATGTCTTCAGTAATAGTCATAATGTAATCGATTTAAAAGATTTAAAGTTTTACTGAATGACTTCAGAAATTTTCTTTTTCCTTTTTTTTTGGGAAAACTTTAGGTAAGCTCTTTTGGACAAAGATCTCAAGCTCTTTAGGGCTAGCTCTTAATTCCTGTTTTTCACCTCCAGAGCTGACATGATGCCACTTGTCTGAAGATTTTGGCTCTCTATGAACTGGCATGCTACTGAATTAACACTAGTAACTAAAGTTTCTTATCCCACAGTTCAGTAAAAAAAAAAAAAAGTCTTTCAAGTGTATCTTGGGCTAAGATTAAAACAGATGGAAAGAACCACCAAATTTTTAATGTGCAGTTTGCAGTAAGATAGAAATTGAGTGAAATTTTTATTTCATTGAAAGGTAATGGAACTAATATTTATTTTTATATTTTAGAAGGAGCAAAGAGGACAATTGAGGTATCTATTCCAGGAGCAGAAGCCCCAGAAAGCTCAAAATGTAGTACTGTCTCTCCCGTCAGCGGGATAAATACAAGAAGGTAAGTTGCAGTGTGAATATTTATTTAAAAAAAAAAATCAAAAAGAATTTGGTATGTATTTTATTCTCTTTGTGAAAAAAGGAAGTGTACAGTATCTGACTTAGGTTGAGACAGACTCATGCAAAGAGAGTAAAATAATTGGAAAAGAGAATTTTGAGGGGAAATGGAGTGAGGAATAAACTTTAAGTAGAAAGGCATGGGTTTGCTACTGAAAACAAAAGTGAGATAACACGTATGTAGAGTACTTACGGGTTACAAAATTAGGAGATGATGTATGACAGGACAGCTGAATTGACCAATAGTATTTTCCTCCTTCACAGTAAATGAAACTGAAGCTCTCCGAGTTAATTGGGTGATTTGTCTAGATGGGTCATATGATTGGTAAATAGTGACACTAAGGACATACCTGGCCTTTCTGTCTCTACTCTGCATCCTTACTATTGTACTGTGCTGTTCCAGGTCGTGTTACTCTTCTACTACCTGGACCTTTTTCCCCATCCCTGCACGTTCTTTTTCTCTTTATTATTGAAAATTTATCCATATAATATTGTAATGCCAGATACATGTCATTATACATTTGTGAAAACCCACAGAATGTGTAACACAGAGAGTGAACCCTGATGTAAGCTATGAACTTCAGTCAATTATATCAACATTAGATCATCTGTTGTAATAGATTTGTCACACTAATGCAAGATCTTAATAATAGGGGAAACTGTGTGTGTGTTGGAGGTGGGGGGTAAGGGGCATATGGGAACTCTGTACTTTCCACTCATCTTTCCATAAACCTAAAACAGCTCTAAAAATTAAATTATATTTGTATTAGTCCATTTTCATGTTGCTGATAAAAACATAACTGAGATTGGGAAGAAAAAGAGGTTGAATTGGACTTACAGTTTCACATGGCTGGAGAGGCTTTAAAATCATGGTGGGAGGCGAAGGAAACTTCTAACATGGTGGCAGCAAGAGAAAATGAGGAAGAAGCAAAAGCAGAAACCCCTGATAAACCCATCAGGTCTCATGAGACTTATTTACTATCACGAGAATAGCATGGGAAAGACCGGCCCCCATGATTCAGTTACCTCCCCATGAGTCCCTCCCACAACATGGGCGAATTCTGGGAGATACAATTCAAGTTGAGATTTTGGTGGGGACACAGCCAAACCATATCACTATTAATGAACAAATAAAGACTTACAGGTTGGTGAAAATAAGTTACAAATAATTTACCTCGTTGGACCTAAGTTAGCCATATGTTTTCAAGCTCTTGCCAGTATTGAGAATTGTCAGTTGTTTGCATAATCTTTTAAGGTTAATAATGATAGCTCACTCTCTTACTCTGTTTTATTTTTCATGAATAGATCTTCCGGGGCTACTGGTAATTCTTGTTCTCCACTAAATGCCACCTCAGGAAGTGGGAGATTCACACCTCTTAATCCAAGAGCAAAGGTACACGTTAAAATGTAATTGTGAAATGCATATAGGGGTGAGGGTAGAAGGTGGCTGATTTAGTGATTTCCATTCTTAATTATCATTCCTGTTATCCTAAAGCTGGTATGATATTCTTAAAAGAAAAGAAATACTAATTTACCTTTTTAGGAAAAACAAGCCATATACTTCTTCTGTTTTCTAGGGTAACTAAGGAATAAGGTAAAATTCAATAGGATATTCAACAGTCCTTAAAGACTGGAAATTACTGGTTTCAGGTAGAGCTTCCCATATATTTACGGCAGGACACACAGGTGTGCCTTGAATGGGTTGTAGATCTACTGAGCTATTGGTTCCCCCAGTCCTTGTGCTTGGGTGGGGTCTGGGACAGCCAGAGCACTGGGTCCAGTCACTTTTCCTCTCATTTTATCCCTGTGTGCCATATCTGACTGTGCCATTGGTTAGATAGGTTATGGTACCAGGGAAAAATAAATGTCTTAATGTGTTCTTCATGTATTTTGATGTGCCATAGGTATGTATAGAAGCTAAGCATTTCACAGTATATTCAAAATTTTTGCAGAAGGCATTTTTTCTGTGGTGCTAGTACAGTAAAATATAGTTCCTTTGAGTGGTTATGGTAAATTGTGAGGATATCTTTAAAATTGTAAAAGTTAATTTTGTAGACTTGAGCCAATAAGTGTCTGACATTGGGAAAATCTTTGCATTTCTTATTACTGAGTTCAGTAATTAGATCAAAGAGTGGGTGCTTATAGCCCAAATTAAATGATAGGGGAAAGATATTAAATGATAGGGGAATGATAGATACCCGAATTGTCCAGTTCTAGGAGATTTGTTCTTTGCTACTTCTTATATTCTACAAAAGCTTTAAAGTAAGCTAATTTATATAAATTATTCTTAGTTCCTGGAATTTAGTAGCATTTAATTTACTAAGACCAAATAACTGCCTTTTTATCATTTTAAAAATTTATGCCTATGATAGCTATAAAACACTGGACTTAAAAAAATTATGACTCCTAAATCAGTAAGAGGATCTGTTGACCAAGTAATCAGTTATTTGGTAGTATCTCTGTTAGAGAATTAACATTGCCAATAACAATTTAATTTCCAGTACCATTCAATGGCACAGGATGACTTTGTTTTATGCACTTGGTCTAAATGATCTGTAAATCTTGAGTAGTCTCATGTTTCTAATTACCATCTAAATTTTTTCCGTGTCTTTGTTCAACAGATTGAGAAACAGAATGAAGAAGGCTGGTTTGCTCTTTCTACCCATGTATCATAAGTGAAGTCAAGTCTCACTGAGTTTGTTCTTAATAATTTATTACTTCCCTTTCCCTGCTCTGACTTTTAAGTTTTTATATCCTTCTTTCAGATAAAACCTACAAAGATCCTGTGAATTAGTACTAATGAAACAGAGAAATAAAGCAATTATTTTTTGACTTTCTCAAATAAGTTTTCAACAACCAACTGACCTACAGCTCCCTGTGAATGAAACTTTGACTGTAGAGAAGTTAAAGTTTTGTATTTTAATACTTTCTTAAGTATTTTAAGGGTTTTTTTTATTAATACATTTTTACCTTTATCTTTATTCAGGGTTTTTTGAGGTTTAGTATATCTTAGTTGATCCATTTATTTATTTATTTTCCTGAAGAACTAATTTGCTTTGCATGTAACTTACAATAAAATTCCTCTGTGTGATTAGAGTCTGGCTTTCAGGAATATGTAACACCCACTTTTCTTTCTTTTTTCTTGGGAAGTCATTGCTGTTCATCACTTTTTCCATCAAGTGAAATATACAGCCTTAAAAACAATAGGCCTGGGAGTGTTTGTTTATATTTGCTTAAGCAGGTAAGAGTGGTTGCATTTATTATAAAATCTTATGTAGTTTTTAAATGTGAAAATGTCATCAATAATGGTAATGCAAATCAAATAAATATGATTCTAGAGCTCAAATGCCTAAATGTGGTAACATTGATTTAATGGTATATTTAATGCTTCAAACAATTAAATAGAAAAAGTTGCTATTAATTTTCCCAGCCCTGAATTTAAGCAGATCTTTCAGGGTAGATTTCTCTTTTTTTTTTTTTTTTGAGACAGAGTCTTGCTTTATTGCCCAGGCTGGAGTGCAGTTGTATAATCTGGTTCACTGCCACCTCAGTCTCCTGGGTTCAAGCAATCCTCTTACCTCAGCCTCCTGAGTAGCTAGGATTATAGGTTCATGCCACCACGCCCAGCTAATTTGTGTATTTTCAGTAGAGACGGGGTTTCACCATGTTGGCCAGGCTGATCTCGAACTCCTGACCTCAAATGATCCACCTGCCTTGGTTTCCCAAAGTGCCGGGATTACAGGTGTGAGCCACTGCACCCGGCTCAGGATAGATTTTTCAGGGTACCCTTTTGGTTCTGAGATGTTTATTTCTATTTTAAACTTGTTTTTTGAATGATCTCTGCTCCCTGGCTCTATGATAGGAATTCTCAACCTGAGTGAACAATTCAAACTGAGATTACTTGTGTTTAGACTCATATATTTTGATAACATATGACTTCTCCAGTATGCCCCAGAAAGCTGCTAATAACTTGCTCAACCTGAAATTTACAGTTTTCCAAATTACAGGTTGGCAGAGATACTGGATTGATAACAACATCCACAGTTATCATATAATCATTCTTATGCTGTAAACAAAATTATTTTGGTTAGCAGAATTTAATAATTAACTGTTAACTACATACTAGGCAATATTGTAGCCACTTTATGTGCTTCATGACACCTTATGGGATAGGTACTATTATCCTCATTTTGCAGATGAGGAAACTGAGGTACAAGGAGGTATTTTCTCAAGGTCACACAACTAGGGAGTGGTGGCATTAGAATGGGAACATAGGCAGTCTTTCTCCAAAGCCTATGCTGTGCTGCCTCTTGTTGGAGAGTAAACCTGTTTTACAGTGTGTGTAGTATGGAAGCAGCATAATAATAAGAATAGCTGTTCCTTATTGAGCCATTACTGTGGCAGACACCGTACTATAAGCTGTGGTATCACCATTATCTCATTTGAATCTCATAGTAGACCTATCAGTTAGAGGTATGTAAATGCTTCCTCCTCTCCCAGCACCTTTACAGATGAGGATGCTGAGCCCTAGAGGTGAAGAAAGTTGTCTAATGACAGAGTGCTTGTAAGAGGTAAAGCCAAGACTTGAAGCTCTTTCTTGCAGTTACTGGATTTCTCCTAATTTACGGGAACTAATACAGTACAGTAGCTAAGGATGCAAGTACTGAAACCAGAAATCTTGCCTCAAATGCCATTTCTGCCACTTGAGCTGTGTACTTTGGACAAATTAATCTAATCTTTCCCATTTGAAAGTCAGACATAATGTCTTCCCTAGAGGCTTGTGAGGATTAAGTGAGGCAAGTGTATGTAAATGGGCTGAGATCAGAGCTTGGCTCACAACACTCAGTAATGATCACTGCCAATTTTTTTTGGTATATAAATAAATAAATACACTATTTCCCCCATGTTTCCAATTTTTAAGACATTGTATAGTGAATTTATTGTATCTTTCTCAGATTAACAATTGCACACAGTGCTTGAAATTTAGAGGTATTTCACCTGAAAAGATGTCTAGAGATTGAAAGAAAACATGCTGGGCATATGATTTGAAAATATAAATAACATGCTATTTAAAAATAAGTTTACCCTATGTTTTCTATCTTTTCTGGCACCTAGATATACCATTTAATAAGTAATAGCAAGGATAATCATTTTTTTAAGCCCTGGAAAATCTTGATTAAAGAGGACATTTCAGTATTGCAAATAAATGCATGGTATTTGTGTAACATTGTGGAAACTAATAAACACAAATTGTATTATAGCAATTTTTTCTTGCCAATTTTATTGACAAATAATTTATATACAATAAATGACATCCATTTAAAGAGAACAGTTTATTGGCTTTTGGCAGTTGTATATACCCATGAAATTACCACCACAATGAAGACACAGCATTTCTATCATTTCTAAGATTCCTTGTGTCTCTTTCCAGTGCATCTCACTAAGTCCTAGGCAACCACTTTGCCCAAGTCTCTAGACTATCTTGGATGTGGAATGACTTTGTGTATGTTTAACTTTTGAAGAAACCTCTCAAATAGTTTTCCAAAGTGGTTATGCCATTTTACATTCCCAACAGCAGTGTATGCGAGTTCCAGTTGCTCCATATCCTTCTGCATTTGGTGTTAGCAATCTTTGAAGTTTTACCCCTTCACGTGGATGTGGAGTTATGTGTATTGTGGTTTCTATTTCCCTTATGACTACTTTTAAGCATCTATCCATGTGCTTATTGGCCATACATATATCTGATTTGGTGAAGTATTCAAATCCTTTGCCCATTTAAGAAATTGGGTGGTTTTTTCTTATTGAATTATAAGAGTTCTTTATACATTCTGTATACAAAGTCCTTTGTCACATATTGGAATGACCATTTTAAAACAAGTATTTGGTAACTAATAACGTTAGGCTAGGTACTTTAAAAAACAATATGACCACAGTACTACAGAGAGGTTGAACAAACTGCTAAACCTAGAAATCTGTCAAGGGAGGCCTATACTTTTGTGCCCAGAGCGCTGCGACCAAGAAACCCACAACATAAAACCTGATTTACTCTTAAAAGCCAACAGAGATAATATAGTTTTAAAAATAACAAAAATCCCACGATGTATCTTTGTTGTTGATGTTGCCGGCAAGCTGCCTACTATCTCCCAGGACCCCTCTTAAAATCGAAGTTAAAACCTCAACATAGGAACGCCGCGATCAGGGCTCCGTTGGGCCATTTTGGAATATCAGGCAGGTATCTTCGACGGTATTCATGTCATTTAATTATCTACATGACGTCCTTTAGGGGATAATAAACTCGTCGGGCTTTTCTGTTTGGCTTTGAACCAGTGTCATGAGGCGGAGAAGGCCCGACCAAAGGGCGGATAGGTACCGGGTTCCCGGAGAGCTGGACGCCGGCCGCGCATGCGCCCCACGGCCCGCCCTGGTTCCGCCTCCCTGGAAGAGGGGTGGCGTTGTCTCGGTAACCGGAGTAAACGGAGGCCTCCGGCAGACGCTGTGAAGAGAGGAGCCGCGGCGGTCAGTACCTTCGGTGAGTTTGGACCTCAGCAGCCGGCAGTTTCCACACCCTCCCCCTTAAATCTGTGGCTCAGAGGGCAGTGAACCCCACTTGGGCTTCTCTCAGGCTGGACCAGTGTTATAGCCTTCGTCCTCCCTGCGGTAGCTCAGCAAACTTTTGAAGCCACGAGTATTCTCAGGCTCGGAGCTAGACACTGTGTGCACGGTTCCTGCCTGCAAGACCCTGTCAGTCTGACCGGGCGGAAGCCAGCCAGGCAGCAGGAGCACAGCTTAGACCCGGCCAAGTCAGAGCAGCAGCGAGTCAGCTGGGAAGGTGCTGGGGCTCCCCGCTCCAGTGAGACACCTGCCCTGCGCTCAGCTGGGTGCGACGCTTGGCACGCTGGGCCCTCTGCACTTCGGCTTCCTCATCTCCAGAAAGAAAGGTGATAATGTGACCTCATGGAGTTATTATTAAACAGGATAATACAAGTAAAGTGCTTAGCACATGCATGACACATAGTAGGTGCACATAAATATTTGTCGGATAATAGGTAAAGACAGTCGCATACATGTGTGCTGCTCAGTGTGTCCAGTCTATCATGAGTTGCTAAGGGTGCGTACTGATGAAAATCTTTGAGAGGAGAAGGCTAAGGAGGCTAGGGAGAGAGAGAGGGTGACTGTAGCTGGGCTGCAATAAGCTACAGACCCTCTGACAAGGGACCTTTACACCAGACCGAGGAATCTGAGCTCTTATTTGATAGCAGTGATGAGCCATTAGAGGTTTTAAGCAAGAGTGACACATTAAAAGCTGTGTTTTAGAAATACAAGCGATAGTGTAGAAAATGGGTTACAGAAGGGAAGACAAAGTATGACGGTACAGTAATGGTAGAGGTGAGACACAGTGAGGACTGGAACTACAGAGGGACAGCAGGGACAGTAGGAATGAAGGGAGGGGAGGAATTCAAAAGGCTTAATCACTGGACACCAAGTAACAGGACTTGGAAATCATCTACATGAATTGGGTGAGAGGAACGGATTCAGAGTAAATACGCTGCTTTCTCATCTGTAAAATAATGACAGTAATAATAATGGATAGCAAGACTTTGTCTCAAAAATAATAATAATAGGCTGTGCGCGGTGGCTGACGCCTGTGATCCCAGCACTTTGGGAGGCGGAGGTGGGTAGATCACCTGAGGTCAGGAGTTCGAGACAAGTCTGGCCAACATGGGGAAACCCGTCTACTAAAAATACAAAAATTAGCCGGGCGAGGTGGTGTGCGCCTGTAATCGCAGCTACTCGGGAGGCTGAGGCACGAGAATCGCTTGAACCAGGGAGGTGGAGTTTGCGGTGAGCTGAGATCGCAGCACTGCACTCCAGCCTGGGTGACAGAGCCAGACTCCATCTCAATACATAAATACATAAATAAAATAATAATGGTACCTACCTCATAGGGTCGTTTTGAGAATTGTACGATAATATGTGTAGAATTTCTTAGAACTGTACTTGACACATAGTAAACATTAAAAAAGACAAGCTATTACTTTTTTTCTCCACAGCTGTATTTCACATTGCAAAGTAAAAACCGAGAGTCTGTTTTATACATCAGTCACTGTGAATCTTAAATAACCACCTCTGGCACACTGCTGGGATTGAGTGAGCTTGTGAGCATGAGGACCAGAACCTGGACTCTGGTGAATGAATCAGAGTAATGTCACCTTAGACAGCACTCTGTCTGGCGTCTAGCCAACCTTCTAGCAACACACTCCTCTGCATCAATGTGTACTATTATTTTCCCTTTTTCTTTATACTTCCTTAGAGTTGACCCTGTCAACCTAAATAACATACAGAGAGCGGCTTTCTAAAAGAAGATGATGTTTATTCGGGAGTAAGGCATTGCAATGGAATATGCGTGCCATGGTAAACTATATGTGTATTTAGGGAGGTAAAGGAAAACAAGGGTTTTAAAGGAATAATGAAAAAGACTACATAATTATTTTGAGATAATTATCCTTGGCTACAAAGATCAACAATAAGTGTGATGCTAGTCTGAGGTTGGACAGGCAATTGTTGGGCAGATGTCCTTGTAGAAGTATTTTTTTTTATGTGTAAGGTTGTGATGGCTTTTGTGCAAGGCTGTGGTCTTTGCAGTCTTTTGGGATAGTTATCCAGCATACAAGCGTGAGAACCCATTCTTCATAGCCTTCCCCAGCTCTATTTGTCAGGGTTCTTTCTTAACACTGGTGACTCCATTCTAATTCTGACAACTTTTACAACTCAAAACTGCACAGTCTATCTAATGAGTTAGTTGAAAGAATTGGCTGTAGGCTGGACGAATAAGCCTGGATCTAATGAAACGAAATTTATGCTAGTCCTGCAAATAGACTCCCAAACCTAGCTAGTTTACTAATAGAATGTAGAACATGGTCTAGAACCCAAACTTCGACTGCCTTAAAGGAATACAATGAATGTCCCCGATAGGTGAATTGGTAGTTCCGCTCTTCTGGAAAGTGTCCAGATCCTACGAAGAACATATAAAATTAGGAGGTATATATGATGCATTGGGAATTAACTTCTTGAGCTCTCAGGGTGGTAAAGAAAAGTTGGAAACATGTCATTGAGGAATAATTGAAATAATTGGGATACTTTCTCTGGGAAAAGAGAGGATCTGGAGAGAAATGAGAGCCAACTACAATTATTTGAATGGTTGAAGTACACAGAAAAACTTGTTCTGTGTGTTCTCGGAAGAAAAAATAAGGGTCAAATGGATCCAAGTTGCAGGGAGGCAGATTTCAGCTTAATATAAAATATACTAAGAAGTAGAGCTGAGCATGAACAGAATGTGCTCACCCTCTTACCCGAAATATTTAAGTTGAAGCTGACTGACAATCTTGTTCTTTCATCTATTCAGGAATATATCAATAAATTCATTCCTGCAACCATTTTACATATTGACTGCCATGTATCATTCTTAGAGCTTTCCTGTGTTGACTCAGAACAACCTTATCCAGTAGGTGCTGCATTTTAAAGATGGAAGTACTGAGGCACACAGCCATTAAATACTTGGTTAACACCTCACAACCAGGAAGAGGATGAGCCAAGATTTAAACCTAGTCAGACTGACTGTAGCCAGTATTCTCATCCCTGGCCAACACACTAGACTGCTTTTCTGACAGTGCTGGGGTGGATGTTGAGATGTGTGACCTGCATGGGGTAGGAAGTTAAACTAAAGTCCTCTTTCAGCTCTGAAGATTCCATGATTTTATTTATTGAACCCTACATGTGTCAAAGAGAATATCTAGGAGTATAGTAAAAACAACTGCCATTTCTGAGTGCCTAGTAGGTGTTTTATATAAACTCATGATTCCTAACCAGTTCTTATGCCTGATTGTGTGAAAGAATTATCTGGGGAGTGAGACCCTGTTAACAGTACGTTTTTAAGTTTTCCAAGTGATTGCAAAGTGCAGTCAAAGTTGAGAACTCTGTATATAAAAGATCTCATTTAATATTTACAACAACTCTACCAAATAACCCTATCACCCTCATTTTACATATTAAAGGATCAAGAGGTTAAGGAACTTGTTTCTTGGGCAAGCAGGGATGTGAACCCAAGTCTCTGTGGCTCCAAAGTCTCCACAGGTTACAATGTAGCTTTCCAATCCCTTTGTTATTAAAACAAAACAAACAAACAAACAAAACCCCAAAAAACCAAAAATACCTTATTCTACCTTACCAGTTATACTGATAATCTCCAGGAGAACAGGAGTCTCTCCCACCTGACCTGCTCCACTGCTTTTTACAGGTTCTTCAGTTACCTTTTATGACCCAGGAAAGGTAGGAATAGTATTTATTGTCCGGTATTGCTACATCAGAACACCGGGCAAATTCCTTGGTTTCCAGTATTTTCTTCCACATTGTACACAACCTGACATTAACTGGGTTTGTAATGTGAAAGTTTATTACATGGTAGTATTAGCCATTTGGGGAATATATTGTTTAAGATAGCACAGAATAAAGTGTGGTGCTTTCGTCTTGAGACCAACTTACCTTTTGTTGTGGTTCAACTCTTGTTTTCAGAGTGCTTTAGTTCCCATAATTGTTTTTTACCCACCTTATGATTATCTTGTGAATAAATTATGGGCTCTTTTTATTAGAATCTATATCCAGTTAACGTTCAGTTATAGTATGTTAAAATAAATTTATTCAGAAAAAAGACTGAAAAGTAGAAAGTGATCTCATGAAGTCATGAGGCTTATGATAGCAGGGAAGAAAATCATGAGATTCAAATCACTAGGTGAACTTGACCCATTATTCCTGGCTTTAAAGGGCACCATAAGTCAAGGAATGCGAGTGGCCTCTGGAACTTAGAAGGACTCTTGGGCAACAGCCAGCAAGAAAGCAGGGACCACTGTTCCATAGCCACATGGGGCTGAATTCTGCCAGCAGCTTGAATGAGCCCAGAAGTAGATTCTTCCTCAGAGCCTCTGAAAGTGAAGGCAGCACTGCCAACACCTTAGCAACCTCCTGAAACTCTAAGCAGAGAGCTAGCTGAGTCACACTTGACCTGGACTTTTGACTCACAAAACCATGAAATAATAAGTGGATGTTATTTAAGCTGCTAAATGTCTGGTAATTTATATGGCAGCAATGGAAAACTAAACAGTACCTACTTACAGAAGAAAGTGCTATTGAAACTCACAGATGAAAAATTTTCATTTAGTTATCAATTGATTAGCAGCAGTAGAATATCAGTTTGATTTTGTTGGAAAACCCAGGAACTGCCTTGCCTTCACTTATTTGGGACCTGCGTCTTGGAAACTTAGGGAGTACTTTCCAATACTTTAAATGTTGATTTTTATCAAAGAAATCATTATCGATCAATCATAGTCACTTCAGTCACGACTGTCAGACCATCCTTGTTTTGGTCAAACTCTGATGGATCTGAATCAGTGATTTAGAAGATAAGTTTATTCTGAAACTATTTTGAAAGAGAATTGTTGATTTCTTCATCTTGAATTATACATTGAGGTGAGGGACTGTATATTGCTCACCTTTGTATCCTCTGCAATGCCTAGCATAATAATATGCTCAATAGTTTTAAGAATTAAATTGACCTAAATTATGAAGGCAAGGGAGAAAATAATATTTAGGTGTGTGTGTATCTAAACAATTTTACCCACAGTATGTGGTCATTTATAACCAAACTCTGTAATAACTGAATTGGCTGCATAATTCTTTATTTAAAAAAAAAAACAGTTACTCACTGTAGAGTAACATAGAAAGCAAGTCTGTGTATCCCAAACTGGAAGGAATAGAAAATATTCTCAGCCCTGGCCAACACACTAGACTGCTTTTCTGACAGTGCTGGAGTGGATGTTGAGATGTGGATAACTAAAAGGATGACAGAATGTGAATTTTAAAAGATTTTGCTACTTACAGGTTTTTATTGTTTGATTCCTAACCCCACCCCCTCCATAAACCCCAAAAGGTATATATTCTACAATTAGGTGGAAGGAAAGAGGAAGGAAGGGAAGGAGAAAAGGAAGAAAGGATGGAGAGAGAGAGGAAGGAAGATTCACAACTAAAAAAGAAAGGAAAGGAAAACACACACACACACACACACACACACACGTACATACACTTTTTAAAAAGTAAAACATTATTTTTGTAACCCAGAAGAATGCCTCCAAAGTACAAAATACAAAATTTAATAACATGAGTATCATGTTAGACCATATCTTTTTTTTTTTTTTTAATTTTAGAAGCAGAGTCTTGGTCTGTCACTCAGGCTGGAGTGCAGTGGTGCTATCCTAGCTCACTGCAGCCTCAAACTCCTGGGCTCAAGTGATCCTCCTGCCTCAGCCTCCTGAGTAGCTGGGACTACAGGCATACCTCACTATGCCTGGCCATTTAAAATTTTTTTTTAGAGACAGTTTGGCTGTGTCCCCACCCAAATCCCATCGTAATTATAGTTCCCATAATCCCCATGTGTCATGGGAGGGACCCAGTGGGAGGTAACTGAATCATGGGGGCAGTTACCTCATCCTGTTCTTGTGATAGTAAGTGAGTTCTCACAAAATCTGATGGTTTTATAAGGGGTTTTCTTCCCCTTCGCTCTGCACTTCTCCTTGCTGTCACCATGTGAAGAAAAGAGGTGTTTGCTTCCCCTTCTGCTATGATTGTAAGTGTCCTGAGGCCTCCCTAGCCATGCCAAACTGTAAGTCAATTAAACCCCTTTCCTTTATAAATTACCCATTCTCAGGTATGCCTTTGTTAGCAGTGTGAGAACAAACTAATACAGACAGGGTCTTACTATGTTTCTCATGTTGGTCTTGAACTCCTGGTCTCAAGCAGTCCTCCTGCCTCAGCCTGTCAAACTGCCAGGATTACAGGCATGAGCCACTGAGCTCGGTCTATATCTTTCTTGATCATAGTTTATAATACAAATGTTTAGACAATGTACTGTTATCCCCCATATCAAAAGAAGGCATCATTATGATGTCACTGCAGGAAAACATGGAATGAACCCTAGTGCCCACTTGAAGGGAGACAGTCATCATACTACACTCTCCTTTGTCCTTTGATCGTGTAGTGTACCATATCTGCTTTAGGCATACCAGTCTATCTTCAGAGACCAGGAAGATATAACAGTGTGGCAGTTTAAGTAACCCTCATAGCAGGCTTGTAAAAAGTTTTTTCTTCATTCCCATTACAGTTGGGGAATTCATATAAAGTTTAGTTAGCTAGTTATATGTCAGTACTGGGATTCAAACCCTAATCTAACTATAAATCTGATCCAAATAGAACTAGTGTTCCATTCTGCTTGCCAGGCATATCGTAGAAGAATGTTGAGGAAACATAGGGTGTTTAGTATAGAGAAGTGAAGACTTAGAAGGAAGGTGTTTTCAAATATATGAAAAGCTGCATTATAGACAGAGGGCAGAGAAAACCTGTTGTGTCGCTCCCCTCTTTAAAACCCTTTAATGGTTTTCAGTTGTCAAGGAAATAAGGTATAAACTTCTTAGCAAAGCTTAGAGACAACTTTATGATATGGTACCCACCTTCTCTTCAATATCCATTTTACTCTCCCACTCTGGCCAATAGACTGCTTGCAGCCCTTTAAAGATGCAGCCCTCTTTGATGTGCCTAATGTATCTTTCACATTCTTTGCCTGGCCAACTCCTGACCATCATCCATGTCTCAAACACCTCTTCTCTAACCCCCCATCATGTTTTAGGCTTCTTGCTATACATGCCCACAGTACCATTTTCCTTTTTGTAGCACTCATTATTTTTAATTGCTTGTTTAATATCTATCTTTATAAACAAGCTCCATAAAGTTAGGGACCATATTTCTCTTCTCCAGGTTTGTAATTTAGTACCCAACATAAGACTTGATACACTGCAGGTGTGCTCAAAAAATATTTTAAAAACTGAAATTGATTAGTAACTCCAAGGGAATTTGAAAATAGAGAAAGAGGGAGGGATGGACCAAAGGTAGGATGGCAGAAAGTTAATTTTAATGGTGAAGCATCTGGGGAAAAGATGAACTTTGGTAGTGGACCTCTGGAAAACCAAAGTGCACCACAATGACAATTTACCTAGAGAAAGAGAATCTGTGATTATAATTAGCTGTCTTGCAGAGGTCAGAGGTCTCTGGTGGTAGTTGCACCCTCCTACTGGTGGGTCATCCTGGATCCTGTGCAAACAAGGATTATTGACACACATGGTGTTTGGTGCTAATGAAATATGTTAGGGGGAAATCTGTTAGTTTCAATTTTACAGCTTTATCCATATCTCATCCCCATTTTGTACTTACAGAGGAAATGAAGGAACCAGATGATCAGGATACTGATGGGGAGAAATCAGTTACATCAAAGAGTGATGGGAAGAAGTCTCTGAGGTCTTCTAAATCAGAATCAAGATGTAAGTAAAGATAATATGTATACTTTTAAAAGTATTAAACTTAGGTAAACATTTAAATAATTAATTTTTATAGTAGAATGGAAAGAGCAGGATGTTATAAAATAGATCTTTTTTTTTTTTTTTTTTTTTTTTTTTGAGATGGAGTTTTGCTCTTGTTGCCCAGGCTATAGTGCAATGGTACGATCTTGGCTTACTATAACCTCCGTCTTCTGGGTTCAAGTGATTCTCCTGCCTCAGCCTCCTGAGTAGCTGGGATTACAGGTGCCTGCTACCACACCCAGCCAATTTTTGTATTTTTAGTAGAGATGGGGTTTCATCATATTGGTCAGGCTGGTCTCGAACTCCTGACCTCAGGTGATCCACCTGCCTCTGCCTCCCAAAGTGCTGGGATTACAGGCATGAGCCACCATGCTGGGCCAAAATAGATCTTATACTCCCTGTTCCCAGAAAGCTGTAGGAAGGTGGGCTCCATAAAAATGATGGAGTTAGCAAAGAAAAAGGACTACATATGGTCCAGGAAATAGGAGATTCAAAATAGAAATAAGGTAAAGGTAATGCCTAGGATGACACTTGGGCAGCCATGCAGAGAACAATTATACTGAAGCAAGGAAAGGAGAATTTTCACCTCCAAGAAAGTTAAAAATGTTAAATAATAGATTATCTGATAGATGCATGTAGAAAATTGAACTGAGTGGAATTTATAGAACTATGACAAGATGTGGGAATATTTATCAGGAGATTCCAGAAAGTTAAAAAGTGAAAATAAATGAGGTATTAGTTTTAGAAAAGCGAGTTGTTCAAGAAGGAAATAAAATAATACATTCTTAACTCAGGAATGAGTGTTATTAAGGCAGTATACTAAAAATAGTAAGCATGGACTTCACTATAGTTTTTTTGTGCTTTGATTATATTGCAAGGGCGGAGAGATAGCAAGTGGTGATAGAGATTTAACATTCTTCATCTTCCCATAATAAACACTGTCTAAAAGTAGCTAGAGAGAGCAGTATATCCATATTGTTTAGATATATGGAGGTAAATATCAGAAGAAAAAAGATTAAAAGCTAAAAGTGATTCTTCTGGAGAGATAGAGAAGGCTGTTAAGCAGGGAAAAGTTGAGTATTTTAAAAGACAAGTCTTTTAGCATTACTTGACTTTTTAAGTTATGGGCATGTACTTCAACAAAACTAAAAATAATTTTCTAAAAGTCAAAAAAATGGGCAAAATAATTTTTAAATAGTGCATATCTGGGTTTATAGAACAGAAATGGTTTACTTGTTCAACTCCCTTACAAAGCTCTAAGTTCCTTAAGAGCTGTCTGTGTTTTACTTATTTATCACAGCTCCTGGCACACAAGTTGATAATAACCTATCCACACGTCTGGTCTAGAGTTCTCCTGTGAGAGCTACTAAGTCTTATATGGACTTTTCTGATACAATGTAGTGGAAAGAGACCTGGACTTTGGTTTTGAGTCCTGGATCTACCATTTAGAGATGCTTGATCTTGGAAACATTACCACATCTTTCTGAGCCTCAATTTTCTCACCCATTAAAACAATTATGAGTCATTTGGGAATTAAATTGCATAACATGTGGAAGGACTTCATAGGCTGCAATGGAAGAAAAAAGGAGGAATTTTATAACTAGGATTTTTGAAAGATGGCTGGCTCTTTCTGACTGACTATCACGATGTTAGGTATCTTAGTGGAATCTTGACTATTTAAGGTTCTAATCCTAAATATGATTTGAGAAATTTAATTTTGACTGTTCACCTAGAGAAGATCAGGTCCTGGGAAAATCAATACACATGCAAAATTTGCATTAAATTCTTTTAATCTATCGCAGACATGTCTTGTAAATCCACAGTTTCTCCACATTATATTTTATTTTAGGCATTTGTCTTCTCTGGTTTAGACTCTTGCAACATGGATTTCTACCTCAGTCTTCCTGTCCAGATCTCCCTCCACACCACCACTAGAGTTCTTTCCAAAAAGTATCATTATATCGCTTACTTCAGAAACTTTAGTTTGTTCCCCCCTAGTTTTTCCTTTTTCATGTTTCTGTACTCCCTACATTTCTGACACAGGATTGTCTGTGTGTTGGTTTCCAGTCCTCGGCAGTGTTTTCCTGGATGCTACTCTCAACTTTCCCTTGATGGATTTAATGATAATGACCCTTTGTCTAGCATTGCCTTCAGGACCTGCCTTCCTTATGTCAGATGCTGTTAGGCGCAGACCTTTTCAAGTGTGACCTGGCCCAGTGCTCAGCTCATTAATTAGTTCACATATCATATGTCTTAGACTCCCAAATGATAATGTGAAATAATTTTCTGGCATTCTGAACATCCTGTACCTTGTTGCTGCGTGAAGAGGTCTCTTCCTCCTGGCTCAGCCTCATACCTGATCATAGCTGCATTCCCCCCACCCCTGAAAACCTTGCTTTGCTCTCAGGCTTGTTAGCACATCCAGCAAGTTTTTACTCTGGGATTCTCATGTAGAATGAATAAAAGTCCTTGTATTCCACCCAAGCAGAGAAGTTGGAGTAGACTTTTTCCCATACTTAACAAGAGGTTTCTGCTATCTCTGAGTTCTATTAAGAAATTTAGGTCGAGTGTACCAGCTAAACCATCCATCATTTCTCACGATGGTGAAGGACTGTTAGTTACTAAGGCATTGATTTCTTATGCTTATCAAAGGACTAAATTATTGCAGACCTTATTTAATAATTTTGGGAGGTATTTTGTTCTTTTCTATTTTCAAAAATATTTTGTGTAGAATTGGTATTATTTCTTCCTTAAATGCTTGGTAGAATTTACCAGTAAAGCTGTCTGGGCCTGGAATTTTCTTGATGAGTGGGAAAATTTTAACCATGAATTCAGTTTTTTAAATAGAGGGCTCTCTATTTCTTCTTTACTAAGTTTTGCAAGTTCGTATCTTTCATGCAATTTGCCCACTTCTCTTCTCAATTGTCAAATTTGTTGACATAACTTTGTAGGATCTGTTTTCATTCTTGATGTTGCAGATTTATGTTGTTTCTCTTTTATTTCTTCATTGGTGTAGCTAGGAGCTTATCAATGTTGTTGATCTTTTCAAAGACTGATTTTGGCTTTGCTAATTTACTTTGTTTTTTTTTTTTTTTTCATTTATTTTTCCAGCTTCTTGAGGTGGAACTTTAGGTCATTGATTTTTTTTGACTTTTGTTCTTTTCTTACATATGTATTGAAAGCTATAAATTTCCTTCCAAGGACTGCTTTAGCTATATCTCAATTTTAATATGTTGTATTTTAATAAATTTTAATTTGAAAACTTTTCTAATTTCTTTGTTGATTTCCCTTTGACCCATGCATTATTTTTATTGTGTAATTTAATTTCCAAATATTGGACTTTTTTTCAAGGTATCTTATCATTATTGGTTTCTAACTTACCTCTGTTGTTTTCAGAGAACATATCTATTCTATATGATTTCAATCCATTTAAATGTATTAAAACTGGTCTTATGTCCCAGCAAGTGATCTGTCTTGGTAAATGACCCATGTATGCTTGAATGTGTATCCTGTATTGATAGGTGTAAGTGTTTTATAAATGTCAGGTCAGGATGGTTGATAGTGATGTTCAGATCATCTATGTCTTTACTAAGTTTTTGACTAGTTGTTCTATCAATTGCTGAAAGATACGTGTTACTATAATAAATGGTAACTCTTAAGTAGACTGTAGAAAGTTGTTATATATTGTAATCTCTGAAGCAACCACTAATAAAACACAGAATTGCTAAAAAGCCAACAGAAATTTAAATAGAATTCTAAAGAGTAAATAATCTAAAAGAAAACATGGAAAGAGAAAAAGAGGGAAAAAGGACAGGTAGGAGGAGAAAAACAGAAAATAACTTATCAAATATTATTTGTTAATTTCACAAGCATATGTTATTAAAATCTAACCATATCAATAATTACATTAATTATTAGTTAACTGAACATTAATATAAAAAGGCAGAGATTATCAGCATGGCTAATAAAAACAAGAACCAACTATATGATGCTCATAGAAAACACGTGTTAAGCATAATGATACAAATAGGTTGAAAGTAAATGGATAGAAAAAGATACATCATGCAAACAGTAAGCATAACACGGCTGGAGTGGCTATATTAATACCAGATAAAATAGACTTCAAGGCAAAGAGTACTACCAGTGACATAAGGGTAAAAGGATCAATTTATTCATAAAGATAAAAGGATCAATTAAGAAAACATAATAATCATAAATGTGTATTCACCTAGTAACAGCATCATAATACACAAAGCAAAAATAGAATTAAAGAAAAACTAAGTAATTCCACAATCATAGTAAGAAAGCAGCTTAGTACTAGTTACTTCATAATAGCCAAAGTATACATGCCTACCATTAATATTTGTATATTGTTGTTGTATGCAGTAACCATGCTGAACTCTTTTTAAAATTATAATAAATTATAATTTAGTTCTTATAAATTTTTTATAAAGTAGCTCTTACGGATTTTTCTGTATGTGCAACCATAGCATTTGTAGGCTTTCTTATAGTGTTCTCAATCTCATGGAAAAGGTAGAGGTAAATAAGGATCACAGAGGCAAACTGTTTGCGGGAAGCAGTATCTCTCAGATAGCTGGAGAGGAGAGGTCCCAAAGCTTCCTACATCCATTGGCTGGAGGAAACAAACAAAAAAAATGGAAGAAACTTGTATATAAAATTGTGGGTCATACACCAAAAATCCCAGCAGGTTATTTTTGATATCTACAGTTATGGCATTCCTTTCTCCTTGGTCACCTTCCTTTGCTTCCTCCTGCACCCATCCTTGTTCAGTCTCCACTAATTTTGCCAGCCCTTTTGCCAGCAGCCCTGCCATCCATTTGTGATTTCAGGTTTTAACTGCTTCTAGTTATACAAAAAAATGGAGTTTGTGTTTTTGGTATTTATTCTCAATGTTGATTTTAGATTATTTCCAAGAATAGAAAGGCAAATACTGATTTATTCTTCAAACCATAAGTCTTCCATCTGTCTATTTTAGGATTATAAAAACTAGAGAAATATCCAGCCTTCACAAAGTTGCCTAAGTGTGTTGATTTGCCAGCTTGATTTAATGTGCCTACTTCCTGCCAAATTAGTTTTCTTCCCCTAACTCTAGTTTTCCGTCTGTAGCACAACCCTTCTCCAGGCTCAGAATACCCATTATTTTTTATTACGTCTTCTCCTTCATCTGTATTCACTCGCAATTCATTAATCTGTGATCACCTTATCTACCAGTTCTAACTCCTTTCCTGGGGAACCCAGCAGTTAGGAGTGTTACACTTGTAGTGCCCTAATCTTGAAATGAGGAAATAGTCTTTGGTTGCTACAGTCACAAGAAAGAGCTAAGGTATTATTAGAGAGTAGTTCTCCAGGGCCCCCTCTTGGGGAATCTGTTTGGCCTATTTAGGCACCCAGGATTACTTTCTTGCCATCCAAATACACGCATCCTAAGGAACTCTGCCCTGTTCCGCAACTAATTGGCTTGGCCCAGCTTTTCTATCTTACTCATATTAGTCTTGGGCTTTGTTCCTAATCTTTTAGCCTCATCTCAGATCTACTATGTAGCTCTGGTACCTAGTAGTACATTTGCCATTTCTTCCTTATTCTTCTGAAAGTTCACCTAGCTCTATATGAAAGTATACCCATCCTGCTTGGCATTGTATATTTTAACCATCCTCATGTTTGCACTTGATCTGAATGTTGGCTTATACCTGGGGCCATTTTACTCCTATACCAGTTCTCATTCCCAGCTTGTCCTAAAGCCAATATTCCAACTTATTCCTGGGATATCACTTCCAAGAGAAATCAGCATACTCAGAGAAAGAAAGACAATAAGGCTTGTTTGTCTTTAACGTAACAGGTTCCCTATAAAAGTTAGTAAAATTGAATTTAGTTGAAATTATGATAGCAGCATACTAACCTCTTTCTTTTTATCTTTTACTTCTTGTAAGTATTTAATGATAGGAAATAGACTGAAAATGAAGTGAAAATGGAGATTAACAAACAGAAAAGGCTTTCTTATTTTGTAAAGTTACAAGACTGACCAAATAAAATGATTCTTCTAGAAATTTTTGAGTATGTATTAGATTTATTACATCTATAGCACAAGGAAATTGGAAGTTTTAGCTACTTTAGAAATAAGAAAATGTTTAATCAAAATTTAGAAGTTATTAAAACAAATTTTAATAGCTCCTGTTCAAGAAGATAACACATTTTTAGAAGATGACACAGATGAAACATTTACCAAAGGGGAAGGATCATATTTAGAAGAAGACTCAGATGAGGAACGTTTGGAAGGAAGTTTGAGTTCATTTCAGTATGGTGATTTGCAAAGCACTACAGGTAGGTATTATTAGTTTTCTGTCAGTAATTGTCACTGTTTTAGAGACAAAGCCCAGACAAATGGAAGAGTTATAAATCCATAGAAAGAAAAATGTGCAGGATGTACATATGTGTGGGAATGATAAAAGGACAAGTACATATTTTGGTAGGGTACTTTAGCAGCCCTAGACTTGTGGTTTTTATTTCTGAGGATCACATAGAGTACTCTGATACTCATTCTTCTGGGTTTTAAGAAGGTATAAAAACTGCTCCACTACAGATTAGTGGGAGTTCAACTTTCCTTTGGAAGTAATTGGGAGTTCCCCTTGGAGACTGTTGCGCCATGACCGACCAGAACTCAGCATTTACTCCTGATGCACGTGGGCATAATGGCTCTTCCTTCCATGCTCACCGATGACTGCTTCCTATCTTCCAGCCAGTAGTAGTACTTACTGCTAGAGTATTGCAGGCTGTGTACATTCCTCCTGTCTCTGGGAAATACAATTTTGGATTCACCAGACACTCTTTGTATTAGTCCGTTCTCATGCTGCTAATAAACACATACCTGAGACTGGGTAATTTATAAAGGAAAGAGGTTTACTTGACTCACAGTTCTGCATGGCTGGGGAGGCCTCAGGAAACTTACAATTATGGCAGAAAGGGAAGCAAACATGTCCTTCTTCACATAATGGCAGGAAGGAGAAGTGCAGAGCGAAGGAGGGAAATGTCCCTTATACAACATCAGATCTTGTGAGAACTCATACACCATCATGAGAACAGCATGGAGGTAACAGCCCCTGTGATTCAATTACCTCCTACCAGGTCTCTCCCATGACATGTGGAGATTATGGGAACTACAATTCAAGTTGAGATTTGGGTGGGGACACAGCCAAACCATATCACTCTTCTTAAATTATTTTATTTTTTTAGTACCTCAGCAAACCCCTGCTCCAGCTGTGGAAGAAGCAGAGGAGGAAGTTAAGAAGAAAATATCAGAGAGCTTCTTCTATGATTATATGGAGCTTGCTTCGATGCCTTTTGTGACTCTGGATTCAAACATACCACTGGATCTTCTCACACTTGTGTATCCACCCTGGCTAAATATGTATAATTTTGGGATTTTCATTTCTTAGGTCAGAGGTCAGCAAACTATAGCCCAGGGAGCCCAAATGTGCCTTCCCACCTGTTTTGGTAAATCAAGTTTTATTGCAACACAGCCACATCCATTTGCTTACATTTTGTTTATTATGGCTGCCATCACACAACAAGGACAGGGATAAGTAGTTGTGACAGAGACCATCTGGCTCACAAGGCAAAAACTATTTACTACCTTCCCTTTATAAAAAAATGTGTGCCAACCCATATTAGGTAATTCTAAGAAGCTTGAATTCTTAGAGATTTGATAGAAATGCATGATCTTAATTTAAACTAAGCTTTTGTTTGATGCCAAATAACCATACAGAGAAATATTTTTTCTGGCTGTCCTTTGCACAAGTGGAAAGGCTGCAGTTCATGAGATCTGAGTGAAGGAAATCAGAAGGCTTCTTCTTCCCATTTACTTTTGTCAGTGCCTGTCAAGTTACATAATCAATTTCCCTTCTTGAAACACTTATGTGTCTGTCCATTGTAAGGCATTAGTACTTTCACATTATATATCAGATGAGCTATCAGAGAAGACAATTCTTAGGAAACAGGGCACAAAATATAAAGTTTTAATTGGTTTGGAGAATAAGAGTCTTTTAAGATATGTAGAAACAGGATGATTGACAAGGGGATTTTGTGTTCGTCATCACATTATGATGTTAGGTTTGCAATGCGGGTAGTTAGAAAACAGTTTTCATTGAGGTCCTTAGCTGGCAATGTACTGTGCTTCCCTTTTGGATAGTTAGTACTTATCACCACGTGGCCTAAACCACCAACTGGCCTCTTACATAAGGAATACTTACAGAGATAGGGTGGTGTACTCCCTGACTCAGTTTTGCTTTTTACATAAAAACATAAAAATAGAACATGTTGTTAAATCCCAGGTGTAACTAAATTAATTCGTGCTGATTTATCTTGTAACCTGGAATTTTCTCTCTTCATGGCTTTTTTTTTCCTTATCTTTGGACAAGTTTCTGACAAAAGTTATGCTGTTTGCTTTCTTTTAGCCTTTTTTTCCCAAATGGGATGGGGTGGTATATTAGAGTCCCCTGGAAGTTTTTCCTAAAGTACACAATGCTCTGATGCCTTCCGGGACCTACTGTGCTAGTTCTTTGTGGAGAGGGACTTGGGAATATGTACTCTGAAGAAACTCCGAGTTGGTTTGGCAGTGCACTGCCTTCTCACTGCTCCAGGATGGGAGGGTCTGTATTAGACAAATATGCCTAAATTCTAAACATCAGAGTCAGAAGAACCTTAACTTTTATTCCAATATATGAATTATCTCTATTCGTGCTGGATGGGTGGCTGTATAAACTATAGCCTTTTCTTAAACATTTTCAACACCAGGAAAATCACAAAGTAGCTTACCCCACTTTTGGACGGCTCACTAGAGAGCTTTTTGGGCCTTGAATAAAATTCTGCCTTGCTGGGATGGCCCCCATTAGATTTAGTTCTCCTCTCTGCAGATGGACATATATAATCTCTATATCTTGTGAGGAATTCTAGGAAGAACAAGTCAGCCATCAGGTATTCCCTAAGTACTCTTTTAATTAACCCTTTAATGATTATTAGTATATTATATTGATTCTACTTCAGTTTTTGCTTTTTTGTTTTGTTCTGTTTTGTTTTGAGATGGAGTCTTGCTCTGTCGTCCAGGCTGGAGTGCAATGGCACGATCTCTGCTTACTGCAACCTCCGCCTGCCGGGTTCAAGCAATTCTCCTGCCTCAGCCTCCCGAGTAGCTGGGACTATAGGCATGCACCACCACATCCAGCTAATTTTTGTATTTTTAGTAGAGATTGGGTTTCACCATAATGGCCAGGCTGGTCTCGAACTCCTGACCTCGTGATCTGCCCGCCTTGGCCTCCCAAAATGCTGGGATTACAGGTGTGAGCCACCGCGCCTAGCCCTCTACTTCAGTTTTTAAATTTATGTCTTCTAAATTTTAGCAATGTTAAATCAAGTTTAGCCTAAAGCTGCCTCCTTACATACTTTAAGTTCAGCCTCCAGGTTTCTCTGTACATGGTGAACTATAACCTAAAGGGAGTTAGACTCTAGCCTACTCTTGAGCCAGTTACTGAGTTGTGGTCAAAGGTGGCCAACTGTTCAAACTGTGTTAAAATAAGGCAGATGCCAAGCTGTAACCAATTCGGCTATTTCTGTACCTCACTTTCGTTTTCTGTATGTCACTTTCCTTTTTCAGTCCATAAATCTTCCTGCACGTGGCTGTGCTGGAGTCTCTGGGCCTACTCTGGCTCAGAAGGCTGCCGAATTCTTGAATGGTTCTTTGCTCAATTAAACTCTGTTAAATTTAATTTGGCTAAAGTTTTCTTTTAATAGCAAGAAATGTGCCATTTATAAAGTATTACTTAAACCATGGTATAATTTTAAAAGAGATTATACAGAACTTAACAGTGTTTAAACAATTTTAAAGTGAAGTTTCTAGATGGCCATGAAAAAACATTGAAAGCTTTAGGTCTTTGACAGGAATTTAAGAAGAGGCAAGCCAGAAGAGAGGGTGAGATAAGACAAAGGGAGCTGAAGGTACATCAGAACACATTTTAAGATTTTCAGAACTCTACTAAGGGTCTGCCACTGTCTTCTGGGATTAAAAGGAAAGGATCAGGCCAGGCGCAGCAGCTCAGGCCTGTACTCCTAGCACCTTGGGAGGCTTGGCAGGCAGATCACTTGAGCTCAGGAGGCAGCCAGATCACTTGAGCTCAGGAGTGCGAGACCAGCCTGGGCAACATGGCAAAATGCTGTCTTTACAAGAAATACAAAAATTAGCCAGGTGTGGTGGTGCACACCTGTAGTCTCAGCTACCTGGGGGGCTGAGGTGGGAGAATCTCTTGAGCCTGGGAAGTTGAGCCTGCAGGGAGCCATGTTCATGCCACTGCACTCCAGGCTGGGTGACAAAGTGAGACCCCATCTCACAAAAAAAAAAAAAAAAAAAAAAAAAGGAAGGATCAGATTCCAGTTATGCACAAATTAATGAATTCATTAGTTCAACAAACATTTCCTGAATAGCCAATAGGCTGAAGACAGTGTGTTAGGCATTCTGGGAAATAGAGATGGAGAGAAGCAGTCTTTGCCCTCAGTAAGTTGTAATTTAGAGGGGGAGAATTTGAGAAGTTACAATCTGATCCATTCTGGGTTTGAAAGAGCCTTTTATCAGGGCAGCAGCATGTAAAAGGGAGTTTTCCTGCTAAAATTAAAGATAATAATATTAGATAAATGATAATTTCTCCAATTCCTAATTTTCATCTAAAGTAGTGAAGAGATGGTAACCAATTTCTATTCTCATAGCTACTAACATGCTTTAGCCTTCTGAGGTATCATATTGCCACCTGGGAAGAGGGAAAGAAAGAAAGGGAAGAAGGGGATGTGAGAGCAGTGGTTTGAAGGAAAGAAAAAAACCGGTGGGCAAAACTTCCTCCAGGAGGCTTGAATAGCTTCATTTACATCTTTGGATCACATATTCATTCACATTTCTATACAAGATTTAATTTTAGGCATTTATGTGTTTATTAAATTTATAAAATTTCTTTTTCTTGAACAGATCCAGTACCCTGAAATGCTTTATCTCTCTCTTTCAGTTTAACCATTTGGTAATGAGATAGGCTGCTTGTGGTTGGTTATAATTTGTTTATATTTCACAATTTAAATTGCATTAATGTAAATCTTCTCTTTTTACATTCTACATTTTCTTCTTGTTAAAACTTTCCATAATTTCTTTCTCTGAAAATTATTATTTACTTATGAATAAGTGGAATTCTCTAAAATCAGAATTTGTTTTTAAACAAGGGCTCAAGAAATACAAATTCCTCCAATGATCCTTCAACTCTGATGTTCAGCAACAAATTATTGTGAACAAAGAATCTATCTGCTTAAGCTACACTATAGGATATGCTTCTTTTGTCAGCTCTAGTTTTTTTCATAGATTGAGCTCATTTAACTTGCTTATTATATTTATATTTTGGGCATATTAATTTTGACTTAAACATACTAACAATATACATTTAAAAGATGTTTTATATAACTTAGATTTTTATACCTCTTTTTTAAAAAAATATATTTATTTTAGATACAGAGGGTACACATGCAGGTTTGTTTTAAGGATATATTGTGTGATACTGAGGTTAGGGCTTCTGTTGATCTCATCACCCACATAGTGAACATAGTACCCAATAGGAAGTTTTTCAGCCGTGCCCCCTCCCTCCCTCCCTCCCTTTGGAATCCCTAGTGTCTGTCGTTCCTGTCTTTGTGTCTGTGTGTACTCAAGATTTAGCTCCCACTTATAAGTGAGAACATGCAATATTTGGTTTTCTGTTTCTGCATTAATTTGCTTAGGATAATGGCCTCCTGCTGCATCCATGCTGATGCAAAGGACATGATTTCATTCTTTTCACGGCTGTATAGTATTTCATGGTGTATATATGCCACATTTTCGTTATCCAGTGCACCACTGATGGGTATCTAGGTTGATTCCATGTCTTTGCTGTTATAAATAGTGCTGTGATAAACATATGAGTGCATGTGTCTTTTTGGTACAATGATTTTCCTTTGGGTATATCCCCAGTAATTGGATTACTAGGTTGAATGGTAGTTCTATTTTTAGTTCTTTCAGAGATCTTCAAACTGCTTTCCACAGTGGCTGAACTGATTTACATTCTCACTGATAGTATATAAGCATTCGCTTTTGTCTGTAGCCTCACCAACATCTCTCATTTTTTGACTTTTTAATGATAGCCATTCTGACTGGTGTGAGATGGTATCTCATTGTGGTTTTGATTTGCATCTCACTGATGATTAGTGATGTGGAGCGTTTTTCATGTTTGTTGGTCGCTTGCATGTCTTCTTTTGAAAAGTGTCTATTGAAGTCCTCTGCCTGCTTTTTAGTGGGATTATTTTTTTCTTGTTGATTTCTTTAAGTTCCTTATAGATTTTGGATATTAGCCCTTTGTCAGATGCATAGTTTGGGAATATTTTCTCCCATTCTGTAGGTTGTCTGTTTAATCTGTTGATGGTTTATTTTGCAGTACAGAAACTCTTTAGTTGAGTTAGGTCCCACTCTATTTTGAATTAGTACAATTTTACTCTATAGCATACATACACACAAACACATACATATACACACACACTAGTTACCTACACACCAATACATATACTAATAAGCTCAGAAAAGAAATGTTAGTCTATTAATTACATATATATTTATATGCTATAAATCAATTTTCATAATTTGTTGATATGAATTAAATTTTAGTTATATTTATGTGAATTTATTATAATCATGTTATCAAATGGTGTGTTAAAATTTTACAAACATGTTTGTTAGAATTTTAAGCATCTTGTCTTTCAACATCAAGGAAAAGGCCTACGTAATATTTTTACTGTGGTTAGTCAACAAACTTAACAGGCATTGTGAATACAAAGGTGATGAAGATACAGACTTTCTCCCATGTTATACAGTATGATTTAGTTTTAGTGGGAGAGAGGAAAATAAAATTATTTAGGTGACAGTTTTGCTGCCTGTGGTACCCAAATAGGTTTAACCTTATTTATTTTTGCAAAAACAATTAATGGGCTCTCAGGATTTCCCCAGGAAAATTAAAATAGTAACCAAATCAGAGTATGGGGATAGTCACCTGATTTATTTATTTATTTGTTTATTGTTTTCCTGCCCAGGCCTTTTTTTTCTCACCTAATTTAAAAACAAAATTGTTAGTAATATGTAGAAAAATCATGAGTTTCAGGGTAAAATTCAACTACTTCAACCTCACATCTTCATCTAAGAGTATAGATTTAAAAATTTATTTCATCACTTTTCCAATCCCTAGGATGGTAGTGTTTTTCACTTCTTTTCCTTAGCAACTTTCCCTCAGACATTCTTTTGGTTATGACTGTAGAAAGCGAGCCAACCTACAACTTCTGGACGACAGTATCGCCATATACATAGCTGGGAACCAACTGATCTTTCTGAATTTGAAAACCAAGGAACAGATCTACCTGCGAAGTAGCAGTGGTGAAGGAATTGGCGTCATTGGGGTATGCCTTCAATAAATTAGAAAAAAACCCCAAAAAACCCTATCTTTTTGCTTGTTCTGTGGACCAGCCAACATGGTTGTTAGATGCCAACACCATGCACAGTATTGTGGGTTCACATGAGATGCACAGCTGTCTTTATTCCAAGGCATTTTCAATTCAGTTATTACAGACACTCATTCACTGTCACTACCTCTGTGCACTATTATAATATTATTATGTCTTTTTGCAGATAAGGAAATGGGCTTATAGAGGTTAGGTGACTTCCCCATAGTCGTGCAAGTTTTTCATATTTAGATTAGAAGTGGAGATGAGTGAGGAGATTTTAAAGAATCTTAATCTGAAGACTGAAGCAGGCACATGGCCATGGGAATGGAGAAGGTGAGGAAAATGTGAGACACACACATAGGATGTAGACATAGATTGACTATGGAAACAGGATATGTTGAGATATATGGAGTGAAAGATACTATCATGTTTGTTTCTTTCTTGATCATCTATCTATATATAGTATGTATACATGATAAAAGTCCATGTCCTCGGAGAGTTTGTTATAAGACTAATTAATAAGTTCAGCAATAATTTATTATGTAATACTGTGCATCCAACACTACACAGAACATATAATGGGGAATTTAAATGAAGAAGAACTCATGACCTGTATGAATTCAGAGTTTAAAATCCATCTAAAGAGACAAGACCTATATTTGTAAAAAGAAAAAAAAACTAGACACACAAGTACATGATAATGTGGCAATAACTGTGTGCAGATAGCCATGGGCCCAATGTAAGGGTCGTGGATTTTGTGGAGGGAAGTCAGTCGGAGCCTATGAGGTTTCAGGAGCCCTGAGGTCCACACCATCTGCAGGGGACCAAGAAACATCTAATTATCACATATTTATCTATTACTTTATGGCAGTAATAGTTTTAAAATTTCTATTTTAATATTTTGTTATAAAATAATTTGGTTTGAGGACAGTAGTCAGAGGTGTAGTGTGGTCAAGCATGCTAATCCTGGCCAAGCACGGTGGCTCATGCCTATAATCCCAGCACTTTGGGAGGCTGAGGCGGGTGGATCACGAGGTCAGGAGATCAAGACCAGCCTGGCCAACATGGTGAAACCCTGTCTCTACTAAAGATACAAAAAATTAGCCAGGCATGGTGGCACGCGCCTGTAATCCCGGCTACTCAGGAGCCTGAGGCAGAGAACCACTTGAACTTGGGAAGTGGAGGTTGCAGTGAACTGAGATCATGCCGTTGCACTTCAGCCTGGGCGACAGGGCAAGACTCTGTCTCAAAAAAAAAACCCAAAAAACAAAAAAAACAAAAGCTAATCCTAACTCTCATCCACCTGGATGTTGAGCAGTTTTATGTCCACAAGGCCTTTTCTTCATGTGTGCTGGAGCTGTTGAAGCCTGGGTAGTGACAGAGGCCTTGCCTCCACTGTCCGTGTTACCTCATCTTTTCTGAAACAGTTATCCAGTTATGGTTCAGAAATACTTTAGCAAGGCTATGAGAAACCTATGAGAAAAGTGTTTGGGCACCCTACCTGGAAAAGGTAGGGTGAACCTCTATGTTGAGTGTAAAGTAAATGATTTACTAATTCCAGGTCTTCACCAAAAATAAAACTCCTGGCTTGGCGCGGTGGCTCCTGCCTGTAATCATGGCACTTTGGGAGGCTGAGGTGGGTGGATCACTTGAGGCCAGGAGTTCAAGACAAGCCTGGCCAACATGGTAAAACCCCGTATCTACTAAAAATACAAAAATTAGCAGGTGTGGTGGTGCACACCTATAATCCCAGCTACTTGGGAGGCTGAGGCACGAGAATTGCTTGAGCCTGGGAGGCAGAGGTTGCAGACAGCAGAGATCATGCCACTGCACTCCAGCCTGGGTGACAGAGTGACAGAGTCTCAATAAATAAATTGTGTCTCAATAAATAAATAAATAAATAAATAAATAAATTGTGTCTCAATAAATAATTAAATAAATAAAACTCCCAAACTCAACCCCACAGCAGTTTCCAATATGAGGCAGAAACTTTTTAATTTACTGTAGACAAGACCTAGAAGGGTAAAGGATTTGCATGAATCTTCATCCAGATTTCTTTGACCATATGTTCTACACCATATTTCTTTACAAATGGGAATCTAGATAGATATGGTCTTAATCCATGTCCCCCACCTCCTTGAGATCTACTATTTCTTAGGCCCGTTTGCTTCTTGACTCTGATACTTGGCTTGAATCCTATCTCTTACACTTAACACATTGTAGACTGTGTGACTGCAGGCAAGTTACTTGAACTCTGTGCCTCAGTTTACTCATCAATAAGATGGAGATAATAATGGTATCCAAGCTCACAAGGTTGGTATAAAATTTAAAGGAAATAATGTTATCTTGGGTACCAGGATTAGCAATCTATATCTGAGAACCAGGCTCTTTGTCTTATATGTAATCAGGGGATGTGAAATAATATCTGAAAACAGAATTTTATAAGCATAATATGTGTTTTAAATAGCTTATCCTTATAACAGCTTATTTTTATTTTCATTTTTTGGCTGGCCATTTACCCTTCCTACACATTTGGCTTACCAATAGACAAAAATAACAGAAATGACCATACTATTTTATCCAACTTATATGGCTATCTTTGAAAATACTGACACAAATAGTTTATCCAGGGCATACTTACTGTATTTTCCTCTGTGTCTGGTTTGGAAATATTATATCTTTCTTACTTCTGGTAAGTTTACATTCGTTTGTAACTTTTTCCACAGTGAAATTTTAAAAATTGTGATGTAACCTGGTCTGGAAACAAGAATCCCATACATTCCATGAATTTTTCTATACAAAATTTAGGTTGATTTATATGTAGGGTAGACAGTTCATCTCAGTGATTCTCAAAGCAAGGTCTCCAAACTAGCTGCATCAACATCACCTTGTTAGAAATGTAAATCACCTTGTTAGAATGTAAATCACGCAGTTAGAAATTACCTTATTAGACATGTAAATGCAAATTCTTGAGTCCCAGCCTGACAGATTAAGTCAGAAACTCTGGGTGTTAGGGCTTGCAATCTATATTTTAATAAGTTCTTTAGTGGATTCTGATGCACATTGAAGATAGAGAACCATTGTTCTAGCTCTTCCAATGGCAATGAAAGAAATTGTAGAGTTAGAAATGGCTGTCTTAAAGTAAAATTTAAAATGTGTATTCTTCTAGTTTTCAGTTTCAATTGTATCCATCATTAAATATTTATCTGATGCCCATTTTTGAGTTTTCTATTAGAGTAAAGCCTAATAAATTATGAAATAATGGATGCTAAATACTGCATTAATCAGACTATTTATACAAAAATCTTTCTTTTAATATTTTGGTGAAATTTTATCTTTTGTAGGTTCATCCACATAAAACTTATTTCACAGTAGCTGAAAAAGGGAGTTTTCCAGATATTATCATCTATGAATATCCTTCTCTGAGACCATACAGAGTCCTTCGAGGTGAGTCCAGAAGCATATTTAAATATTTCATGTTCAAGGATAACAACATTCTGAAGAAGGTGTGACATTATTTCATAAGTCAAGGTTCTCCAGAGAAACAGAACTAGTGGAAGACAGAAAAGAGATTTATTCAAATTCACACACAACAATACTAACCTTAAATGTAAATGGGCTAAATGCCCCAATTAAAAGACACAGACTGGCAAATTGGATAAGGAGTCAAGACCCATTGGTGTGCTGTAATTCTGGAGACCCATCTTACCTGCAAAGACACACACAGGCTCAAAACAAAGGAATGGAGGAAAATTTACCAAGTAAATGGAAAGGAAAAAAAAACAAAAAAACACCAAGGGTTGCAATCTTAGTCTCTGACAAAGCAGATTTTAAACTAACACAAATCAAAAAAGACAAGGGCATTACATAATGGTAACAGGAACAATTCAAGAAGAGCTAACTATTCTGAATATGTATACATCCAATACAGAGCACCCCGATTCATAAAACAAGTTCTTAGAGACCTACTAAGAGACTTAGACTCCCACACAATAGTAGTGGGAGAATTTAACACCCCACTGTCAATATTAAATCAATGAGACAGAAAATTAACAAGGATATTCAGGACTTGAACTCAACTCTGGATCAAGTGGACCTGATAGACCTCTACAGAGCTCTCCCCTACTCCAAATCTACAGAATATACATTCTTCTCAGTGCCACATGATACTTATACTAAAATCGACCACATAATTGGAAGTAAAACACTCCTCAGCAAATGCATAAGAGTTGAAATCATAACAGTCTCTCAGACCACAGTGCAATCAAATTAGAACTCAGGATTAAGAAACTCACTAAAAACCACACAACTTCATGGAAATTGAACAACCTGCTCCTGAATGACTCCTGTGTAAATAATGAAATTAAGGCAGAAATCAAGAAGTTCTTTGAAACCAATGAGAACAAAGAGAGGATATACCAGAATCTCTAGGACACAGCTAAAGCAGTGTTAAGAGGGAATTTTATAGCACTAAATACCCACATCAAAAAGCCAGAAAGATCTCAGATTGACACCCTAACATCACAATTAAATGAACTAGAGAGGCAAGAGCAAATGAATCCAAAAGGTAGCAGAAGATAAGAAATAACTAAGATCAGAGAAGAACAGAAGGAGATAGAGACAGAAAAACCCTCCAAAAAAATCAATGAATCCAGGAGCTGTTTTTTTGAAAAAATTAACAACATAGGTACACCACTAGCTAGACTAATAAGGAAGAAGGAAGAGAAGAATCAAATAGATGCAATAAAAAGTAATAAAGGGTAAATCACCACTGAACCCACAGAAATACAGACTACCATCAGAGAATACCATAGATACCTCTATGCAAATAAACTAGAAAATCTAGAAGAAATGGATAAATTCCTGGATGCATACACCCTACCAAGGCTAAACCAGAAAGAAGTTGAATCCCTGAATAGACCAATAACATGCTCTGAAATTGAGGCAGTAATTAATAGCCTACCAACCAAAAAAAACTCCAGGACCAGATAGATTCACAGCAGAATTCTACTAGAAATACAAAGAGGAGCTGGTACCATTCCTTCTGAAACTATTCCAGACATTTGAAAAGGAGAGACTCCTTCCTAACTCATTTTACGAAGCCAGCATCATCCTGATACCAAAACCGGAAAGAGACATAACAAAAAAAAGAAAACCTCAGGCCAATATCCCTGATGAACATCGATGCAAAAATCTTCAATAAAATACTGGCAAACCAAATCCAGCAGCACATCGAAAAACGTATCCACCATGATCACGCCGCCTTCATCCCTGGTATGCAAGGCTGGTTCAACATACACAGATCAATAAACGTAATCCATCACATAAACAGAACCAAAGACAAAAACCACATGATTATCTCAATAGATGCAGAAAAGGCCTTCAACAAAATTTAACATCCCTTCATTTCAAAAACTCTCAATAAACTAGGTATTGATGGAATATATCTTAAAATAATAAGTGCTATTTATGACAAACCCACAGCCAATATCATATTGAATGGGCAAAAGTTGGAAGCATTCTCTTTGAAAACTGGTACAAGACAAGGATGCCCTCTCTCACCACTCCTATTCAACATAGTATTGGAAGTTCTGGACAGGGAAATCAGGCAAGAGAAAGAAATGAAGCGTATTCAAATAGGAAGAGAGGAAGTCAAGTTGTCACTGTTTGCAGATGACATGACTTTATATTTAGAAAACCCCATCATCTCAGCCCAAAATCTCCTTAAGCTGATAAGCAACTTCAGCAAAGTCTCAGGATACAAAATCAATGTGCAAAAATCACAAGCATTCCTATACATCAACAATAGACAAGCAGAGAGCCAAATCATGAATGAACTTCCATTCACAATCACTACAAAGAGAATAAAATACCTAGGAATACAACTAACAAGGGATGTGAAGGACCTCTTCAAGGAGAACTACAAACCACTGCTCAAGGAAGTAAGAGAGGACACAAACAAACGGAAAAACATTCATGCTCATGGATAGAAAGAATCAATGTTGTGAAAATGGCCATACTGCCCAAAGTAATTTATAGATTCAATGCTATTCCCATCAAACTACCATTAGCATTCTTCACAGAATTAGAAAAAGTGATTTTAAGTTTCACGTGGAATCAAAGAAGACCCCATACAGTCAAGACAGTCCTAAGCAAAAAGAACAAAGCTGGAGGCATCACACTACCTGACTTCAAACTATACTACAAGGCTACAGTAAACAAAACAGCATGGTACTGGTACCAAAACAGACATATAGACCAATGGAGCAGAACAGAGACCTCAGAAATAACACCACACATCTGATCTTTGGCAAACCTGACAAAAACAAGCAACGGGGAAAGGATTTCCTATTCAGTAAGTGGTGCTGGGAAAAGTGGCTAGTCAAATGCAGGAAACTGAGACTGGACCTCTTCCTTACACCTTATACAAAAATTAACTCAAGATGGATTAAAGACTTAAATGTAAAATCCAAAACCATAAAAACCCTAGAAGAAAACCTAGGCAATACCATTCAGGACATAGGCATGGGCAAAGACTTCATGACAAAAAAGCCAAAAGCAATTGCAACAAAAGCCAAAATTGACAAAAGAGAGTTAATTAAACTAAAGAGCTTCTGCACAGCAAAATAAACTATCATTAGAGTGAACAAGCAACCTACAGAGAGGGAGAAAATTTTTGCAATCTACCCATCTGACAAAGGTCTAATATCCAGAATTTACAAGGAACTTAAACATGTTTACAAGAAAAAAAAATTCCATCAAAAAGTGGGCAAAGGATATGAACAGATACTTCTCAAAAGAATACATCTATGCAGCCAACAAGCATATGAAAAAAAGCTCAACATCACTGATCATCAGAGAAATGCAAATCAAAACTACAATGAGATACCATCTCATGCCAGTCAGAATGGCAATTATTAAAAAGTCAGGAAACAGTAGATGCTGGCGAGGCTCTGGAGAAATAGGAATGCTTTTACACTTTTGGTGGGAATGTAAATTAATTCAACCATTGTTGAAGACAGTATGGCGATTCCTCAAGGATCTACAACCAGAAATGCCATTTGACCCAGCAATACCATTACTGGTTATATACCCAAAGGAATATAAATCATTCTGCTGTAAAGAGACATGCACACGTATGTTTATTACAACACTATTTACAATAGCAAAGACGTGGAACCAACCCAAGTGCCCATCAATGATAGACTGGATGAAGAAAATGTGGTACATATACATCATGGAATACTATGTAGCCATAAAAAGGAATGAGATCATGTCCTCTGCAGGGACATGGATGAAGCTGGAAGCCATCATCCTCAGCAAACTAACACAGGAACAGAAAACCAAATGCTGTGTGTTCTGACTCATAAATGGGAGTTGAAGATTGAGAACACATGGACACAGAGAGGGGAACAACACACACCAGGGCCTGTTGGGGGGTGGGGGTGAGGGGAAGGAACTTAGAGGACAGGTCAATAGGTGCAGCAGACCACCATGGCACACATATACCTATGTAACAAACTTGCACGTTCTGCACATGTATCTTTTTTTTTTTAGAAGAAATAAAAGAGATATATTTAATGGAATTGTCATGGAAAAGGGGTCCCGATCCAGACCCCAAGAGAGGGTTCTTAGACCTTGTGCAAGAAATAATTTGAGGTGAATCCATAGAGTAAAATGAAAACAAGTTTATTAAGCTGAGACGATGGGGTTTTCTAATATACAACCATGTCATCTGCAAACAGGGACAATTTGAGTTCCTCTTTTCCTAATTGAATTCCTTTTATTTCTTTCTCTTGCCTGATTGCCCGGCCAGAACTTCCAACACTGTGTTGAATAGGAGTGGTGAGAGAGGGCATCCCTGTCTTGTGCCAGTTTTCAAAGGGAATGCTTCCAGTTTTTGCCCATTCAATATGATATTGGCTGTGGGTTTGTCATGAATAGCTTAAGCTGATAAGCAACTTCAGCAAAGTCTCAGGATACAAAATCAGTGTGCAAAAATCACAAGCATTCTTATACACCAATAACAGACAGAGAGCCAAATCATGAGTGAACTCCCATTCACAATTGCTTCAAAGAGAATAAAATACCTAGGAATCCAACTTACAAGGGATGTGAAGGACCTCTCCAAGGAGAACTACAAACCACTGCTCAATGAATTAAAAGAGGACACAAACAAATGGAAGAACATTCCATGCTCATGGATAGGAAGAATCAATATCATGAACATGGCCATACTGCCCAAGGTAATTTATAGATTCAATGCCATCCCCATCAAGCTACCAATGACTTTCTTCATAGAATTGGAAAAAACTACCTTAAAGTTCATATGGAACCAAAAGGCCACATTGCCAAGACAATCCTAAGCCAAAAGAACAAAGCTGGAGGTATCATGCTACCTAACTTCAAACTATACTACAAGGCTACAGTAACCAAAACAGCATGGTACTGGTACTAAAACAGATATATAGACCAATGGAGCAGAACAGAGCCCTCAGAAATAATACCACACATCTACAACCATCTGATCTTTGACAAACCTGACAAAAACAAGAAATGGGGAAAGGATTCCCTATTTAATAAATGGTGCTGGGAAAACTGGCTAGCCATATGTAGAAAGCTGAAACTGGATCCCTTCCTTACACCTTATACAAAAATTAATTCAAGATGGATTAAAGACTTAATTGTTAGACCTAAAACCATAAAAACCCTAGAAGAGAACCTAGGCAACACCATTCAGGAAATAGGCATGGGCAAGGACTTCATGTGTAAAACACCAAAAGCAATGGCAACAAAAGCCAAAATTGACAAATGGGATCTAATTAAACTAAAGAGCTTCTGCACAGCAAAAGAAACTACCATCAGAGTGAACAGGCAACTTACAGAATGGGAGAAAATTTTTGCAATCTACTCATCTGACAAAGGGCTAATATCCAGAATCTCCAAAGAACTCAAACAAATTTACAAGAAAAAAACAACCCCATCAAAAAGTGGGTGAAGGATATGAACAGACACTTCTCAAAAGAAGACATTTATGTAGCCAACAGACAAAATGAAAAAATGCTCATCATCACTGGCCATCAGAGAAATGCAAATCAAAACCACAATGAGATACCATCTCACACCAGTTAGAATGGTGATCATTAAAAAGTCAGGAAACAACAGATGCTGGAGAGGATGTGGAGAAATAGGAATGCTTTTACACTACTGGTGGGAGTGTAAATTAGTTCAACCATTGTGGAAGACAGTGTGGTGATTCCTCAAGGATCTACAACTAGAAATACCATTTGACCCAGCCATCCCATTACTGGGTATATACCCAAAGGATTATAAATCATGCTACTATAAAGACACATGCACATGTATGTTCATTGTGGCACTATTCACAATAGCAAAGACCTGGAACCAACCCAAATGTCCATCAATGATAGACGGGATTAAGAAAATGTGGCACATATAACCATGGAATACTATGCAGCCATAAAAAAGGATGAGTTCATGTCCTTTGCAGGGACATGGGTGAAGCTGGAAACCATCATTCTGAGCAAACTATTGCAAGGACAAAAAACCAAACACTGCATGTTCTCACTCATAGGTGGGAATTGACCAATGAGAACACTTGGACACAGGAAGGGGAACATCACACACCGGGGCCTGTCGTGGGGTGGGAGAGGGGGTAGGGATAGCATTAGGAGATATACCTAATGTAAATGTTGAGTTAATGGGTGAAGCACACCAACATGACACATGTATACATATGTAACAAACCTGCACGTTGTGCACATGTACCCTAGAACTTAAAGTATAATAAAAAAAAAAGAAAACAAGTTTATTAAGAAAGTAAAGGAATAAAAGAATGGCTACTCCATAGGCAGAGCAGTGGCTTGGGCTGCTTGGCTGAGAATACTCATAGTTATTCTTGATTATATGCTAAACAAGGAGTCGATTATTCATGAGGTTTCCGGACAGGAAACGGGTGGGCAATTCCTGGAACTTAGGGTTCCTCCCTTTTTAGGCCATATAAGGTAACTTACTGATGTGGCCATGGTATTTATAAACTGTCATGGTGCTGGTGGGAGTATCCTTAACATATTAATGCATTATAATTAGCATATAATGAGTAGTGAGGACGACCAGAGGTCGCTTTCATCACCATCTTGATTCTGGTGGGTTTTGGCCAGCATATTTACCACATCCTGTTTTATCAGTTGGGTCTTTTGACCTGTATCTTGTGCCAACCACCTATCTGATCTGGTGAGTTAGAAAGCCCAACCTCCTGGGAATGCAGCCCAGTAGGTCTCAGCCTCATTTTACCCAGCTCCTATTCCAGATGGAGTCACTCTGGTTTTAATGTTTCTGACACTGCTATCTAATATGCGTTTGTGTTTCTCCCCAAGTCATAAAATGGAATATGTTCTCAAAGTGTTTTTCTCATGCAATATGTGATTAAGACTTCTTTACCCTCCCCTTTCATATAACATAATTCATTCTAAAGCCAAAGATGGAGAATGTTTTTGGAATTGTTCCTTTAGGGTATTCTTGGCATTCTTACATCACCATGGGCTGACTCCCTCTCTTTTTTTTACAATATGTTTTTGAAAATGAAATAAATGTGTCCTTATTTATTAGGCTTCCATTTATCCTTCCAGATGGGACTGAGAAGGGATATGCTTATGTGGACTTTAACTACAGCGGTAACTTGCTGGCCTCTGTTGGTAGTAACCCTGACTACACACTGACTATCTGGAACTGGAAAGAAGAACAACCCATACTAAGGACAAAAGCTTTTTCTCAGGAAGTTTTTAAGGTTACTTTCAATCCTGATAAGGAAGAGCAGCTTACTACATCGGGATCAGGCCACATCAAGTAGGTTGGGTAACCAATAGAGGTGCCAGTAGATATCACAGGAGTATTTTTCTAAGAGGATCTAAGAGCTGGAGACTTTTTTTTTTTTTTTTTTTTTTTGCTGTTTTGGTTAACATTAGAATTATTTAAAAATATGTTATTTTAAAAGCTAACTAGTAATGCACCTTTTCTAATTAGATATGTGGGATTTTATTTCTGCAAACAGCATAGATAAAATAAGGGCTTTTTTTTTTTTTTTTTTTGAAATGGAGTTTCGCTTTTGTTGCCCAGGCTGGAGTGCAATGGCATGATCTCAGCTCACTGCAACCTCCGCCTCCTGGGTTCAAGCGATTCTCCTGCCTCAGCCTCCTGAGTAGCTGGGACTACAGGCACCCACCACAACGCTTGGCTAATTTTGTATTTTTAGTAGAGTTGGGTTTCTCCGTGTTGGTCAGGCTGGTCTCGAACTCCTGACCTCATGTGATCCACCCGCCTCAGCCTCCCAAAGTGCTGGGATTGCAGGCGTAAGCCACTGTGCCCAGCCAAATAAGGATTTTTAAATATAGCCTGCTGCCTTCTTATAGGCTCCACCTCCTAAAAGAGTTTATGTAGTGTCTTAATAACTAACATTGGGATGGTATTTCCAAATTCATACTGAGCTTTCACATCCACTACTGAATTTCTTTTTTGTAGCAACTCAGTCTTCATCTGTAAAACAAGAATTATCACACTATCATTCCTGACAAGGAACACTCAATACGAAACAGTGGCAGAACCTACTCTTGATCTTAGGTCTTGCTCCAAACTCCATGCTCTTTTCATTATATCATACCCTCGTCTATTTCCGGGATGGAATGATCTTGTCTTTCTCTCTCTTTCTTCCACTTTGTCTCATGCATTTGCGTAACAATCTTCTACCACCCCAGAGCTTCCCATAACTTGATTATCAGTGTCTCTAAGAGAAAGACATTTTTATCCATCCTGACTTCCTCTTGTCTCAATTTAAATCTGGTCTTTTTGTTATTCATTTATTAGAAATATAGACTAATTGAGCAGATTTTTAATTGTAATCTTTGGGGAATTGTCAAATAACCTTCTGCTAGCTATATGTGAAAATTTTCCAATTTCTTATATTTTCTGATTATTTAGTAAAATCTGTATTTTCTATGCCCCATATCTTTGGGGAAAAGGCAGACATTGAACAGTTAATTTCATGTGTGAAGTGCTATGAAGGAACCCAGAGTATATGGAAGCATATCATCAGGGGACCTACCATTCCTTTGGAGAGGATGTTGGCTATCTAGGCTTTTAGCTTTGTATCATTGGCTTGTTGATACTCTCCATTATCTATTTTATATCTACTTGGATAGGTCTTCTTTTTCTACATGGTCTTCATCATCCTGTCCATTTGTTTAGACTATTAATAAGAAAATGTTAGTAATAACATTTATTGATTGCTTTGATATGATAGGCACTGTTCTAAGAATTTTTCAACAATTCTATGAGGTAGATGTTACTAATTTTCTCATTTTATACCTGAGAAAATGAAGGCACAGGGTGATCTAGAAAAGTGCTCAAAGTCACACAGCTAGTAAATTAGAATTCTTTGGAAAACTTTTATGTCTTCTAAAACAATACTGTCTAATAGAACTTTCTGACAGACTGGGAATGTTCTATGCTGTCTAATACAATAGCTGCCAGCCACATGTAGTTACTGAGCACTTGAAATTGGCTAGTGTGACTGAAACACTAAAATGTTGATTTTATTTAATGTTAATTACTTTAAATCTAAATTTAAATAGTCACACATAGCTGGAGGGTACTGCATTAGGTAGCACAGCCCTAAAATATAAGATGCATGAAAGCAGGAAATTTTATTTTTCGCCTGTTTTGATCATTGCAGAATTCACATTGCCTACAACCTTGCCGGGCAGGTAGTAGATACTTAATAAATCTTAATCAGATAAATGAATGAATGAATGAAATAATATATGCAACTATGAAATATGTAAATGTTTGGGTCATATTAAAATAAAAATCAATAAAATATCTTTGAGGTACATTCAGTCTCTTTCTTGTTTGTAGGTTCTGGGAAATGGCTTTTACGTTCACCGGTCTCAAGCTGCAGGGATCACTAGGTCGATTTGGCAAAACAATCACTACTGATATAGAAGGCTACATGGAGCTCCCAGATGGGAAGGTGAGTACAGCTACTATTCTACAATATTAAAATTGTGTTTTCAAGTACATATATGAAAGCACACATATATGAAAATTCTAACAAGCTCTGCCAATAACAGATATTATTGTAAATGTAATGAACATTTAATTTTACTTCTTCAATTATCAATTGTAATTAAAATATTTCCCTGAAATTGTCATAATCCATACTTACCTACCATTTTCTATTTTCTTTTTACTAAATATGGTACACACATATAAAGTATGTGAGCATTTTCATATATTAACATAATGACATATTTGTTACTTTTTTTTTTTTTTTGAGACAGGGTCTCGCTCTGTTGCCCAGGCTGGAGTGCAGTGGCGCGATCTCCGCTCACTGCAAGCTCTGCCTCCCGGGTTCACGCCATTCTCCTGCCTCAGCCTCCCGAGTAGCTGGGACTACAGGCGCCTGCCACCATGCCTGGCTAATTTTTTGTATTTTTAGTAGAGACGGGGTTTCACCGTGTTAGCCAGGATGGTCTTGATCTCCTGACCTCGTGATCCGCCCACCTCGGCCTCCCAAATATTTGTTACTTTCAGTTATGTCACAGAGTTGCAGTATTTATGTTACTTACTTTTCCCCATTTTGTCTTGCTATCGTGATCCAAGAAGACTTATTGGGTCAAAGGTTATATACAACCATGTGGCATTTATTTTTATTGTCAGATTATTACTCAGAAAGAGCAAACCACTTTATAGAGGCATCTGCAACACTGCAACTGTAATCTGTTAATTTATTCTTTAATATTGTTAGTTTCTTTCCTTTCTTTCTCTTATAAAATTTATAGGCATATTGCCTGAAACAATAGTTAATTAGGATTAGTTCTCTATCAATATTTTACATAGCTTCCTATTAGAATGAGTTATACATTATTATTTGTGATAATCTCAGTTGTAAGTAAATGCCAGCACACAAATATTTAAGGAACCAAGTTGTCTAGTCATCTACCTGACTGAATATTCTCAATTCAAAAGCATGGTATATAGGAGGAAGTAAAAAGCCTTGGATGCTGGCGAAACTATATGTCTAAATCCATGAGATGATCTTAAATCATCCCAGCTTCAAATTCTCAATACTGTAAGAATTAAGCTAAGATAAAGATCAATAGAATCCTTGTTAAAAACCTGGTATGAGATATATTTTTTAAAGGGTTGGTAGAATTTGTATAGATATAGGGAAGAAATAAGCCATTTTAAATGATAGAGCAACTGAAGGAAATGTTTAGCATTAGAAATAAATATCAAATTTTTAGAGGGCAAATTGGAATTAACCATTTATGTTGGCAAAAAGTGGAGAATTTCAGTGGAGAAGTATGACTTGGTCCTAGTGTACAAGGAGTTTAATAGGTAGGCAGAACTACTCTACATGGGAAGAGTAGACTTGCAAATGAAAGAAGTAATAAACAAATTTGGCCATAAAATGCCAGGTTGATTAGAAGGGAAATCTGGAGTCAAGGAAATGAGCTAGAACAGAAGCTGTTGCTGTCATCTAAAAAGAGATGATCAAGGGCCTAGACTTCTCAGAACAAATGGAAAAGGGAAGCTAGATATGAGTCACATTTCATAAAGGAATGCTTTGTAGGTTTTTGTCATCACTGCTGGCTTTCATCACTGGACAGAAGAAAATAAGTCTAAAGACTCTACCATAAATGGCTGAGGCTTAAGAACAGAATCAGTAAAGTCGGTAGGGTTGTTAAAAAATAGGTAGACCCAAGAGATAAAGGACTGAATAAAATCATCAGTTTCTCTAGATAAGGGGGAAATGGAAATGTAGACCTCTAGAGCATGCAGGTAAAAATTAGAATAGAGTTTCCCAAAGTGCATTTTTATGGAACATCAGTCTGTACAGAAGCTCCATAAAAATAAGACTTTTTAAGTCAAATTCCTTTGTATCTAAAAATTCCTCTTGGTGATTCCCAGCAAATACTTCTCTATTAAAAGTTCCCAGGGGTCCTAGAGAAAATAAAGTTGTTTGACTTTGTTTATCCTAGCAACAGCCTTCTGAGGCTGTGCAGTCAGAATAGGAGGTTTTGAGCCACCTTGCTTGGATTAGAATGCTGACTGGGTAGTTTTGGGCAAGTTACTTAACTGTTTTGTGCTTCAATGTTCTCCTCTGTAAAATGGGGATAATAATAGTCAGGGCTATCATTGGCCCATATGGTTCCTTTGCGGGGGTCAGAAAAAGCTGTTTGTTCTAGGAGAATGAGGTAACCAACATGCACAAGTGTACATGGTATCCCTGATAAATGTACCTAGTTCATATGGTTTTTTGCATTAAATAACTTAACATATATAAAGTACTGAACCAGTGCTTGGTACAGAGTCAGTACTCAATAAATATTACTTTATTTGTGACACTTGTTAAATATCTTAACAACTAATGTTTGGTGGCATGCACTTGGGAAAATGCCAGATTAAACAGGCTAATTTGAGAAAAGTTTTAGATGATTATCCTTGTTTGAAATTGGATACTATTATGCTATAATCTACTTAATTCAGTACTGGCCTTACAAGTTATCTAACATCTAAAATTTGATAGTATTACATTTAAAAAGTAGACTCTCATCTAATTCCACTCCTGTCTTTTGTCCTAAGAGATGTACCAAGAAGTCTATTGTATACATACATGAACAATTACCAACAACATACAGCCTAATCAAAAAGATGTAAAACTGATCATATTGCTGGAAGGAAATACATCAAAATGTTATTGGTAGTTGTGTCTGGGGTAGTAGGTCTTCATTTCTGTATTTTTTTATTTTTCCATTTAAAAATTTTATAATCAATAAAGATAACCTTAAAAAATAATTTTCACCTACTATTTGAGGCATAAATATGTACACTTACCTGTTTTAATGCACATTTCTTTTTTCCACATACCTGCCAGGTGCTCTCAGGGTCAGAATGGGGCAACATGCTGCTTTGGGAAGGTGGTCTGATCAAAGTGGAGCTCTGTCGAGGGACAAGCAAGTCATGTCACAATGGTCCCATTAACCAGATAATGCTGTATGAGGGTGAAGTTATCACTGTTGGGTCAGATGGATATGTTAGGGTAAGTTTTCTCGATACTTGGATGGTAGCACCCACGTTTAAGACTTGTAGCTCACCCAAAGGGTTTTATTTCTCATAAAGGTTATTTTGTGAAGGAGATCAGTAGTCATTTACTCCCAAGGCCAACTCACTTTAAATAATGCTTCTCTTGTGGTAAATATTTGCATTCTTGTCAAAATTAATTTACTGCATTTTACCACTGAAACTTTTTGAGAGGGCCTCTTGTTATTCTGATTCTGTTGAAATAATAGCTTCAGAAGATGAAAACTCATGTTAGCACAAGATGAACAGTAGACCCACATATCCTTCCAAAAGGCTCCATATGAATGGGCCATTTTGTAGGAACAAAGGTGCTGAACATTTGTTAGTTATTTTTTACTGAGGTTACCACTTAGAAATACACCCAGAGGTGAACTGATGGAGTTTGCCTATGGATGCTACATTCTTCTTGCTCCTTATGCTAGGGACCTCACTTGCTTTCTCTTGGGGACACTCTCTTGCCCAAAGCCTGGGCTAAGCTGGAACATTGCTCCAGCATCTAAGTCCCCTTGATTGCTATTGTCACACTTCTTCCACCCACTCTGTGTAGCACTTTCTGTTAATGAGTATTGTGCTGTGGCTGGTCAACCTGTAGCCTTGTGATTTGCCTTGTAGTCCTCTTGGTAGATATTTTCAGTGGGGCCTTTCATAAGAAAGTGGCAGTGTTCTATTGACATTCTTTAAGAAATGTTATCAAAAGTAAGATTCTTTTTTTTTTCTTTTTTAAGAGTCTGGTCACTCTGTTGCCACCGATTGAGCTTACTGTGTTTAATATTGTTTAACCCATATCTCCCACAGTGGGTCCTCTTACCACTGGCTTTTTGAGCCCCAGTGTATGTTTTTTACATTTACAATATTAAATTTAATCTTGTTAGATTTCACACATTTCTCTGAGAATCTTTTGTGTCCTTTATTTTGTCATATGATATATTTGCTATCTTTCCAAGATATACGTTACCCCAAAATGTCTAAATACCAAGTGGGAGAAAACCTCAGGAGAAAAGAAGTTAAATATTTCACAGAGGATCCCTTCATGGACACCAGTATTTCCTAAGCTTGCTTCTCTTTTCAGAGTCTGTCCTTGTCTTTTCAGTCCTTCACACAGTAAATCTTTACCTCTTACCCCATAGAAAAAACCTAGCCCAACTCCCAGGGGTTAGTCTGATCCTAGTTTGATCCTTAACCCTAACCCTGACCCTCAGATATTTCCCTCTTCCCCCAACCAGGCTAATCTATGGGACAGTCTTCCCAGAGTTCCTTTCTCAAAGTC